>NC_000009.12:132927820-133241638 GCF_000001405.40 Homo sapiens | reverse complement strand
ATTTTTAAAAAGTGTTTGTAGAGATGGAGTCTTACTATGTTGCCCAGGCTGGTCTCTTAACTTCTAGGCTCAAGGGATCTCCTGCCTCAGGCTCCCAAAGTGCTGGGAATATAGGCGTGAGCCACTGCGCCCGGCTGGCATCAGTATCTTTTGAAGTTCCGATGATTCTACAGAGCAGCCACAGTTGACAACCATTGCCCTAGAATCATCGTCTTCACTCACATTTCATTTTTAAATGACCGTAATTGAAAAGACACATTTGGTCACGAGGAATAGGAAATGGACAACTCACATCTCATACAAATCACAAGTACCTCCTGGTGGAAGCAGCAGGCCTCTGGGAAGGTTCTAGAAAGAATGGGTCCCTGTGTCTGAAGCTGTGCTTCTGAGCAACTGCCTGGCTGGGGCGCCCCTGCTCACTGGGTGGTCACTGAACTTCACACACTGCTCCCCAGCTATGCTTTCCTCCTTCATGCTTCCTTCTTGCTTGACCGGACTCCAACAAGGAAGCCTCTTTTTCTTCATGATTAAAAGAGTAATAAATGGTCATGGGAGAAAAATAAAGTCATATAGAAGCAGACAGGCTGGGTGTGGTGGCTCATGCCTGTAATCTCAGCACTTTGGGAGGCCAAGATGGGTGGATCACTGGAGCTCAGGAGTTTGAGACCAGCCTGGGGAACATAACGAAACCCCATCTCTACAAATAATGCAAAAAAAAAAAAATTAGGCATGGTGGCGCTCTCCTGTAGTCCCAATTACTCGGGAGGGTGAGGTGGGAGGTTCACTTGAGCCTGGGAGTTGGAGGCTACAATGAGCTGTGATCAGGCCACTGCATTCCAGCCTGGGGGACCCAGCCAAACCATGTCCCAAAATAAAATAAAATAAAATAAAATTAACATAAACATAAAAAAGGAAGGAGATGAGCAGAAAGTAACCACCCACCCCCAAAAGCTCCTCTACCTGGGACAGTAGGTTGGGGGAGTGTGGCACCCTGGAGCCAAAGGTCCCAGGCTCCTGTCCAACTCACTACAGGCCATCTCTGCTCTCTAACCCCAAGCCTGAGTTTCCTTGCCTGTAAAATGGAGAGGACAGTAGAGCCTGCCCCTGGGCCTGGGAATGAGGAGTAAAGGAGTCGGAGCATTACTGGCACGTGGGGCGGCAGAAGTGCTGTGTCCTGTTTTTACACACATGCGCAGCTGTAAAACGGTTTATTTTATTTTTCATTTTTTGACAGAGTCTCGCTCTGTCGCCCAGTGCAGTGGCGCGATCTCGGCTCACTGCAAGCTCCGCCTCCCGGGTTCACGCCATTCTCCTGCCTTAGCCTCCCGAGTAGCTGGAACTACAGACACCCACCACCACGCGGGGCTAATTGTGTGTGTGTGTGTGTGTGTCTGTGTGTCTGTGTGTGTTTAGTAGAGACGGGATTTCACCGTGTTAGCCAGGATGGTTTCAGTCTCCTGATCTCATGATCCACCTGCCTCGGCCTCCCAAAGTGCTGGGATTACAGGCATGAGCCACCGCGCCCGGCCAAAAGGTTTTTAAAAACATGAAATGAGTCATTCTGTGCACACCATTTTGTTGTCCCGACTTTGTGCCCATAGCTGAGTTTGCCAGACGAGGGACCCCCAGTCAGCACCGTGGGCTCAAGAGAGGGCAGCCTCAGAATCTCAGGTGGCCGGACTCAGGGCTAGCCCTGGTGTCCTGGACAGTGCCCAGACCTGAAGGCCGCAGGGGCCCCCTCCCCCACACCGCCCAGAGTGAAAGCTCCAGAAACAGCTCAGGGCCTGAGTCGGGAATCCCTGATCCCTAAAGTGGAGTTACAGAACTTTCAGGGCTGTGGGGAGGATGATGAAAGGGGCTCGGGGCGGCAGCCCCGTTGAGTCAAGGGGGAGTGCCCAGCTTTGACATTTTATCCACAGGAGGCTCGGAAGGGCAAAGTCCCATTTCGCTTCCATCTGGCTTTCCCGCCGCTTGCTCTGTGTGCCTGGTTTTGTTTTGTTTTTGTTGTTGTTGTTTTGAGGGAGTCTCGCCCTGTTGCCAGGCTGGAGTGCAGTGGTGCTATCTCGGCTCACTGCAACCTCCACCTCCCGGGTTCAAGCGCTTCTCCTGCCTCAGCCTCCAATGTAGCTGGGATTACAGGCGCCCGCCACCACACCCAGCTACTTTTTTGTGTTTTTAGTAGAGACGAGGTTTCACCATGTTGGTCAGGGTGATCTCGAACTCCTGACCTCAAGTGATCCGCCCACCTCAGCCTCCCCAAAGTGCTAGGATCCGTGTGCCTTTAACTCCTTGCCTTTAGGAGTCGCCGTGCTGTAAGCAGCACTGCCCCGGGGTAAGGGCGGGCGCTGGAGACTGGCAGTGCTCACCAGCGCCCCCAGCTGGTAAGTATGGCAGTCATCGAGCCTGGGGGGAACGGAAAGCACCACTGGGATTTCTCCCCGCTGAGCTGGGCAGTTCTCTCCTCTGCCCAGGGCGCTGCCGTGCCCCCAGAGGGCTTTGGGAAATGTGAGTTGGCTCTTGTGGCTGTTCCTATGCCTGGGGAATTTGGAAGAGACCAATGTCATTGGGAGGGACAGAAAGTACCACGCACTGAAGAAGTGTGCCCACTTCCCAACCCCATGCCCAGGGTGCTCAGGAGAGGACCACTGGGAAGACCGCGGATGAACATTCCAGATCCCCTCGGGGAGAGAAGGCGCTCCTAGCCAGCTGGTCCTTGAGCGCACGCGCACTCCGTGTTGGAGCCCATTTAGAATAAACATTCAAACCCTCAGAGCCCACTGGAGGGCTCAGGGCCTTTCACCTTGGCTAAGAAACGATCCCCACAGCCTTGAAGCTGGGTGGAAGCTCAGGTAGGTGGTCAGGGTCCCTGGGTCAGCCTGTCTGCCCAGCTCCAGGCAGCTTTCCTGATCCTTACAAACTCCGGGTGCAGCTCCACACCGCCGGGTCCCGCCCACCGGCTCCGCTCCGACCACGCCCACTCTACCCCTCAACACAGCCTTGACCCTGCCCCACTGGCCCTGCCCCAACCACGCTCATCCCACTCCTCTGCCCCGCCCTTCTCGGCCCCGCCTCCCCCGCTCAGCTCAGCCCCCACTGGGCCTGGACCTCCCTGGTTCCTGTCTATCCTCCCCTCCACCCTGCCCTCTCTAACCGAATCCCCGCCCCATCTAGAGCCCTAACCTCTAGATCGGCCGGGGGTTCATAGATCATAAGCCAGGCCCTGCTGGTGACCTGGAGGCCGCGGACAGCCGCCCTTCACCCTGGTGGGGCCACCCTGCCAGGAGCTGGCCTGGAGGCGGGGCCCGGGGCTGAATTTGGGGTCGCTGCTCCCACTGCCCACGGTTCTTCCCCCAACCCTGCCCAGCTCTGGGGGCCTTTCTCTCATCTCTCTCCCTTTTGTTGTTGCTGAAAAATGCTGCTGTTTTTCTCGTGGCTAAGTTATATATGCTCTTAAAAAGTAATGCCCGGCATGGAGGCTCACACCTTTAATCCCAACGCTTTAGGAGGTGGAGGCGGGAGGATCGCTTGAGCCCAGGAGTTCAAGACCAGCCTGGGTAACAAAGTGAGACCCCATCTCCATAAACAAACACATAAATAGTAAGAACTTGATAAAGGTCTGAGAAAGAAATTAGAGATCACTGTGAATCCTTTCCATGCTGACATTTTGGCACATTTTCCCCAGGCTGCGTGAGGCCCAGGCTGAATGTGCACATTGGCATCTTGTTTTCTTTATTAACATCATTTCAGAAGCATTTTCTGAGATGAGTACAAACTGAAAACATTCTTCTGAACACCTGCATGGAGCCCTCTTTTCACACATGACCCTGTGATGGGCCAGCTGGGCTTTGGATAAAAAAAAGAAAAAAAGGAAAAAATGATTAGAGGTGATCCAGTAGCGCGATGCTCCTCCCATCTGAGGCAAAGGAAGAAGAAATAATTTAAAAATGTTCCCAGAGCAAAAACAGCCGTTTTCTAAAGAATGGCCCCACAATTGGTTCAAGTTGAAGAGCCTCCCCGAGGAATAACAGCTTCGTCATCCATCTAGTTCAGGCGTTGTTTCTATAGTAACCTGTGACGTGGTCCCCTTCCCAAAACACAAAACAAAACAAAAAACAGAAACAAAAACAATGAATCCCTGAGAACAGTGAGAAAGAAAAAGCTCTTGCTTCCTTTGGCCTACGGAAGGGTGTGGCTGTTGAGCTGAGCCTTGGAGTTCCTGGGTTTGCCGGTTTCCCCCTCTGGCAGTGCTGGGGGCTTTGAGCCAGCAACCTCAAAGAATGCCCATGCCAGGGAGGCCAGCATGCACGCAGGTATTGATGTTGGCTTTCCACGGGTGCAGTGAGCCGCATAATGGTTTGGGGTGAGGATTTAAACGTTTTGAGACAGGAACGGCTTGCCTCTGTTTTAAAGATCAGCTGCTGCCATTTCAAAGATACGTTCTGTTACTTTGCCAAGGGGCCTCATTCCATGTTGCTGGGAATCAGCAGCAGTGCTGCTCTGATGTGGCTGGTGGCCGTCCCAAGCCCCCATGCCTCCCTGACCTCTCGCTGCCCAGCACTTCCCGCTCCAGGGGTGCTCTCACCAGCCATGACTCCCCCTCCCGATGCCTACATCCCCCGCCTGTCTGCTGTGCCCTGTCCACAGCGCCCTGTCCACAGCACAGCTGGCTCAACACATGTGGCATCCAAGCCGGGCACCGTGCTTTGCCTCACACTGCTGAGTCCACCTGGCCTTACATGCCTTGGCTGGAGTCCAGGCGTGGGGCAGGCTTCGGGGATGGTGTCAAGGACTGGGCACTTCCTGCCTCTCTCCTCAAGGTCCCCAGGGCTGCCTCATCCCAACTGGGTCCCCTGCTGCAGTTCTCAGATGCCCTCTGCATGTTCCTTCTCTGGGCTCCGTGGCTCATTCCAGAGCAATCACAGACCAGAGGGACGGCGCCCCATTAGATCAATCAGACAAGCCCTGGAGTGGGGAGTGCAGTCACCATCCATGAGGGTGCGGGTGTGTTGGGGGGATGCGGGGAGGGGAATGGATGCCGCGTCAGCCACCAACAGCCCTGACGGGCCCCTGACTTCCTGCACTAACATTGTCCCTGTGCTCACATCTGCCCAGTACCACTGGGGCCATTCTCACCTACGGCTCTACCAGGTGCCCAGGAAATGCCCCCAAACGGGCAGGATGCTCACAAGGCAAGGCCACCTGCCCTGAAGGACGCGGGGGCCACAGGGTAATGGAAAGCAAAGGGATGGGGGAATTATCCCCAAATCAGTCACACGCCTGATGGCAGCCCTGTCAAAATCCCTAGGGAGGTTTTTTGTTTTGTTTTGTTTTTGGAGGGGGATGACTTTGTAGAGAAACTGCATTTTTTCTTAAAAATGTAAAATGATCTGCAATGCAAATATACCATGTTCTGTTTAGGGCAAGTAGCCTCTTCTGATTTTGAGTCTACGAATAATCAGAAGCACTGAAAATTCCAAAGCAGGAGTTAAAGTCCTCAGCAGCGCTTGGGTGTGCGGTGGGGTCCGTGATGGATGCTGAAACCGTGGGCTCCAAAGGCCAGCACAGGAAGGAAGGAGAGGGCCTCAAAGGAGGGGGCAGGTTGGACCTGGCCAACCCCAGCGTGGCACCCTCAGCCCTTCTCAGCTCCCAGTGCCTCTTAACATTGCTGGCAGGTGTGAGCCTGGGGTCGTGCTAGCCTCTGAGTGAGCTCAGCCCCTTACCATTTCCAGCCTCACCTTCCTCTCCCAAGAAAGTGGCATGAGGGTAACAGCAACCTCATGGGAGTGCAAGGCTGGCACAGGCTTTAGCCGCATCTCTGAGCCCTTTCACCAAAAAGGACTCACTGAACCAAAGAGCTGCACAGAACATTAGCATCCACCCCCACCCCAGAGAGGGCTTCCTAGTGCTCACCTGGGGGAGGGTGTGTGTGCAGGTGGGAGGACGGAGATCGTGGCCTCCCTCCATGTGGCTCGTGGTATGAAGACCCCACCTCAGACATCTCCTGCCTCCCAGGTGGCAGCTGCCTGAGTGGTGGGTGGTGGCTGGAACCAGGAGACCCAGTTCTGCCTGGCTGGGCCTCAGTTTCCCAGGAGGTGACCTGGACAGGGTCACGCTGCCCCATCTCTGTGGCACCTGGCTTGGGACTCCCTCCCTCCCCGCTGCTCTTCCTTCTCCTTACTCCTGGGGTCTTCCAGGAAAGTGCCGATCCCGGAGTAAGATTTGGGGGGCAGTTCCTTTGCTGGCCTCAAGCCCCCTGCGCACTCCTTCCCCAGCGGCAGAGCGAGGGCATCCGGTCCTCCAGGAGAAGAGCTGGGCTAGGAGCTTAGTGTGTTCCCCATGTCACGGGGCCTCTTCCACCCCCTGACTCATGGACCCCATGCTGGCCACGCTGCGGAGGCCTGCCAGGCTTCCAGATGCCGGCGACTCCCCTCCTGGGGCCAGCCTTCTGGAAGGGGGTGTTGAGCCCATGAGGAGCTCCATAAGTGGGGAAGCAAGTGGGGACGGCCATGTCCACAGCATCACCTTGGCAGCTGATGGGCGGGAGGACAGGTCCAGGCGGCCTCCAGGCACGTTCCTGTTTGTGTGACATTCACCGTGACATGGTGCATGCCGTGGCACACAGGGTCCTGTGTTCAGATAAGCCAGGGCCTCGGAGGAACTCAGGCGGAGGAAAGAGCCGGAACACAAACACAGCGCGACCTTTCCCGGGAAGCGGCCCCTCCAGGAATGCGCCCTGGGCCCCCCTGCCAAGCCCTGGGCCTCCATGGCCAAGTACCCCTCACTTCCACCATCCGCGACTCGGTTCACTCCAGTTGAGCCCCAAGAGCCTCTGCTGAGCCCAACCCGGAAGGGCGAGGGAGCCTCGGTGGCCAGAGAGGGCCGAGGCCTGTTGGGATGACTGCACTCCTTCAGGACAGGCACCCTCTGTGACGGGGACATGCAGGGACCACTGCGGCTGCCCTGGCCCAAGACGCCCTGGAGGCCAGGCGGGCAGGGCCCCTTCATCCTTCAGGAGGTGGGACTGGGCTGGGTTTTGAAGGATGGCAGCGTCCAGGTAGACTGAGGGCACAGACAGGGAAGGCCACACAGGCCTAAAAGCACACAGACTTAGGCGGGCGGGAAATGTGAGGTCAAATCCTGGAGCCCTCGGAGGGGGACTCAGGAAATCAGATGCTCAGTAGGGGGCCGAGTTTGGAGCCTTGGCCTTGGGGCAGGCGCCGTGTCCAGCAGAGGGGCTGCTGCCCGCCACGGCTGGCCTTGCCCTTGGCATTGGCCCCAGGGAAGTGCAGGGCGCAGGAGAGATGCCACAAGGCCCTTGGGTGTTCTTCCCGCAGCTTCCTTCGGTCGCAGGCGGATGACGCATCTTTGTCACTGCATCCACGTAAGATGCTCTGTTAGAAAAAAGACAGGAAGGAAACTGTTCCAACTCGCGAGTGAGTCACTGGGGAGGTGGGATTGGAAGTGATTTTCTCCCCTCTTCCAGCTTTCTAAGATTTATAACACGTGTGCATCCTTTAAACTCGTGTCAGGAAGCGACCTCACTAGGGCATTGTGTCTGAGCAGGAAGAATCTCAGGACTCCCTGGGTTTACTCATTTGAGCGCCAGCCTCCAGGAGACGGGGCAAAGGGCTGCTCGTCCTCCGTGACCAGGCGGCCCCTCTGCCTTTGTCGCATGTGTGGTCAACGTGGTGGCTGAAAGGCTCACGTGTTCCTTAGCCCGGGGGACCTGAGAAACCTGACCGTCACCGTGTCTCTGTAGCCTAGTTGGTGGCCCGGCAGTGGACAGAGGCCCTGCAGGCCACCAAGGAGGACGGAACCCCAGGGACAGAGGAGGAGCCGCAGTGCAGGGGGTCCAGGCCCGCCCACAGCCCCACCCTCGGGACACCCCAACCCCTGCACCCTCTGTGCTTGCCTTGGGGCATTTGCTTTTCAACTCCACAGAAAATATTGTGACAGTAACGTGGGAGCAGCAAGAACCCAAATAAAAGAACGTGTCATTCACGCTGCCTCCCTTTGTCCTGAGCTGCAGGTACCAGCACATCTGGGCACTTTCTCCATGGTCCGCTGTCCTAATCCTGACTATTTCAGCACCCAGGGAGCAAGCCAAGAACAAAAACACCTATCATCCATGCCCGGCATTAGAAAATCTCATTGTTGGTGAGAATGATGGTTTCCAGCTTCATCCGTGTCCCTACAAAGGACATGAACTCATCGTTTTCTATGGCTGCGTAGTATTCCATGGTGTATATGTGCCACATTTTCTTAATCCAGTCTATCATTGATGGACATTTGGGTTGGTTTCAAGTCTTTGCTATTGTGAATAGTGCTGCAATAAACATACGTGAGCATGTGTCTCTATGGAAGCATGATTTATAATCCTTTGGGTATATACCCAGTAATGGGATTGCTGGATCAAATGGTATTTCTAGTTCAGCAAACTATCCCAAGGACAAAAAAACCAAACACCGCATGTTCTCACTCGTAGGTGGGAACTGAACAAGGAGAACACTTGGACACAGGAAGGGGAACATCACACACCGGGGCCTGTCATCGGGTGGGGGGAGGGGGGAGGGATAGCATTAGGAGATATACCTAATGTAAATGACGAGTTAATGGGTGCAGCACACCAACATGGCACATGTATACATATGTAACAAACCTGCACGTTGTGCACATGTACCCTAGAACTTAAAGTATAATAAAAAAATATATATATAAAAATTAAAAAAAAGAAAATCTCATTGGTATATATTCAGATTATTTTAAAAGGAAATTAAACTCACAGATATAGGCAGGAGTAGATGGATTTTGTGGGGCTTAAAATATATGTAAACTTTAGGGGTTACTTTAAATAATAATAGCAATATGAATCCAAATTAGATATGAAAATAAATATTTATTTGAAGTGATAAAACAATCACAAGGCTCGCACATGAAAAAGCTGATAGGTGCACTAAACATCATCAAATGGAAGAAAAAAACAAGATTTGATTAGTTACTCCCTGGGATACCTCTGTCAAACTTATTTTTTCTATATCTCTTGGCTGCTACCCCTTGATTATTGCTTCGTGTTAAAATAATTTTTCTTAAAGAGAATGGAAAGATAACAGCCTTCCCTCTGACGTGAGGTTCAGGTTGGTTTCTCATCATCGGTTGGGGGCTGCATGACACACGCGGTTGCCGTCACGATGTGCGTGTAGTGATGCTGCCACGGGTGTCACCCCGTAAGCAGCAGCTCCGATCAATTCTCCTTTGCGAGGTGACCACCAAAGGACTGCAGAGCTGGCCGGGCATTCGTGCGTGTTCATGACCGAGAACTTTTCACACAGAGAGGACTTCTGTCCTGACGAAGGAGCGCAGAGCTGGCCGGGCATTCGTGCGTGTTCATGACCGAGAACTTTTCACAGCTAGGACTTCTGTCCTGACGTCTTTATTGTATAATAGTTGCGTTTAAGGCTGCAGACTTCAAGTTTATATTTCTCTTTATGTAACACTCTGTTCATTGTTGATTCTAGTTTATTGCATTGTAGCTACAAAGGGCAGGCTCTGCTGCGTTAGTTCTGTGAAGTTCCCCATATTGCCTGGTATGTGGCCTATTTTAAAACTATTCCATGTGTATTTAATAAGAATTAGCAATTAAGAATTGTTCATTGTAACAATTATAACAATATAATTGTTTACCTTTTGAGGCAGTGTCTTTGTATACTTTACAATGTTGGTTCCAAATTTCGACATGGGTGTGAACTTTTAACACCCTCGCCCTCTGTTTCTAATGCAGAAGTTCTGACATCTCCCCTTCCAACTGTGTATTTGACCCCTTTGTTCTTCAGTCTGTTTTGGCTTCTTGTATTTCGATGCAGTATGCCTTCACATTCATGAACATTCGTCTTCTTGTGATTGTGCTTTTAATTGTTTTCATGTTGGCTGCCTTTTCATCTATACTGATGAAAAGTAAATCATGCTTTTGTCTAACAGGCTTCTTTATGTATTTTGAAAATTTATTATCCCTGCCCACCCCTTTCCACTTCCCTCTCCATGGATCACTATTCTCCCGTGCTTAACGTGCATCTTTTGTTCATATGAACCCATGCATGTGGGCACAAGTGTGTTTTGTGTGCATTCTTGTTCGTATGAACCCATGCGTGTGGGCACAAGTGTGTTTTGTGTGCATTCTTGTTCGTATGAACCCATGCGTGTGGGCACAAGTGTGTTTTGTGTGCATTCTTGTTCGTATGAACCCATGCGTGTGGGCACAAGTGTGTTTTGTGTGCATTTAGCACTCTTTAAATATGCACTAAAACAGAACCTTTCCCCCACCATCAAAGTCTGCACCATTCATGTTTGTACAGCCAGCAGGTAGTTTGCCTTGCTGACATCATTTATACCCCCGACCTCGGTCTCCTATAGACTTGCTAAAATTCTCCCTTTCAAACTCCCTTTGATGGAGACCAGTGAGTGGTAGACACTCTCAGTTGTTGTTGTTGTTCAATTTTTATTTTTATTTTTTCGAGATGGAGTCTTGCTCTGTTGCCCAGGCTGGAGTGCAGTGGCATGATCTCAGCTCATTGCAACCTCTGCCTCCCAGGTTCAAGCAATTCTCCTGCCTTTGCCTCCTGAGTAGCTGGGATTACAGGTGCACGCCACCATGCCTGGCTAATTTTTGTATTTTTAGTCAAGATGGGGTTTCACCATGTTGGTCAGGCTGGTCTCGAACTTTTGACCTCGTCTTGGCTTCCCAAAGTGCTGGTATTACAGGTGTGAGCCACCACGCTGGGCCTCAGTTGTTTTTTAATGTCCGAGATGTCTTTATTTTGCCTTCAATATTTTATGAAAGTTGCACTGAGAATAACATTCACAGGTAAATGTGATTTCTCCCGGGTCAGTTAAAGATGTCACTCCACTGTCTTCCGGAAGGCAGCGTTGCTATTGAGAAGTCTGCCATCAGTCCACATCCGCTTTTATGGTATGTAGTGTGGCTCTTCTTTCTGGTCGTTTTGACTTTTTTTCTCCTTTCCTGGGTGATCTGCACTTCACTGTAATATTCTAGGAGTGGATTTCTCAATTTTTATCATTCCTTGGTAATTTAGATCTGGGATCTCATGTCTTTTCAATTCTGAAAAATTCTGAGCTATTCCGTTGCTTTGTTGCCATTTTAGAAAATGTTTTTCTTTCGGAACTCCTATTCTGTTTATATTGGAGCCTCCTGATCTATTCTCCACGTGTGTTAACTTTGTGCATGTGTGTATGTGTGTGAATGTGCATGTGTGTACGTATGTGTGCATGTATGTGCATGTATGTATGCATGCATGCATGGTGTGTGTGTACGTGTGTATGTCTGTGTGTGTGCATGTATGTGTGCATGTGTATGGGGGGTGTGCATTTGTATGTGTGCACATGTGCGTGTGTGTGCATGTGTGTGTGCATGTGTGTGTGTATATCTGTGTGTGTTGTGTTTTCAGAGCTGCTGCACTCTGGATGGTTTCCTCCACTCATTTTATTACTAGCTCCAGGATGGAGACTGAATCTATCTGTAACACCTCAATTTCTCTTTCTAATTTTTCTGTCTTCATTGATTTTGTTGGTACTATCTTCCATGACACTAAGTCTCTTTTCTACTATGTCAAGTCTGGAATTTAACCTGTCTATTGAGTTTTTTTATTCACTTTGTTATTCATCTTCAAGATTTGTAATTATTTCTATTTCATCTCTCCTTGTTTCTTATATTCTGGCCAGTTCTAATTTTATACTTTATATATTTTTAAAATGCTAGGCATCTTGATCATACTCCTGCAGTTTTAAAGTGTGTGTCAGACTTTCCTTAGCTGGTGTAAGTTCCTGTACCAATTGCTCATTTTTAGCCTGCCTTTCTTGGTGTGGTGTTGCCTTGGGTAATTTGGAACCTGGCCTTTCTAGCTTATTTCAAGGCAAGGATATTGAGTCTCTGCATTTCTGCCTTTCTCCGACATCTTGTTGTCACTGTCCTCTGTCTAGCAGTGTTTCGTAGCCTCTGCCCCGGGTCCCAGGCTTCTGCTCTGCAGTGATGTGGAGGATGTCACAGATAAAGTCACCCTTTCTGAGGACGGCTTGTCTCAGCTTCTGCCCTTGAGGCTGTGTCGATGTCCTCTTGCCTTCCTATGCCCACAGTGCTCCACTAAGTTATAAGAAGTTACAGCCCTGGGATGTGTCAAGGAGAGTTTCTCAGCCTCCTTTCTGGAGTCAGGGAAGCCCCTCCCATCACTCCCAGGAGCTGGATCTAGGCCCTCTCTGCCTGCCTTGGGACTTGGAACTGACAGGCCCCTGCCTCTGCCCCATCACCAGCCTGTGCTTCTCCTCCATTCCTGGTTTTATGTGAGTGTGTGTGTGTTTGTGCATGTGTGTGCATGTATATATGTACACACCTGCATACACACACACACACCTGTCTTGGTCTTCTGTCTGTCTGACCTATTGCTGCTCTGTGTGTGGAGCAGAGAGGGTCGTTACTGCACACCTTGCTCAGGACAGTGGACACCGTCCTTAAATGCACACGGTATCGTGTTCACACAGGAGGGTCCCTTTTTTTCCATGATGAATCTGAGGCCAAGTAACCTGCCCAGAGATGCAGGAAGCTCAGCCGAGCCCCAGGCCCACGGCCCTCGGACTCCAACCCCAAACCCCCTTGACGGTGTGCACATCAGCGCATGTGGGATGGCTGGGGGGCGCCTGTTACTGCCGCACATGTCCCCAGGAGGCCTGCACGCCCTTCACTCCCTTCAGTTTCCTCCCAGGTGAAATCTGCAAACCCGCTCCTCTGGACCTGGTCCTGTCCGGATGATCCTCTGGAATTAACAAGCTGTTATTCACCAGCCTCCAGCAACAATGGCACGTTATCTGCTCCGTTGCAGAACTGGCCGTGGTTTACATCCAGGAAGGGATTGGTCAGTCACCTGTGCTAGGTCCCCAGGGGATCCTGAGCCCAGCTGTAAAAAGGGCGGCTGTGGGAGTGGCACACCCTCTCCCAGCCCCAGCAAGTGAACTGTCAGGCGGCCGTGAACTCAGACACCAGAGATGAAGCCCCTGCTCCTGGCCATCAGCCTCAGCCTCATTGCTGCCCTGCAGGCCCACCACCTCCTGGCCTCAGACGAGGAGATTCAGGATGTGAGGCCCGGATGGGAAGGCTGGGCTGGAGGGGGCAAGGGGCGAGGCTGAGACTGCTGGATGGAGACCACATCCCTCCCCCATCCAAGGAGACCCTCATTTTCAGGTTGGGCATTAAAGCCCTGCCCTGAAAGATGGTGAGATGGGACAGCAGGAGTCTGGGCTGGGAGGGGGCCGGGGTGCAGAAGGGCAGGGCTAGGAGGGTGGGGGTCTGGCTGACTTCACTTCTCTCCTGGGGGTGAGGGCTCCTGTGGTCCTGGCCAACTTGCGGGGGCTGGAGCCTTCGGGTGGACCTGGCGAGGGTGCTGGGTGTTTTCTGGGTGGATTAGATTGGGGAATGTTCCCCATCTCCAGCCCTTGGGGTGCGGTAGAGTCTGGGGGCTGCAGGCCAGGGAAGGGGGAGGCTCTGGAGCGGTCAGCCTGAGCCTGATAGAGAGGAACTTTCTCCAGGTGTCAGGGACGTGGTATCTGAAGGCCATGACGGTGGACAGGGAGCTCCCTGAGATGAATCTGGAATCGGTGACACCCATGACCCTCACAATCCTGGAAGGGGGCAACCTGGAAGCTAAGGCCACCATGCTGTGAGTGTCTGCCAGCCGGCCGGGCAGCCTGCAACCTGGTCTAGGGCCTTCCCTTTCCCCACCCAGGAGAGCTCTGGTGCTGGGGAGGTGGGCAGACCTGCTGGGAGGCCTCTCTCAGCCCTGCCTGCTCAGGCAATGCTTGAGGGCAAACTGTGCCAGTGAGGTGCCTCAGCTAGAGGGGACCTGAGGGAGTAGAGGCCCCTGTGGGCTATCAGGGGCAGTGCTGGGTACCACCCACCACCTCCTCCGACTAGGGAATGTGTGGTGCCGTGCAGGCCCCTTTGGGAAAAGGTGTTTACCCCCGATCAGAGTCAGAGCCAGCAGGCAGGGCTTACAGACTCTAGACTTGTAGTCTTGGCAGTAAATTTCTGCTTTGGAGAAGCGCAGGGATGGGGCTTGCAGAATGACCAAGAGGGGGCATAGGACACCATGGAGAAGACCCCCTTGAAGTCCCTGTGTAGCGCTCACCTGTGCGGCTCTCACCTGTGCTGCTTCCATCCGCGTGGCTCACATCTGTGACTTCCCACCTGTGTGATTTCACCCGCGTGGCTCCCACCTGAGTGGCATGCAGTGCCTGTGCTCCGGTCCTGGGGGCTGACCCTTAGGAAGTCACTGACCCTGGCAATGACCCTGATTTTTTTTTTTCCCCAAAAGCCCCTCACTGAACCTTTCCCTCTCTGGGCCAGATGATGATGGGTATGGGGCCTGTCCCTGAATGTCTCTAAAAGGAAGAATGCAGCTGGTGGGATGAGGCTCAGGCCCACGCCACAGACACTGCCTACAAACCAGGCAGCCCGGGTGCATCTGGCAGGAAATGTGTTGGGGGCGGGGGGGTTGGGAAGGCAGCCACCAGGAGGAGCGATGCAGAGCTCCTGGCCACCTCAGGAGACCCCGGGAACTGCCATGTGTGACCCGGAGGGGCTGCTGGTGCCTGGGTCTGAGATGCAGAGAAGCATCCTCCTCCATGGGCCTGTGGCAGACTCAGGGCCACCTTTGCAGGGCATTGTAGCGTGGCTGCTCCAGGGCCGGGGGAGGCACAGGTCAGGGCCGCTTTGCCAGGGGGCTTCTGTTTTCCAGGATAAGTGGCCAGTGCCAGGAGGTGAAGGTCATCCTGGAGAAAACTGACGAGCCGGGAAAATACACGGCCAGTGAGTCCCGGAGCCTAAGCCAGAGCCTAAACTCAAACACACGCTGGATGTGGGGGGGTAGCCAGTGCCTTTTTGGGGTGGCCTTTTGGCCTGCTGCCCCTGACTCCACTAAAAGCCCACTTTCCTCTCCCACTGGTCAATTTGCTTTAGAAATGTGAACACCTGACCCCAAACACCAGGTGTGACGGGTTTGTCCCTGGGTGGACCCTCTGGGCTTTCCCTGTAGCCCTAGCTGCGGCTCTGGCAGGGCCAGGAGCAGAGTCATATTTGGCTGCGGGGGGCTGTACCCCAACTCCCACCTCCGCAGACCTCACACCCGGAGGAACCCCCCGTGACTCACTGGTTTGAGATGTGGCCACCTCTCGGGTGCATCAGGTTCCTGGGAAGTGGGGGTCCCATGGCCTAGGGCTCAGGCCCAGTGGGGAACCTGGGTCAGGGAGCTCTGGGAGGCTGGAAGGGTGCAGGAGCTGCGGGGCTTGCAGGGCCTGGCAACGCACACTGTCCCGGGATCCTCTCTGAAGGCCCCGGTGGCTAATTCAGGACTATGCTGCTGTCCTTCTGCAGACAGGGGCAAGCACGTGGCATACATCATCAGGTCGCACATGAAGGACCACTACATCTTTTACTGTGAGGGTGAGCTGCACGGGAAGCCGATCCGAGGGGCGAAGCTCGTGGGTGGGTCCCGTACCCCCACCCTGCAACCCATGCCTCCACCCACCCTCCCTCCTCCCTCGGCTTCCTGCACCCTCTTCCCCATGGGAGAAGCCACTGGGACCCAGGAACACACTGCAGTTTCCTTAGGATGAGTTTTCCTGATAAAGGCCCCAATTCCCACCCTGGAGTTCAGGATTTGGGATGCCCCGGCCTCGGTCTCTGCAACAGAGGCAGGAAGGAGCCACAGCTGTCGGCACAGGGGCTCAAAGGTCACACGTGTCCCAGAGTGGCCCAGGCCTTCCCCCGGGGCAGCTCCCTGCAGTGTCATCCTTGAGCGCGTTCCTGTGGGGTGTCCAGCAGGGGAGAGGAATGGGGATGTGAGCAGGAGTCTGCGTGGAAAGAACGTTCCAGCTCCCGGGGTTGAATTCCAGACGCGGTGGCTCCCACAGACGGTGGCGCATCAGTGCCGTCCCTGTCGGAGGACGAGGCCCGTGAAGGCTCCTGAGTTCTCCCTGGAGCCAGGGGTGTGTGAATGACAGAGGAATGGGACAGGCGGTGCCCTGGTGCCCCCGAGGGGAGAGGCGCTTCCTCCAGGGCGGGCCTGTCCCGCAGTCCATTCTCACTCCGGGAGATGCTTGGGGATGGACGGAGAGCCCTTCCCGTTCTCCCGGTTCTGCTGCTGCGGGAGCCTTCTCAGCCGTGCACGGCACCCTGGTCCCACTTTGCCAGCCTGAGGACCTCTGGGTTCAAGTCCCCCCACCGTGGGCAAGGTCCCTCTCCCCAGGCTAGCTCAGGCCTCCAGGCTGGGACGGGGTGCCGTCTGCCCAGTGCTGCCTTGAGCACCCGCATCTCGTCCTGGCACCCACAGGCAGAGACCCCGAGAACAACCTGGAAGCCTTGGAGGACTTTGAGAAAGCTGCAGGAGCCCGTGGACTCAGCACGGAGAGCATCCTCATCCCCAGGCAGAGCGGTAGGAGGCATGGCCCTGCAGAGCCCCCCATGTCCCCGCATGGGGACGTCAGCAGAGCTGCATTGCACGGGCGCGTAACTGTACTGTGTCTAATTCTGGCTTTGTCCTTCCTGGGGTGGTGGAGTTGGTGGCTGATGAGGGGCCCCGGTCCTGACTGCATTCCTGGGGTCTCCTGACTCGCCTGTGCTTCCTTTTGCTGCAGAAACCTGCTCTCCAGGGAGCGATTAGGGTGAGCGAACAACTTTAGAGGACATTTGAGAAAATCCAGCCCTGGGGCTCAGTGGCGCTTCAAGAAGCCCTGGGGTATGTTTATTGCGGCACTACTCACAATAGCAAAGACTTGGAACCAACCCAAATGTCCAACAATGATAGACTGGATTAAGAAAATGTGGCACAGATACACCATGGAATACTCTGCAGCCATAAAAAATGATGAGTTCATGTCCTTTGTAGGGACATGGATGAAGCTGGAAACCATCATTCTCAGCAAACTATCACAAGGACAAAAAACCAAACACCGCATGTTCTCACTCATAGGTGGGAATTGAACAATGAGAACACTTGGACACAGGAAGGGGAACATCACACACCGGGGCCTGTCGTGGAGTGGGGGGTAGGGGGAGGGATAGCATTAGGATAAATACCTCATGTAAATGACGAGCTAATGGGTACAGCACACCAACATTGCACATGTATACATATGTAACAAACCTGCATGTTGTGCACATGTACCCTAGAACTTAAAGTATAATAAAAATATATATATGTGTATATATGTATATATATATGTGTATGTGTATATATATACATATATGTGTGTATATATGTGTGTATGTGTGTGTGTGTGTATATATATGTGTATATATATATTAAAAAAAACTCAATTCTGGCCAGGCATGGTGGCTTATGCCTGTGTTCCCAGCACTTTGGGAGGCTGAGGTGAGAGAATCACTTGAAGCTATGAGTTGGAGACCAGCCTGGGCAACATAGCGAGACCCCAGCTCTACCAAAAAAAACCCAAAAATTAGCCAGGCTTGCTGGTGCACACCTGTAATCCCAGATACTTGGGAGGCTGAAGTGGGAGGATTGCTTGAGCCCAGGAGGTCGAGGCTGCAATGAGCTATGATCATGTCACTGCACTCCAGCCTGGGGGACAGAGCAAGACCCTCTCCACAGAGGCCTGAGCACCTTCCAGGTTGTTCCTACCCCGGTGTGCAGCCTCAGCCCTGGGGTAGAGCTGGCTCCCATTTCTGTTATTTCTGTGGTTTGAGAGTCCTCTTTACCCGTTGGTAGCCCCTCTCCTGTTACCAGCTGGGGATTCTTTACAGTAATTTGCTCTTCAAATGACTGCGCGACCTGTCTCCGACACCCTCTCTGTGTGAACCATGGCCTTTACTTTCTGAATTTGGACACTTTGACATCTGGGGCCTTGCTAACCCTGGAGAAAGTGCTTCTCCAGGAGTTGGCTAATTTCTAGAAATAGCAGATGACTTGTCTGTAAGTGTGCCTTCCATATGCAAACCGGTAACCAGTCCAGAGCCTACACCCTCCCCAGGGCAGGGACCATCTGTAAGTGTGCCTTCCATATGCAAACCAACCAGTCCAGAGCCCACACCCTCCCCAGGGCAGGGACCAGACAGCTAGGGACAGCCAGCCCCCACACCCCAGGGCCCGGGACATTATTGAAACCAGCCCGCCCTGAGCCTGTTTACCCTGCTTCCTCCGTTCCTTCCCGTGGGAAACGTGGGAACCGCAGTGCAGGCTCCGCCCGGTGCCTCCAGACAGGCCCTGGTGCTTCCGTGAGGCCCCGCCCCTCCTGTTTCTAGGGGCCTAAGTGTAATAAGCCTCCGTCCCACAGTCATTCCTATGGCTGTGTCTTCCCCCACCAGCCTAAAGCAAACCCTGGGAACCCTTCAATCACCTGCAGCACAGAGTCCTTTCTCCATGTTATGTGGGGCCATCCTGGCGTCCCAGCCCCTGTGAATGAGGCCTCAACACCAGCTCAGCCAGTCCTGGAAGCCATCTGAGAGCTGCTCTACCGCTCAAGCCAATGTGTTAAATACGGCATTTTGGATACGTCGTCACCAGTGAGCCAAGCTGAATGCTAGTTAAAGCGGTGAGGACAGGTTTTATTCAGCAACTTCTCAGAGCCAGGAACAGACTGGTTCCATGCCACTTTGTGCAGGGGAGAAGGGGTGTTCTGAAGGGAGAGTGGTTGGGGGTGCGGGAGGGAGTGGGGGCTCCGGTGAAGAGTTACAGAGTGCTGGTCAGGGTCAGTGCAGTGGGACCAGCTGTGTGGCAGTTATGGAAGGAGGACTCTGTCCCCCAACAGAGTCTGGAAGAAGGAGGCCCATTCTTCCTGAAGGTCACATTTCTAAGGAATGGCTCTCAGGTCCCTGAGAATGACACTTTTTTTTTGTTTTGGAGTCTTGCTCTGTCACACAGGCTGGAGCGCAGTGGCACGATCTCGGCTTACTGCAACCTCTTCTGCTTCCCGGGTTCAAGCAATTCTCCTGCCTCAGCCTCCCGAGTAGCTGGGATTACAGGCACGTGCCTCCACGCCCGGCTAATTTTTGTACTTTTAGTAAAGACAGGGTTTCACCATGTTGGCCAGGCTGATCTTGAACTCCTGACCTCAATTGATCCACCCACCTATGCCTCCCAAAGTGCTGGGATTACGGATGTGAGCCACTGCAGCCAGCCTGAGAAATACACTTCTGCATTGTAGGAGAAACACAGACTTCTCAAAGTGGCAGAGGAAGGAGTCACAGGTGTAAGCCCTTTTTAGCAAAAGCTCTAAGAAGGGGCAGCTGGGTGCTGGCCAGGACACACAGCAAATTCACCTGCAGTGCCGAGCTCTCAGGCAAGCATTTAGGGCGCTGGGGCCACCCCAGGGATGCGCCTCCTGCTGTTGGATGCCATGAGAGCTTGGCGATCTCCTGTCTCCTGGTGCAGGGGCTTGGGCGGAGCCGATCCATGCTGAGAGCTCTGCCGTGCTCAGTACATACGCACTGACACACTCAGCACATACGCACTGACACACTCAGCTTGGGTCCACATTGGAGCGCGGTTCTCCTGGTGTAAAGCCCCTAGAATCCACCCCTACACAACTGCCTCGGGGTAAGATGTCTGAGAAAGGGAAGTCTCATCTCCTCACGCAAAGGAGGAGGGGATGATTCTGCCCAGGCAGGTTCAGGGGGATTGGGTAGGGGAGGAGGGGGTGATTCTGCCCCGGCAGGTTCAGGGAGATTGGGGAGGGGATCAAGATTCTCACTTCCATCTGAGATCACATAAATGTCCCAGTTCTGTGTGTCATGGTCCCACTCCTTAAGCAGTGACCCAACTTTCACATAAAACACTTGGCGACTTTTGAATCCAACTCACCATGCAATCCACACTATTAAATATGGAGTCTGATTTTCAGCCATTTCTGCTCTGTGGCTGCAAGAATGAAATATTATTCTAAGGCCAGGATGGAACATCTCCATTGTCTTGCCTGTTACTGAAGCTCAGACCTTGGCATTTCCTTTCTGAAAGCCCTAGATCAGTCAGGCAGTCCCCGCCCCATTCTCCCTGAAGTCATTACCACGTCTGTGGCCAAGCACAGCAGCCAGTTGGCTTCCCAAAGTCTTGGTTCCAGTGGGTGCCACGTCCCAATGAGCAACCACAGCAAACAATTTAGGGAATTGTGGTGTCACTTCATGCCGTGCCCAAGAGTATCCCATTTTCTATCGACGAGATGCCCTCCCTGCATCTGTGCACACCCAAGCAATCTGCACACGCGCCTGTAGACCTGAGAAAGCCCTGTGGTTGACAAGGGTGGGAAGAACGACTCCAAAGTTCCACTGAGTGAGGGGGAGAAGTCAAATAATTCCAAATGCTTTCCCTCCTTGAGCTGCAGGAGAAAACCGTGAGGAAACGCATCCTCTGGTTGTGAGGCTGGGACTGGGAATAGATATTCATGCTCCCCTTCAGCCGATGGTGCATGGGGTCTTAGAACGCTTTCATTTGTTGGTCAAAAAACCCACAACCACAACCGAGCATGCAGGTTTTGCTGAGACAACTTCAGATGCTTCATTCCAGCTCTTCTTTTCAGTATGTTTCACGGGGCTAAAACGAAGGTTGGCAGGGCTGGTTCCTTCTGGAGGCTCTTGGGCAGGAGTCTGTCCCTGCCATTTCCAGCTTCCAGAGGCCTCCACATGCCTTGGCTTGTGGCCCCTCCTCCACCTTCAAAGCCAGCAGCACAGCCTCTTCTACTTCTGTTCATAAATATTCTCTCTCCTCACCCTCCTCTCTCTCCCTCCCTCGCTCCCCAGCCTCTCTCCTATAAGGGCCCCTGTGATAACAGTGGGCCCACCCAGATAATCTGGGGTAATTGTTCATCTCAGATCCTTCACTGAATTATATCTGTGAAGTCCGTTTTACCATGCACACATCCACAGGGCCAGGGATGAGGATGTGGACATCTTTAGGGGACCATTATTCCGTCTACACATGGGGGACACAGGGCCAGGGATGAGGATGTGGACATCTTTAGGGGACCATTATTCAGTCTACCACATACACACATCCACAGGGCCAGGGATGAGGATGTGGACATCTTCAGGGGACCATTATTCAGTCTACCACATACACACATCCACAGGGCCAGGGATGAGGATGCGGACATCTTCAGGGGACCATTATTCAGTCTGCCCATGGGGGGAACTGGCAATCAATAGGACTGCAAGTAAATGAACAGGGTGTCTCCGGGGAGTGATGTGTCCTAATGGAGCGCAGCTCAGGGAAGTGACAGAGAGAGGAGGGGCTGCATCTTCCATTGTGTAGCCTGGAGAGGCTTCTCTGGGGAGGTGGTTTTTAAAATTTTTATTTGATATATATTCCACATGCCATCATACTCACTCTTTAAAAGTGCCCAATTCAGTGGGTTTCAGTAAATTCACAAGGCTGTGAAACCATCACCACTATCTAATTCCAGGAGATCTTCATCATCTTACAAAGGTCCCTATGCCCGTCTGCTCTCACCCCCATTCTTCCCTCCACGCCCCAGAACCTCTCATCGACTTCCCGTCTGCATGAACTTGCCTGTTCTGGACACTTCATAGAAATGGAATCATATATATGTGTTTCTTATGCCTGGTTTCTTTCCCTTAGCATAATGTTTCAACGTTTGCTCATGTGGTAGCATGGGTCGGTATTTTCTTTTTATGACAGAATAATATTTCATTGTGTGGATAATACCACCTTTTTTATCCATTCATCCATTGGTAGACATTTGAGTTGTTTCTACTTCTTGGGTTTTGTAATGTTGCTAGGGACATTTGTGCATAAATGTTTTCATGGGAACATATGTTTTCATTTCTCCTGGGTGTATACCTGGGAGTGGAACTGCTGGGTCATATGGTATTAAATAATTCTATGTGTAACTGTTGGATAAACTGCCAAACTATGTTTTTCTGAGCAGCTGTGCCATTTTACATTCCCACCAGTGGTGCATGAGGGTTCTAATTGCTCCACATCCTTGCCAACCCTTGTTATTATCTGGCTTTGTGATTCTAGCCATCCTAATGAGTGTGAAGTGGTATTTCGCTGTAGTTTTGATTTGCATTTCCCTAATGACTAATGACATTGAGCATATTTTCAGGTGTTTATTGGTCATTTTTATATCTTCTCTGAAGAAAGTCTATTCATTTCCCTTTTTAAAATTGGGCTAGTTGTGTTTTTATGTTGAGTTATAAGTGTATTTTATATATTGTTGATACTAGACTCGACTCTTGTCAGATATGTGATTTGCAAGTATTTTCTCACGTTCTGTATCTTGTCTTTTCATTTCCTTGACAGTGTCCACTGACGTACAAAAGTTTTTAATTTTGATGAAGTCCAATTTGTCTGTTCCTTTGGTTGCATGCTATTTGGGTGTATAGAGAAGAATTCATTGTCAAAGCCAAAGTCACAGAGATTTACACATCTTCTTAGAGTTGTACAGTTTTAGCTCTTACGTTGAGGTCTTTGATCCATTCTGGTTGAAAGCTTGTGTGTGGCGTGAGGTCCCACCTCAGTCTTTTGCATGTGGACATCCAGTTGTCCCAGAGCCATTTGTTGAAGACAGTTCTTATCTTGGCATCTCAACTAATTCTTGCACCTGTGTTTGTGGGGTGTTGATTTTCTTCAGTTCCTTGGAATCCTTCTTTACCCAAACATCATTTTCTCTGGCCCTGTGGAGTTCCACCCTCTGTCTGCATGGACTGGTATTTAGCTATGGTCTTGAGGACCACTCTGCATGTTTCTGGAGCTCTTCCTCTGCAGAGGGCTCTCCTATCTCTTTCCTTGTCTCCCACATTCTAGTCGTCTGCGATGCCTAGAGTCCAATCTGTGTCCCGTCCACGCCGTCTGACTCCTTGCTCTGTTGGGTTCCTCTCTCTGTGGTGGATTGAAATTCCCTCCAGGCATAAAGCTGCCATGATCCAGCTGAGCTCGTTAGCTCCCATTCTCAGGGATCACAGCCTGCGCTGTCTGTGTCCAGTTTCTAAACACAAGCGTTTTGCACCTGGGGGCCAGTTTCCCTCTGTTTGTGGTGGGACAGTTAGGTCCATCCCCTGTTCTCCTGGATGCCCAGGTAGAAATCAGTGCACCATCCTGGGTTATTGCCGCGTCTTTTCTAACTGCTTTCTCTGCTTCTATATTCGGCCTCCAAATCTGTGCTCAATGCAGCAACTGGAGTGACCCCTTAAATACGTAAGTCACAGCTTGCCTTTGTCAGAGCTCTCCAGGGTCTTTCACTCAGAGCAGAAGCTGAAGTCCTCGTGGTGGTCCTTAATCCCTACATGGCAGTTCCACCCACTCCCCAGCCTCATGTGTGGCCGGTCTCCCTGGATCATTTGCTGTGGCTGCTCTGCTGTGTGTTCCCGGAAACTGCCAGCGTTCTCCCACCTCCAGGCTGGCACTGGATGCTCCTGCCACCTGGACTCCTCTTCCAGCTGACGAGCTCATGGCTTGCTTCCTTCATGTCTTAAATTCGGTGTTTGAATGCCACCTTGGCGGGGCTGTTCCTCATCAATTCATTTAAAGGACAAATAACCCCTTGTCCTGACACTCCTGTCCAACTTGTCCACTTTGCTTTTTCCATAGCACTGATCACCATTTAAAATAACGTATGAACCAGTGACCCATCAGGATCCAGAGACAATAGATTGAACAGGGATTGCTTGCACAATGAACAATCAGCTCTAGAGGTTTAAAGAGAACCACAAAGAATGGCTCAGGATTGCACGAGGGCAGTTAAGGAAGAAATAAACAGGGGTGGGGATCCTTTCCACAAGTCTGGGTTCAGACCTCACGGGAGAAGGTGTGGTTCTCCCAAGGGAAGCTGGAGAAGTTTGCTGGGTTGTCCCAGCCACAGCTGGCCCACGGTCAGGGCAGAGGCCAGCAGGCAGGGAAATGTAGGCTGGGTCTGGCAAGCAGGAAGCCTCTCTCCCCACCCAAGGCAGGTGGGCTGGGGCTGGGAAGCCTGCAAGAGTCACTGGGAACCCACAGGTGCAGATGCCACTGAATCTCAATAGGAAGCCATCTGGGGGCGGTCCCCTGAATTCAATGTGGTGTGTGCCGCCAGACGTCCCCGACTTGTGCCACTGCCATTTGCATAGGAAGAGAAAGAAAAAGGAAGAAATGGAAGCATCTGGAACCAGTCATCCTGGACCCATGCTAGGAGGCGCTTCTCCCTACGCCTCAACCAACAAAGCTTAGCATTGCACCAGGTGCACAAGAGAAGCGCCTGCTGGCTCCAGCTCCATTGCCTCGGAACCGGCCATGAAGGGTACGTGTGGAGCTGGAGGCAAGACATTGATAGCTGGCACTGCAATTCACTTATTTATTGTGTTCATTTTAAGTCCCCTGCACCTAGAATATAAGCCCCCCGAGCACAGGACATTTGTTTCATTGATCGATGTATTCCTTGTGCCCCAAAGAATGAGAGGCATCTAGAAAGTCTGCAAAAATCAAACATAAAAATGAACCTTTATTCAGTCATTGTTATTTTGATGGAAATTTGAGGCATTTCCAAGATTTGTAAGTAACAATTGAACCCTTCTGCTGGTTCATGTGTGGGAGTGTATCTGTTGAAATGATGCTTCTGAGTGGAGTTGCTGAGTCTTTGGCTCTAGGTTTTTTTTTTTTAAGCATTTATGCTTATTGTGGTTTTTAAATTAAACATTTAACCCTGAGACATTGTAGATTCCCATGCAGTTGTAAAAAGCCACACAGAGCTATCATGTGTATCTTCACCTGGCTTGCTCCAGCCCCAACCCCAGCAATGACAGACCTGTTCTCCACTCCTGAAATCTGCTCATTGCAAGAATGTCGTCTATTGCAATCATAAAATTGTGGGATTGGCTTTTTTTTTTCCTGTGCAGCATCATTCTCTGGAGATTCATCCCATTGTTGCATTTATCAATAGTTTATTCCATTTTACTTCTGAGTAGTGCTCTATGGTATGGATGTACCACAGTCTGTTTAACTATTCACCTGTTGGAGGATGTCTGTGTTTATAGATTTGGGCTATGACACATGTACAGGTTTTTGCATGGACATCAGTTTTCATTTTTCTGGGACAAAGGCCCAGGGGTTCTATTGCGGGGTTCTATGCTTGTTGCAGGGTTTTTTTTTTTTAAACCTGTCAAGCCATTTTCCAGAAACTGTCCAGTTTCCATGCATCCTCACCAGGCTTCAGTGTGATCACTATGATCTTATCTCAGCCACCTTAATAGGTATGTACTGATATATCATGGCTTTTATTTGCATTTCACTGATGACTAATGGTGTTGAGCATCTTTTCATGTGTTTATTTGCCATCTGTATATCCTCTCTAGTCAAGTGTCCCTTCATGTCTTTTGTTTACGTTCTATTTTTGAAACTGTTGAGTTTTGAAAAATTCTTTATAAAGTATAGAAACTAATTCTTTGTTGAATATGTAGTTTGTCAATATTTTCTTTCAGTCTTTGGCTTGTCTTTTTATTCTGTTAACAGGGTCTCTTACAGAGCAAAAGGTTTTTATTTTGATGAAGTCTATTTTAACAATTTTTCCTTTTATGGATCATATTTTTGGTGACACATCTAAAATCTCCTGACCCAGCTCCATATCCCAAAGATTTTCTTTCTGTTTTCTAAAGCTTTTATAGTTTTAAGTTTTATGTTTAAGTCTATGATCCATTTTGAGTTAATTTTCTTGCAGGGTGTGAGACCAAGGTTGTGGTTCTTCTTTTTGTTTGGTGGTTTTGTCTGTGGATGTCCAGTTAATCCAGCCCATTTGCTACAAAAGCTATCTTCCATTGAATTGCTTTTGCATCTTTGTAAAAACTTAACTGGGTATATGCGTGCAGGTCTGTTTGAGGATTCTTTATTGTCTGTCCCATTGATCTATGCATCTGTCCATCTGCTAGCTATACAATGAGTCTTGAAAGGGTAGCCTGTAGCTGGGTATGGTGGTGTGCATCTGTAATCCCAGCTACTTGGGAGGCGGAGGCAGGAGAATCACTTGAATCTGGGAGGTGGAGGTTGCAATGAGTCGAGATTGTGCTACTGCACTCCAGCCTGGGTGACAGAGCAAGACTCTGTCTCTAAAAAAAAGAAAGAAGAAGAAAAGGAAAGAAAGGGTAGCCTGATTCCTCCCACTTTATTCTTAAAAAAAAAAGTTTTAGTTATTCTAGTTCCTCTGCCTTTCCATATAAATGTTAGAATAATCTTGTCTATGTCTACAAAAATTCCTTCTGGAATTTTGATAGAAATTGTGTTAAATCTTTATATTATTTGAGAGAAATGACGCTTTTATTATGTTGAGTCTCCTAATCCATGGATATAGCACATCTCTCCATTTGTTTAGATCTTCTTTGATTTATTTTATAATCATTGCATTATTTTCAGCATACAAATCCAGCATATGGGTTGTTAAACTTATGCCTAGGTATCTCTTTTTTTTAGCCACTATAAGTAGTATTGTGTTTTTAAGTTTAGGGTCCGTTACTAGTATGTAGACACACAATTGATCTTTGTATATTTATCTTGTATCCTGCAACCTTGCTGAACTCGCTTAATAGTTCTAGGAGGTGTATTGTTTTCTTTTGTTTTGTTTTTCAGTTTCTTGGGATTTTCTACAGAGACAATCATGTCATCTGCAGATGCAGACAGTTTTCTTCCTTCCTTTCCAATTTGTATGTCTTTAATTTCCTTTTTAAAAAACCTTTATTGCTCTGACTAGAACTTTCTGTACTATGTTAAATACAAGTGGTGAAAGTGGACATCCTTGCCTTGTCCCTGATGTTAAGGAGAAAGCGTTTGTAACTGAGTATCCCAGCCTCAAAATGTGCTTAAAAACTTTTTTCCTTTCTTGCTTTCAGCCTTGAAACATACTTCGAAACTCTTTATTTCTCCCTTTCCCACCAGGCACTTCTGTGAGCAGTGCTCGCTTATCTAATTATGTGCTTACTTAGAAATTCCAGGGGCCAATTTTGAAACAAACCAGGCAGAGAGACCCAGCTGCAGAATCCTCCCTCTTAGGGGGAGTTACAGGTAGCCTACCACTTCCCGGCTGAAATCAGGATGACTCAAACCAGACCTCTGGACAGACGATTAATGACTCATGATAACCATTGGAACAAGATGCAGACCAACATCCTCCTGCACCATTCCCACATATTTCCCACACCTTTTCCTCCTTAAACCCCTTCGCTCAGTCCAGAAAGTTTGAATGGTCTTTTAAAGGCATGGGCCTGGCCATTCCT
The DNA here is from genome assembly GCF_000001405.40 of Homo sapiens. NCBI lineage: Eukaryota > Metazoa > Chordata > Mammalia > Primates > Hominidae > Homo > Homo sapiens. Next base: position 133,214,376 of record NC_000009.12, on the reverse strand, counting down.
CTACTGCTAGCATTTGAATAATGCTGCTTTCCTTTCACCACACTTCACTTCTCATGCCTTGACTTCTGAGCAGCGAGCAGCTGGACTTGAGCCAGTTACACATCAGTCTTTCACCATGAGAAATGATGTTAGCCATAGGTTTTTTGTAGATGCTCTTTGTCAAGTTAAGGAGGTTCTCTTCTATTCCTACTTTTCTGAGAGTTGTTTTCCTGAATGCGTGATGAATTTAGTCAAATACTTTTTCTGCATTGATCGATATGATCATGTAATTTTTCTTCTTAACATATTAATATGGTTGATTTTTGAGTATTGTACCAGGTTTCCATCCCTGGAATAAACTGCTTTTGGTCATGGTGTAGAATTAATTTTATATATTATTATTTGCTAATATTTTGTAAAGGATTTCTGTATCTATATTCATGAGGTATATTGTTCTGCAGCTTTCCTTTTTGTGTTGTCAGGTTTTGGTTGGGAGATATTCTCTCATCTTCTGAGATTATGCAGAGTTGGTGTTATTTATTTTTTAAATGGTTGGTAGAATTTTCTAATGAAACCATATGGACATGAAGAATTATTTTTGGAAGCTTTTAAAATTAAAATGTTAACTTTAATTGTCATAGAGCTATTAAAGTTATCTATCTTATATTGGCATTGTGTTTTTTGAGAAATTGGTTCATTTCACCTATGTTGTCAAATATATGTGGGAAGGTCTCTTCGTAGTATTCCCTTATTATCCTTTGATGTCTGCAGGGTCTGTAGTGATAGTCTCTGTTTTGTTCCAGATGTTGGTTATTTGTGTCTTTCTTTCTTTTTTTGTTTGTCAGTCTTTCTAGAACTGCCTCAATTTTATTAATTTTTCCAGAGAACTAGCCCTTGTTTCATTGTTTTTCTCTGTTGTTTTTCTGCTTTCGATTTTTTCTGCTTTCTGCTTTTGATTTATTAATTGCTGCTCTTATCTTTGTTATTTCTTTTCTTCTTGCTTTGGGTTTATTTTGCTCTTCTTTTTCTAGGTTCTTGAAGTGGGAGCTTAGATAGTTGATTTTGGACTTCTCTTTTCTAATATATGCATTTAATGCCTCTCAGCACTGATTTAGCTGTGTCTCACAAATTTTGATATGTTTTTGTTTGTTTGTTTTTGAGGTAGAGTCTCGCTCTGTATCCCAGGCTGGAGTGCAGTGGCACTATCTTGGCTCACTGCAACCTCCACCTCCTGGGTTGAAGTAATTCTCCTGCTTCAGCCCCCTAAGTAGCTGGGATTACAGGTATACGCCACCATGCCCAGCAATTTATTTATTTATTTATTTTTGTATTTTTAGTAGAGATGAGGTTTTGTCATGCTGTCCAGGCTGGTCTCGAACTCCTGACCTCAAGTGATCTGCCCACGTGGGGCTCCAAAGCACTGAGATTATAGGCATAAGCCACTGTGCCCAGCCTGTTTTTGTTTTTTTTGAGATGGAGTCTTGCTCTGTCACCCAGGCTGGAGTGCAGTGGCATGATAGCCCACTGCAACCTCCGCCTCCCGGGTTCAAGTGATTCTCCTGCCTCAGCCTCCCGATTAGCTGGGATTACAGGCGTGCACCACCACACTCAGCTAGTTTTTGCATTTTTGGTAGAGATGGGTTTTCGCCATGTTGGCCAGGCTGGTCTCGAATTCCTGATCGCAAGTGATCCACCCGCCTGGGCCTCCCAAAGTGCTGGAATTATAGGCACAAGCCACCACGCCCAGCTGATATGTTGTATTTTCATTTTCATCCAGCCTAGTATATTTTTAAATTTACCTTCAGGCTTCCTCTTTGACCTGTGGATTATTCACAGGTGTGTTGTTTCCAAGCCTCTGAAGAAAGATTTTCCATTATCTTTCTGGCATTGATTTATAGTTAGATTCCATGTGGTCAGAGACTACCCTCTATATCATTTAAATTTTTAAAAATTTCTTGAGGCTCATTTTCTCATCCAGGATATGGTCTATCTTGGTATATATTCTGGTGCACTTGAAAAGAATGTGTGTAGTGCTGTTGCCAGGTGGTGTGTTCTACAAATGTCAATTCGATTATGTTAATTGATGGGTGGCCGAGTTCTTTGATGTCCCTGCTGGTTTTCTGTCTAGTTGCTCTGAGAGAAGGGTATTGAAGTCTCCAACTATAATTGTGGCTTTTTAAATTTCTCCTTTCAGTTCTGTTTTGCTTCACATATTGTGCAGCTAATGTTTGGTGCACACACGTTTAGGATTACTATGTCTTCTTTGCAGAATGGCCCACTTATTATTGTATAATTTCCCTCTCTGTTAATTAGTCTTTGTTCTAAAGTCTATTTTACCTGTTATTGAAATAATGCTTCTGCTTTCTTTTGATTAATGTTTATATATCTTTTTTCATGTTTTTACTTTCAACCTGTCTCTATTGTTACATTTGAAGTAAGTTTCTTGTAGACGGCATATAGTTGTATAATGGCTTTTAATTCACTTTGCCAATCACTGTCATTTAATATTTAAACCATTTACATTTAATATAATTATTAACATGCTAGAGTTTGTATTATTTTTATAGGGTTGCTATAACAAAATACTACCAACTGGGTGGCTTAGAACAAAAATTTATTTTCTCACATTCTGGTGGCCAGAAGTCTGAGATCAAGTGAGATTTGGAAGGTAGAAAAACCAACAAAATATGTTAATGATGTTACCATTGTGGGCAACTGGGACTCAGTCCTTCTGAGGACCATCTGAGAAATAGGGTGGAACCATATTTGATTGTTCCACTTAGAAGGAAGAGTCCAGACCATTTATCCCATCAGTTACTATCCCTACAGACTGAGGATGCTGATTCACTTGCACATCTGGGTTTCATCGGTGTCAGGGGAAGCACAGAAGAAAAGGTGCAGGCACTTAAGGTGGGAAGCTGTGAATACGTCCGTGCACCAGGAACGATCTACAACTGTGGCAGGTGGGCCGAGAGCGTGGGTCACCAGTGCCTTCAGCCACCCCTTGCACTGCACTGACCCACTCACACAGCAAATCAAGTCCATTTTGTAACTGATGCTTCAGCATGGTGGCCAGCCACCGTCTCTGAAATAATTAAAATAGGTGGTTGGTGGCACAGGCGATGGTCCCTACTGTGCAGTTGGTCTTGCAGCCTTAACTGAGATTCATCGTAAGCTCCCACTCTGCTCCTTCTTGGCGTGCCTCAGTCCCAGCCAGCACATGCTCTGGTCTAGGTGCTTGTTTGGTGGTGCCATCTAAACCTTCTTATGCCCAGGTGTCGAGTAAAGCCCAGACACTGTCCACTTCAGTGAAGCACCTAGGAATTAGCAGCCCTGAAAAGCTGTGATCACTGTGAGATTCAAAGAAAAGGGTCGTGAGGGAAGTGGTGAGAGAGAAAGTTGTGTGGTAGCGGCAGCCCAACAGGAGCCACCATCAGAAGGAACACAGCCATCCAGAGAAGTGCCCCAGGCCACAAAGCACTGGGGGCCAGAGATCTCACCCCTCATGTCTGCCATGGGTTGACCCCCAACCTCCAGCCCTACCATCTCCTGACGGTGTCTGCACCAGTTGAACCCAACCAGTATCTAAAAGGACACAGTTGGCGAATGAGACTGGGACACAGGGCAAGATGGGTGGATGATGGGAGACTCCTGGAGAGCACCCGTCGCACTGAGCGTGGACCTCATGGGAGAGCCCTGTTCTCTGAAGCATCTGTGCATGTCGTTCCAGCATTTTCTTCAAGGATTGAGCCAGCAGCACCAGTGTTGTAAGGTGCTTAGATCAATGATTCACAAACAACCAATGAAATACGAGGTGCCTGGGGTACAGTCAACAAACACAGAGAACAGAGAAACCTTCCCGTTGATGTAGAGACTCCAGCCTGTTTGCTCATCTCTGGTCCTGAAGAGCCCAGGCCCCATTCTTTCCTGCCCGGGGGGATGAGGGTGGGGGGTTTCTGCTCGGCAGCACTTGCCGTGGGAGGGGTGAGGGACTGGGTCACACCAGCCCGTTCGTTACAGCCCCAGGGTTTATTAGAGTGTGCATTAGTATTATTGAGTAAGTACTTGAGAGTGTCTGATCTTGGGCCAGAGAGGCACAAAGATGCCATTGTGTGGGTCCAGCACCTGCCTGCAGAGCGTGGGTCAGCCTTGGGTCCCAGGGAAGATGACACACACCTGGGAAATGCAGGGTCCGGGAGGGAGAAGGCAAAGTTCTGGCTCAGGTTGGCTGGGGATGAGGCCAGCAGAGCCAGGTGCCCAAGGGACCTCAGCCACGAACTCTGAGCACAGGCTGGCAGGTGACTCTTGGTGCCTCATGCGACTTGTTTATCTAAAGGGATGAGATTCAAGGCCTGTCCTGGGGGCTGGGGGCCGTCAAAGCTGACGAGAGAGGGGAATGTATATTCTAACAGGGAGATGGTCGATGAATACGTGCAGGAAGAAATGGACAGGACAATCCAGAGAGATCGCGTGTTCTGAGGACAGCACAGCCAGGCTCCGGTACGGAGTGAAGCGGGGTCGGGGAGGCGGCGGGGTCCCTCATATGGCCCGAGGAGGCCGTATATAAACTGACCCTGAGCCACACAATAGTGCCCTCCTCTGCCCCTAGGAAGCTCGAGTGCAGGGTCCAGGTGGGGAAAATCAATGCAGAGTGGGTCCCAGAGTGGGCGGAAGCTTGGGCTCTAGGGCGTGCGGGACTCAGCTGGCAGCAGCCCCACGTCTCTCTGGTTCTAAAGCCCAGTCCATTTCTGCTCAGCAGGGAGATGGCCAGTTCCCCAGAGGACTTGCCCAGGGTCCCAGCCGTGGCCCTGGGAGGGTGCAGGGGTTGGTGAGGGAGTATCCCGAGGCTGTGGGCCCTGCCTCTGTGGCTTGGGGTGCAGATGGACACCACCCTGCCCTGTCCTCTCGAGTCCTCTGGGCTCATCTGAGTGGGCGCGTTCGGGTGGTGCAAACTCTGGATGGCATCGTGTGTCTTTTCTTCTCTGGCTGGCACTGACTTGCTGTTCACCAGATGCCAGCAATGAGGACACTCCCCCTCCCGGATGCAGGACTGGTTGCCACCATGGGGAGGGGTGCACCGTGCCACGTGCTCCCAGGACACTGGCCAGGGGGCTATAAAGAACATCTCGAGAGGAGCCAGCACAGCCTTGTTCAGACGCCCAGTGACCTGCCGAGGTCGGCAGCACAGAGCTCTGGAGATGAAGACCCTGTTCCTGGGTGTCACGCTCGGCCTGGCCGCTGCCCTGTCCTTCACCCTGGAGGAGGAGGATGTGAGCTGGGTTGGCGTGGGCGGATGGAGGAGCCAGGCGGACTCCTGGGCAGGGGGCAGTGCCAGGGGCCCTGCTTTAGGAGGTGTCACTGAAGGCTGGCTTCTGACCCCGTGCTCCCAGCCTGGGGTGGTGGTGGAGGGGTCCTATTGTTCCTCCAGCAGACACGGCCCCCCGAGGCCCAGGGCCGGAGCAGGCTCGTCTCAGGGGTTCCTGCTGCACTGACGCCTGAAGCCCGAAGGTCTCGCAGGGTTGGGCCCTGTGGAGGGAGGGCTCACCTGGTGCTGGGGCCCGGGGGTCCATGGGGTGCAGACATGCCCTCCTTCCACTGGGGGCTGGGAGCCCTGAGCAGGGGGCTGGCTCTAACTCACTCCAGCTGAGCTCTAACTAAGGTGCAGGAACACAGCCTGCCTTTAAGGGCAGCAGCCGGGCACCATGGGTGTCTGGTTATAGCTGCAGGCCTGAGTGCCAGGGTCAGAGTAGAATCTGGGCCACCCATGGTGGGCTCACGGCCTTGGCCTGCTCCAGATCACAGGGACCTGGTACGTGAAGGCCATGGTGGTCGATAAGGACTTTCCGGAGGACAGGAGGCCCAGGAAGGTGTCCCCAGTGAAGGTGACAGCCCTGGGCGGTGGGAAGTTGGAAGCCACGTTCACCTTCATGTGAGTGTTGCCCACTGCAGGGCCCCTCAGGCCACTTTCGCTCCCCTCCCCAGATCCACCTGGTGCCCATTGCCCCATCCACGTTTCGGGTGTTGGGAAGAGTCACCCCCTGCCTTGGAGGGAAACAGCCTGGGCATCCTGAAGCTCGGTGGGGTGGGGGGCAGTGGAATTTTCAGGTTGCCGGGTCAGGGCCATGCACCAGGTGAGCTGAGGATGGGCCATGGGTGTCCTGGGAGCCGCTGCCCGCGTGTCTCCTGTTTTCCAGGAGGGAGGATAGGTGCATCCAGAAGAAAATCCTGATGCGGAAGACGGAGGAGCCTGGCAAATACAGCGCCTGTGAGCCCCTCCCCCACTCCCACCCCCACCCTCCCCCACCGCCAACCCCAGTGCACCAGCCTCCACAGGTAGAGAGTGCCCAGGCTGCCCTTTTGCCAGGGCCCCAGCTCTGCCCACCTCCAAGGAGGGGCTGGCCTCTCCTTCCTGGGGGGCTGGTGGCCCTGACATCAGACACCGGGTGTGACAGGCTTGTCCGCAGTCGAGATGGACCAGATCACGCCTGCCCTCTGGGAGGCCCTAGCCATTGACACATTGAGGAAGCTGAGGATTGGGACAAGGAGGCCAAGGATTAGGTACGGGGAGGCTGAGGGTTAGGGATGGGGAAGCTGAGGGTTAAGGATGGGGAAGCTGAGGGTTAAGGATGGGGAGGCTGAGGGTTAGGGACGGGGGCCAAGGGTTAGGGATCGGGAAGCTGAGGGTTAGGGATGAGGAGGCCGAGGGTTAGGGATGGGGAGGCCGAGGGTTAGTGCTGCGGAAGCTGAGGATTAGAGATGGGGAGGCTGAGGGGGAAGATGAGGGTTAGGGACAGGGAAGTGGGGCAGGAGCAGCTGCTGGAGCTGGGAAGGCCGGACTCTAGTCCTGGACGTGCTCTGGCCTTGTGGCTCCATTACTTGCATTGGGACCTTCCTGAGAGGAGGCTCCTGCCTCCGTGTCCGGGTCCACACTGTGCGGAGCAGCCAGGCCTGGCTCAGGCTGTCCAGGGCACCTGGGTGACCGCTGAAACATTCCCGAGTGTTTCTTCATGTGGCCCCGAGTGTTCTCTCTGGGAATGACCCATTTTCTCTGTCATCTACAGATGGGGGCAGGAAGCTCATGTACCTGCAGGAGCTGCCCAGGAGGGACCACTACATCTTTTACTGCAAAGACCAGCACCATGGGGGCCTGCTCCACATGGGAAAGCTTGTGGGTGAGGGGCTTGCTGGGGTCTGCGTGTCCTGCCCCACGGTCTCTGCCTCTGGAAGCCGGTGGAACCAGCACCACCATGCCCTGGCATGGGGGAAAAGGAAGCCCCCTGTGCCGGCTTTCATGTGCCGGGCACCGCTGGGCAGCCGGTCCAAGTACCTGAAGTGGGAATGGGATGGGCCAGGCAGGGACAGACATGGCCCTCGGTGACATGAACCTGCCAAGGGCCACTTCTGGGGTCTCGGGTGTAGGAGGGTCACCTTAAGGGGGAGGGTCACCTTAAGCGTCCTAAGAGAGCTCTTCATGGGGCAGGGACCCTCCAGGGCAGGAGGGTGGCCGGTGCCTCTGGGAGACAAGGTCCCTCCAGGTGAGGGCTGTGACCCTGCAGGGTGGCATTGGGAGCTGCCCAGGTCCCCTGGGGTTGCCGAGTGGCTTGGAGAGTCCCCGCCACTGTCCCCCTTCCTGGGGACCTCTCATCTGGGCAGTGACTGTCTCCTCTGTCCCCAGTCCCACCCCTGAGCTCTCATCCATTCTCAAGTCTCCTCTCCTGCTTGTCCGGTGCTGGGCTATGGCCATCTCTTCTGTCCCCGGCCCCACCCCAGAGCTCTGGTCCACTCTTGGGTCTCTCCCCTTGTCCTGGTGCTGGGCAGTGGCCATCTCCTCTGTCCCCAGCCCCACCCCCGAGCTCTGATCCACTCTCAGGCCTCTCCCCCTGTCCTGGTGCTGGGCCGTGGTCGTCTCCTTTCGGCATCTGCTCCCTGCAGGGCCGTGCCGCTGTCCCCACGTCGGCTCACCTGGCCACCTCACCTGCAGGTAGGAATTCTGATACCAACCGGGAGGCCCTGGAAGAATTTAAGAAATTGGTGCAGCGCAAGGGACTCTCGGAGGAGGACATTTTCACGCCCCTGCAGACGGGTGAGGATGGCTGTGCCCAGTCCCCTGTGTCCCTCTGCTGTGTCTGTCTGCTATCTCCAGTGTCCCATGACCCCCATGTCCTCCCATGTCCCCCGCATTCCCCGTGTGCCCCGAGTCTCCTCGCAGGGGCTCCCGGGCCCTGTTTAGCGTCCTCCTCATTGGAGGCTCTGTGCTCTGGGCTGCGATGGGGTCTGGGGCTCCGCGCTCTGGGCTGCGATGGGGTCTGGGGCTCCGCGCTCTGGGCTGCGATGGGGTCTGGGGCTCCGCGCTCTGGGCTGCGATGGGCTCTGGGGCTCTGAGCTCTGGGCTGCGATGGGGTCTGGGCCCTGGTCTAGGGCGCCTTCTAATCCCTGGGTTTTTCTTGGTCTCTGCAGGAAGCTGCGTTCCCGAACACTAGGGTGAGTGAGCCTTTAGGAGGGCACTGGACAAGCCCAGAGTCCTGGGTTCCCGGGGTTCGAGGGTACATCTGCTCTGGCCCCTCCCATCCCACACAGCCAGGGAGACCCCCCCAGGGTCAGGCACGAGGTTGGCACCTCAGAGTCTGCCCACCCACAGTTCCTGGGACATTCGGGAAGTCCTTTGTTTTATCATTCCTGCACCTGCCAGCCCGAGTGAGGGTCCTCCTCGGCCTTTCCACAGCGAGGCCTCCCTCCGGCTCCCTCAGGTGTCAGCTCAGCCCATCGCCCCCTGCACCTGTCCCCACGCGGTCCACTCCCCACCATCCACCCACCAAGGATGCTCAGAGGCCTGCCCAGTCATTGGAGGAGCTGAGGTCGCTCTGGAGCCCCGAGGTTGCCCAGCAGTGGCCGATGTGGGGGCTGCAGAGCCTGGGGAGGGAGCTCTGGCCCTGGCCTCTGCCCTACCCTGCAGCCTCCCTGACCTCTGCTCCTCTTCCCAGCACAGCAGCCCCCGGGTCTGCACCTCCAGAGCCCACCCTACCACCAGACACAGAGCCTGGACCACCTGGACCTACCCTCCAGCCATGACCCTTCCCTGCTCCCACCCACCTGACTCCAAATAAAGTCCTTCTCCCCCAGCTCTGGGCAGGCCTATCTGTGGGGACAGAGGGGCTTGCACCCGCTCCCTGGGAGGTCTGCTGGGAGGGGGAGCCACAAGGGAAGCTGGGGAGATGTTGGACCTAGCAAGGGCCAAACCACAAGAGGCACGATGTCCAACAGGCCTGAGGGGCTGCGTGATGTCCTGGAGGGGCCTCCTGCAGAGCCGCCCTCAGGTCTCAGGTTCAGCTTAGGACAGGCAGGGCCCTGGGCAGGAGCGTTTGGAAAGCTACTGGGGAGGACAGGAGCGGGGACACGGCGTCAGGGCTGCAGCAGTGGGGCCACCGCAGGGCTCCCGCCTCAGGGGTCTCAGAGGGATCCTCCAAGCTCCCCCATTTTAGCAGCCTGGGCTCAGTGGCAGCACTGGAGAGAGGAGCGCTGGAGAGAGGGACACTGGCGCCTCCATCATCACCCCCAGAGCAAGGCAGAGCCGACCCTGGTCTCCGAGATCCTTGGCCCCACCCTGGCCTTCCCATGGCTTGTCCAGGGGCCATGGTCTGTGCAGACACTGGGGCTGCTGGGACATGAGGAGGCCGACCACAGTGAGGGACGAGAGGCCACTGCACCGCAGTGATAAACATGCCCCAGGAACCACAAACCCAAGCTGGACAGGCCTCCTGGGGGCTGAGCCTTCAAAGCGACCGCCTCTCCCCCCGGCCACACCAAGTAACCACTGCCCACCTCCCGCCAGACCAGCATCCTCATCTCCTCCTCTCCCACCTGGACATGATTCTTGGGTGAGGCTACAGGGTGGTCCTGAAGTGAGCCAGGCCAGCAGGGCCCAGGCGAGCCGAGGCGGAACCAACCTGGGTGTCCACGGGCCACATGTGGAGGGCAGGGCAGACCTCACCCTACAAAGATGGGTGAGCAGTAAGCCATCTCCCTCACCCTGTGCTACCATGCAGATTCCAGAAAGGTTAGGATATGTGTAAAAATTCAAGATTGGTTGGTTATTTGCTATTGGATAGAAAACCTAAAAAGTTAAAAAAAATACATATATATGAAATTGGCCAGGTGCAGTGGCTCACATCTGTAAGCATTTTGGGAGGCCGAGGAGAAAGGACACTTGAGGCCAGGTGTTCGAGAACAGCCTGGGAAACACAGTGATACCTCATCTCTGTTTGTAAAAAGAAGAAAAAATAAGTAAATAGTAAAAATATTAACCTGGTGGAAAAGGATTTTTGACACATCTAAGCAGTGGGGAGGGTCTCCTTGGGAAAGACAGAGATTGGACTGCAGAGCGCTGAGCGTGGGTGCAGGGAGATGCTGGCAGGAACAGGAGGTGGGCACATAAGAAGCTGGGAAACCTGTTCCTGCCCACTTGGAGGGCCTGGCATGGGCGGCTGTGGGTCTCCCTGCATCCTTGCCTGGGCTGTTTGTCCATTCATCTGCCCTATCCATCCAATGTCCTGGCCACCTCATGATGGGTGGACCAGGGACCTGTAGCCCTGGGAATGCAGCCCTCGAGGTGGGAGGCTCTGTCCTGGCGGACGTGGGCCCCAACCATCATCCATTTCTGCTCCCGAGAGCCCTGGCCCCATGCAGCTTCCCCTTCCAAGCTCAGCACCCCCCAATTCCACCCACAAACTCTCCAATCACTGAGTCACACGAAGCCTCTTCCCATGGCTCATAACCATGGGACCCTCGCAGACACCCAACATCTGAAATATTTGAGGACAGTATCCCAAATAAGTCAGGAAAACTTTCACTCCCAACCCAAGCATGGCAGAGGCACCGAGCAGAATCTCTCCAGGAGCAAAACGAGCCTTTCAGTGTTTGAAAATCAAGAAATCGCAGATGTGAAGGAGGGCAGTGGAGATTTTTTTGTTCTTTCAAAATGAATTTTTAAATATATGTACAAAGGGACACAAGTATCCTGGAGATGGCGCACCAGACGGGTTCTCTCCGACATGACTTGTTCACCAGGGGCCAAGTGTCCAGGCTGAGAGCTAGGGCCCCAGGCAGACTGAGAAGTGTGACACAGGGCTCGTGGGTCACCAGCCTTCCGGAAAGTGCTTAACCTGTTTCTTTGTTCGTAAAGAGAGGACCACAGGAGCACTCACCAGCAGGGTTGCTGTGAGGAACGGGCACACATCTACACACAATCTCACACATGAACACACATATGTGCGCACACACACACCCCTACACACACCTATACATGCTCTCACACATGCACACACACCTACACACACACTGCCACATGCTCTCTCTCACACATACACACAGTCTCCCACCCGCACACACACCTACCTACTCACAATGCACCCCCCTGGTATACATGCCTGGTACAGCCTAAGTCTGCATGTGTGTCAATGATGAGCCTTCTTGCTGGGGAGTGTAATCTGCATGCCTGCGGTTGCCTAACTCCATGTCTGGACTCAATATTAAGAGAACAAAGATGCTGGAGTCGGGCGTGGTGGCGCGCACCTGTAGTCCCAGCTCCTCAGGATGCTGACATGGGAGGATCACTTGAGCCTAGGAGTTTGAGACCAGCCTGGGCAACATAGCAAAACTCTGTCTCAAAAAAAAAAATTTTTTTTAAAGACATAAGCAAGCATTCATTATCCATAGAAGGATTTCAAATCACACCACTCCATATAACAAAAAAATATTAATTTTGTTTTTCTAGTGTGAGTCCCCCAGAAGCAGATGAGGCAGATGCAAGCTCAAGTGGTTTACTTAGGAGGTGGTCCCAGGAGACCCTCCTAAGTAGGGTTGGGGAGGTGACGTTAGCAGGGAAGGCCACTGGTGAAGGGTCCAGCATCAAGGTGACCACTTGCGACCAACTGGGGCTCAGTCCCTGGCGCTGCCATGTTTTAGACCAGCTCCAGCCGGTCACGGGATGGGGATGCTTCCATGGGGCACTTATTCCTGGCACTTCCCGCTGCTGCAGGGCAGGGCGGCTTAGGTGGAAAGACGACCCCTCCAGAGAGGAGCTGAGGACACTGCGGTGGAAACGTGGCCAGCGTGGCCTGCAATAGCAAGAACCAAGGGCTATGACAGCCCCCATGGCACCCACTGCAGTCCACCCCTGGCAGCTTCAGAACACTCATGCCCCACACTGAGCTCACACTTTGCTGCCACCGGGTCTTCAAGGTGACATTTGCCTGTGATAATTTCTAAAATACAAAAAAGAAAAAAGTCTTAGAACAGAAACATTCTTGGGCTGGGCGAGGCTCTGGCTGTGGCAGTCAGTGCCAGGCGTGGCTGATGTTCATCCTTTCCTCCTTGCCGCTGGCCAGGGGCTCAGCTAGACTAGGTCTCTTCTCCGGTGGGATAGCACTGACCTTCCCCGCCAGGGTTCTGAGCCCCCAGGTGGGCACCTTGGAGGTCTGTGGTCCTGCTGTGCCAATTCACAGGCCTGGAAGCACCAGAGGGTGCCCAGAGAACCCTGGAGTTCTGTACGTCCACCCCCATCCCTCTCATGGGACAGTGCACCTGTTGCTTGGTGATAGGCAGATTCACTCATCTGGCAGTAGGTTAGCAAGACTATCATACTGTATGTGCAAAAGAGAGATGGGCAGAAGTTTAAAAAGTTCTATTTTGCCTGCAAAAGTAAAGGCGGCGTCTGGCTTGCTCCTGGGCCCTAAGGAACGCTGAGCACCTGCCCAGAGGATGCCAGTGACGGTGGGGCTGCAGGTGCCTGTCTCGCCTGGCATTGCCAAAGGTTGGGTGGGCAGAAACCCTCAGCCGTCTGAAGAAGCAGGGCATTTCAGATCAGCCCCCAGCAGGAAGGTCCCATGAGGCCCTGGTGAGAGCTGACCGGAGGACATGGGGTCCCAGCCACCTGTTGGACACCATGGTGTGGGCAGGTCTGGGAAGCTTTTCTCCTCTTTTTTTTTCTTTTATGAGACACTGTCCTTCTCTGTTGCCTAGGCTGGAGTGCAGTAGTACAATCACAGCTCACTGTAGCCTTGATATCTCAGGCTCAGGCAATCCTGAGTAGCTCAGCCTCCTGAGTAGCTGCCACTACAGGTGTGCACCACTATGCCCAGGTAATTTTTTTTTTTCTTAGAGACAGAAACTCCCAACGTTGCTCAGGCTGGTCTCAAACTCCTAGGCTCAGATGATCCTCCTACCTTGGCCTCCCAAAGTGCCTGAATTCCAGTCATGAGCCACCGACTGTGCCTGGCCTCTTCTCTTCTTGTTGGTGTTTGTCTATTACACATAGTGAACAGCAGGAGAAATATATCCGAGGGCTGGTGGCAGTGCCCTCTCCCTAACTCACCCCTAAACCCCGCTAACAGACACGGAACAGAACCAGAGCCGGGAGGTTTATTCTCTCAATGCAGGGGGATTCCTGGAGGTTTATTGTCAATGCAGGGGGATTCCGTTGCCACTTGCTGCCATCTCTGCACGATCAGCTCCTATGCATCTTCCCTTGGACTTGTCTGTGCTCAGCGCCAGGCCCCCGCCCACCCGCTTGCCTGGTGAGTGCCTCTCATTGGCTCCTCTCCTCGGATCAGCGCTCGCCTCCCCCCAGGTCACTTCACTTTCTTCCGTTCCTGGCCTGGTACCGCATTCTTGGATATCAACCTTTTTCTCCGAACAATCCATGGATGCTTGTTCTTCCTTTCTGTGTGCGTTTAGGGGTTCGTTTTATTAAAAACAAACAAACAAAAGCGCTTTATATTCTTGATCTTTCGAGATCTTTCCAGGATCATTTATTTTCATCTTTTAAGTCCAAGAGCTTTCCAGGATGCGCAGGCCTGTGTCTCTCCTCACCTGCCTTGCCTGAATTTGTGAGCGCTAGCAATCTCACGCTCACACTCTGCGGCGTTCCTTCTGCTCGGAGAAATTTTATGCCATTCTTGGTCTCCTGTCCTCCATCCGTGTGCCTCCCTGCTCCTGGAACGCCCGGGGTTTGCAGGGAAGGCTCCCGCGCGCCCGGCCCCCTCCCGCCCGCGGGCTCTCACTCAGCTCTGGCTGAGAGCTTCCTCTTCGCGGTGGTCTTCACCTTTTACGTCTGGTTGCGGTCTCTCCTGCATCGTCTCACTCATTTCCCCATTTGTAAAGCACGTGTTTCCGAGCCCAGTCTGCTTTTGCGCCGTGGCCTCCTGTCCTCAAGGGGCGCGTTACTGGTTTGGCGCCCGCGGTGGCTTCCGCTGCCGTCGGGGCGCTCTGGTTCCCGCTCTCTGGGCCACTCACGAGCTGCGTTCCTTTGCCCGTCCCCGGGCTCAGGTCCAGGTGCTGCTTCTCCCGGCAGGCGTGACCTGAGATTGTCGTGGGTCCCGCAGTCACTGGCTCTGCGGACGTTTTGCTCATCTCCTGCAGAGAATCCTGGAGGAAGCCCTTCTATCCCCAGCCTCCTTGGGGCAAAGGCCGGGGTGCCCAGGTCTCAGGCTGCAGGGCATCATTGCCTGCGAGCAGTTCTCTGGGGGCAGGCCAGGGGCCGGCCAGCGGGGCCTTGTGGAATGTCACGGGAGTGGCACTGCCTTTCCGTGGGGCCTGTGGGTCACACTCCCTCCAAGAAGGGGAACGGACCCACCCCTGGCGGAGTCCTGGGCCTCCGTCCCTGGCTCCCGGGAGGCCTGCCTGGGAACGCAGCTGCAGCTGGGAGAGGAAGGCACCGGAGGTTCCCACACCGCCGCTCTTCCAGAACTCGCTCCGCCGCCGATTTGGAGCAGCTTACATTTTGTTTTGTCTCTGCTTCCATCCGCAGTATTTATTTCTGCCTCCTGTGTTTCTGTTCTTCTCCAGTCTCCCCAGAGTCCATTTCTTTCTTTCCATCTCTATAAGGAACCAGCTTCTGCCTCCGAGGAGTGTCTCTGCCTCTCCGTGTGCCGACTCCCAGCTCGCACTCCTGTCTCACGTTCCCTTGGCATTTTGGTTTTGCTCTGTTATTTGTTCGTTTGTTTATTGAGACGGAGTCTCACTCTGTCCCCCAGGCTGGAGTGCGGTGCGCCATCTCAGCTCACTGCAACCTCCGCCTCCCGGGTTCAAGTGATTCTCCTCCCTCAGCCTCCCAAGTAGCTGGGACTACAGGAGAGGGCCACCACGCTTGGCTAATTTTTGTTTTCGTGGGTTTTTTTTTTTGAGACAGAGTCTCACACTGTCGCCCGGGCTGGAATACAGTGGGGCCATCTCGCTCACTGCAACCTCCGCCTCCCAGGTTCAAGCGATTCTCCTGCCTCAGCCTCCTGAGTAACCGGAATTACAGGTGCCCGCCACCACGCCCGGCTTATTTATTTATTTATTTATTTTGTATTTTAAGTACCACCACGCCCGGCTTATTTATTTATTTATTTATTTATTTATTTTGTATTTTAAGTAGAGATGGGGTTTCACCATGTTGACCAGGCTGGTCTGGAACTCCTGACCTTGTGATCCGCCTGCCTCGGCCTCCCAAAGTGCTTGGGATTACAGGCGTGAGCCACTGCACCAGGCCTAATTTTTGTATTTTTAGTAGAGACGGAGTTTCACCATGTTGGCCAGGCTGGTCTTGAACTCCTGACCTCAAGTGATCCACCCGCCTCAGCCTCCCAAAGTGCTGGGATTACAGGCATGAGCCACTGCTCCTGCCCTGCTCTGTTATTATTTTTAATATTGATTTGAACACTTGGTTCATTTATTTGTATGTTATATGTTTCTTTTTTTTTTTTTTTTTTTTTTTTTTTTTTGAGACAGGGTCTTGCTCTGTCGCCCCAGGCTGGAGTGCAGTGACATGATCTTGGCTCACGGCAACCTCTGCTTCCTGGGTTCAAGAGATTCTCCTGCGTCAGCCTCCTGAGTAGCTGGGATTACAGGTGCCCACCACCATGCCCGGCTAATTTTTGTATTTTTTTTTTTTTAGTAGAGGCAGGATTTCACCATGTTAGCCAGGCTGGTCTTGAACTCCTGGCCTGAAGTGATCCACCTGCCTCGACCTCCCAAAGTGCTGAGATTACAGGCGTGAGCCACCGCGCTCGGCCATATTTCCATGTTTTATGTTTCTAATGCTTATGTCTGTAATTTTCTGAGTGCAACAAAGGACACCTTTAGCTGCATCCAACAAATGTTGATAGAGATTGCTGTCACTGTTATTCATTTCTCAGTAGTTCATAAGTTCCTTTGTAATCCTAAGAGTATACACTGTCTATGGGAATCTGTTGATAGTTCCTTTCTGATACATGGCTGAAAAGTTTTTGCAAACATTTCTCATGTGCTTGAACTTAATTTGTGGGTTTTGGTAGTTGCATATTTCCACAAACACCTATTAGATGAACTTAACTGATCATGTTACTTACATCTTACACTCTCAAATATTTTTCTCTACTTCATCCATTTGTTTCTGAATATCTCCGTTAAATAATCCCGCTTCAGTTGTTGATTTCTCATGTTCTCCTTAAATTCAATTAGTTTTTGCTCCATATATTTAGAATTTACAATTGTTTTGGTGTGGCCAGCTCAATGGTGGTGATTTTCTTTTCCCTAAGGATGATCATTCCTGTTATCAGCACCAAGCATCTTTGTGTGTTCACATTTGATGTTTCTCCTCATATTTCACAGCAACTTCTTTTGGAAAATATATTTTCCTTTTCATTCTTTGTTTTTTAACGTGAGTCTCTTTCTGATTTTTTTAATTATTTTATTTTGAAATTCACACAGAAAAAAAGTGGTTTTTTTCATGGACAGTTCTGTGGATTTTAGCATGTGCAGAGATTTTTTTTTTTTTAAACAGAGTCTCGTCCTGTCGCCCAAGCTGGAGTGCAGTGGCGCGATCTCTGTTCACTGCAACCTCCGCCTTGAGGGTTCAAGCGATTCTCCTGCCTCAGCCTCCCAAGTAGCTGGGATTGCAGGTGCCTGCCACCATGCCTGGCTAATTTTTGTATTTTTACTAGAGACAGGGTTTCACCATATTGGCCAAGCTGGTCTCAAACACCTGACCTCAGGTGATTTGCCCTCCTCGGCCTCCCAAAGTGCTCAGATTACAGGCGTGAGCCACCGCACACAGCCACATGTGTAGATTTGTGTAACCATCACTGTCGTCAACAGGCAGAGCAGATCTGCCACCCCAGCAACCCCCCCTGCTTACCCTCCACAGTCAAATCCTCCCCCAGCCCCTCACCTCTGGGGACCTCAATCTTTCTTGCATCTCTGTAGTTGTGTCTTCTCTAGAATATCACATAAATGGAACTGCATAGTATGCAGCCTTTTTAGACTGGCTTCACTCATTCCGCATACTGCCTTTGATATTAATCCATGCTGTTAAGCATATCAACAGCTTGCTCCTTTTAATTGCTGAGAAGTTTCATTGCGTGGATGTACAACAGTTTGCCCTATTGATGGTGAAGGTGTTTGAGTTGTTTCCAGTTTCTAGCAATGATGAATGGAGCTGCTACACACATTTGTTTTTGTACAAGTTTTGTTTTTGTATTTTTGTTTTGTTTTTGTTTTTGAGATGGAGTCTTGCTCTGTCGCCCAGGCTGGAGTGCAGTGGCGCCATCTCGGCTCACTGCAAGCCCGGCCTCCCAGGTTCACGCCATTCTCCGGCCTCAGCCTCCCGAGTAGCTAGGACTACAGGTGCCTGCCACCACGCCTGGCTAATTTTTTGTATTTTTAGTAGAGACGGGGTTTCACCATGTTAGCCAGGATGGTCTCGATCTTCTGACCTCATGATCCACCCACCTCAGCCTCCCAAAGTGCTGGGATTACAGGCGTGAGCCACTGTGCCTGGCCAATATTTTCTTATACATACATACCACATACCATATTTGCTTATCTGTTCATCTTTTGATGGACATTTAGGATGCTTCCACCTCTTGGCTACAGTGAATAGTACTGCTGTGAGTATGGATGTGGAAGTATCTTTTCCAGACCCAGTTTTCAATTGTTTTGGCAATACATGCAGGAGTGGGATTGCTGGATGATATGGTACTCGTATTTTTAATGATGTGAGGAACCTCCACACTTTTTTCCACATAGGCTGCACCATTTACATTCCCACCAATGGAGCACAAGTGTTCCAACTTCACATCCTTGCCAACACTTGTTATTGATAGTCGCTGTCCTAATGGATGTGAGGATATTATCTCATTGTGGACTTGGTTTGCATTCTCTGATAATTAGCGATGTGAAGCATGTTTGTGTGTGCTTGTTGGTCATTTGAAAACCATCTTTAAGGCCGGGTGTGGTGGCTCACGCCTGTAATCCCAGCACTTTGGGGAGCCAAGGCAGGCGGATCGCCTGAGGTCAGGAGTTCAAGACCAGCCTGGCCAACATGGTGAAACCCTGTCTCTACTAAAAATACAAAAATTAGCCAGGTGTGGTGGCAGACCCCTGTAATCTCAGCTACTTGGAAGGCTGAGGCAGGAGAATCACTTGAACCCGGGAGGCGGGGGTTGCAGTGAGCCGAGATCGCGCCATTGCATTCCACCCTGAACGACAAGAGTAAAACTCCATCTCAAAAAAAAAAAAAAAAAAGAAAAGAAAGAAAGAAAGAAAAGAAAACCACCTTTAGAAAAATGTCTACTCAAGTCCTTTACCATTTTTTTCTTTTTTTTTTCTTCAGCACCTTTTTTACTCATTTTTTTAAGTGGGAGTATTTAATTGTTTTCTTGTTGAGTTGTAGGGTTTATTTATTCTAGATAAAAATCTGTATCAGAGATATGATTTGCAAATATTTTCTCTCAGCTTGTAGGTTACCTTTTCACTTTGCTGTTAGCATTTTTTGATGCCTGAAAGTATTTATGATTGATGTACTTCTGTCTGTCTGTTTTTGCTTTGGTTTGCCTGTGTTTTTGGTGTCATATCTGAAAAGTCAGATATGCAATTTCAAATTTTCCTGTATTTTCTTCTAGAGGTTGTGCAGTTACAGGTATTACCATTAGGTCCTTATTTCATTTCTAGTTAATTTTTGGATGTGGTGTAAGGCAAGGGTCTTCCTTTATGCTTCTGCACATGAATATCATTTTTCCCAGCACCATTTGTTGGAGAAACTGTCCTTTCCCCAGTGACAGGTCTCAGCACCATTGTTGAGGATTGCTTGAACATATGTACACAAGGGTTCTCTGTTTTATTCCATTGGTCTATATCTTTGCCTTTGGCCAGTACCACACTGTTTTGATTACTGTAGTTTAGTAATATGTTTTGAATTCAGGAAGTATGAGTCCTCCACTTTGTTCTTTTTCCAAATTGTCTTGGCTATTTGGGGTCCTTTGAGATTCCATGTGAATTTTGGGGTGAATTTTTATATTTATGAAACAAATACCATTTGGATTTTGATAGAAATTGCAGTGAATCACTTCAAGTGGTAGGGAAATTTGACAATATTAAAGTCTTTGAATTGAAGAACACAAGATATCTTTCCATTTATTTGTGTCTTCTCTAATTTCTTTCAGCAAGATTTTATAGTTTTCAGTGTACAAGTCTTTGAGCTTGTAGGGTAGGTTTATCCACTAGTATTTTATTCTTTTTGATGCCACTGTATTGAAATTATTTTCTTAATTCCTTTTGGATTGTTGATTGTTGGTGTATGGAAAGGCAACTGACTTTTGAACGCTGATTTTGTATCAGCAACTTGGCTGAATTCGTTTACATTTCTAACTTTTTTGGTAACTTTGAGGTTTGCTAAGTATAAGATCATGTCACCCGCATACAGGGATGATTTTACTTCTTTCTTTCCAATTTGGTGCCTTTGCTTTCTTTTCCTCGCCTAACTCATCTGGTTATGAGTTTCAATACTCACTTGAACAGAAAAGACAAGAGCCAGCACCCTTGCTTGTTCCCACTCTCGGAGGAAAAGCGTTCAGCCTGTCACCATTGAGTATGATGTTAGAAGTGAGCTTTTCATAAGCGACCTTCATTGTGTTGAGGCAGTTCCGTCCTCTTCCTATGTGTGGAGTGTTTTTTTTTTTTTTTTACTGTGAAAGGATGTTGAATCTTGGCCACATGCTGTTTCTGCATCAGTTGGCATTACCATGGGGTTTGTCTTTCGTTCTGCTAATGTGTCTGCGTGGTTCATATGTTGCTTCATCCTCAGAATATACTCTCATGTGTCTGGCTTCCTGAATTCAGCTCATGGGATTCATAAATGTCTATGTTTCGGTCTGGGTTGCCTCCATTCTCTCTCTTTCTCTCTTTTTTCCCTTTCTTTCTTTCTTTTTCTTTCATTCTTTCTTTTTTTTTTTTTTTTTTTGAGACAGAGTCTCACTCTGTTCCCCAGGCTGGAGTGCAGTAGCATGATCTTGGCTTACTGCAACCTCCGCCTCCCAGGTTCAAGTGATTCTCCTGCCTTAGCCTCCCAAGCAGCTGGGAATATAGGCATGCGCCACCATGCCTGGCTAACTTTTGTATTTTTAGTAGAGACTGGGTTTCACTATGTTGGCCAGGCTGGTCTAGAACTCCTGGCCTCAAGAGATCCGCCTGCCTCAACCTCCCAAAGTGCTGAGATTACAAGTGTGAGCCACCCCACCCTGCGGGCCTCCATTTGTTTTTGTTGCTCTGTGGGTCTGTTTTGTGCACTACAACCTCACTGCCTTGACTCCTGTAGCGTCATAAGTCTGAACATCTCATAGCATAAGTCCTCCAAATTTGTTCTTATTCAAGATTCTTCTGGTTCTATTTTAGTCCTTTGTATTTCTACATAAATTTTTAAATTGGTTCCTCAGATTCCACATAGCAATATCTGCTGTTGTATTTCATAAAGAATGTATTGCATCTATAGATCAATTTGGGGAGAACTCAATTCAGTAATACATGGTAGGGGGAGCCCCACAATGTGAAAAAGAAGGAATACGCTGGGAACAAATACCTGCAACTCATCTCAGGAAAATGACTCCCATCCCCAATATGTAAAGAGCTCCTAGAAATTGATAAGAAAAAGATCAGCAAAAGAGAGTATGAGACCCTTTACAGAAAGAAATACAAAAGGTTTTAAGCATATGAACGTATGTTCATTCTCAATGATAATATACAAAATTGTCTAATCCAAAGGTTTGAAAATATACTCTGAAGCTGTGTAGAAATAGGAACTTTTATTCATTGCCAACAGAAATATAAGTTGCCTGCCAATGGATGCAGTTTGACGATATCTATCAAAGTTACAAATTGGCCAGGTGCAGTGGCTCACACTTGTAATACTAGCACTTTGGGAGGCCAAAGCAGGTGGATCACTTGAGGTCAGGAGTTCGAGACCAGCCTGGCCAACATGGTGAAACCCCTTCTCTACAAAAAGATACAAAAATTAGCTGGGCATGATGGTGCTCCTGTAATCCCAGCTACTTGGGAGGCTGAGGCACTTGAACCCAGGAGGTGGAGGTTGCAGTGAGCCGAGATCGCACCACTGCACTCCAGCCTGGGCAACAGAGAGAGGCTCTGTCTCAAAACAATAACAACAACAACAAAAACCCCACAAAATTACAAATGTATTTACCCTTTCATTTATCAGTCCCAGTACAGGGAATTCATCCCACTTAACACTTCTACACTTGACATGTGTTCACAGTTATTGATTGCAGCTTTCCTCTCAAGAGCCAAAGATTAGAAACAACCCAATTTCCTCCAGCAAGGGTCCGGTTAAATAAATGATGACCATCCACATGACAAAATACAATGTAGTTGGGAAAGAAAATAAGAAAAAGTGAAAGGAGGGAGCCTTTTATGTATCACTCTGGAAAGATCTCTGGCTAAACCCAGTTGCTACCAGGGCTAGCACTTACTGCTCTGTGCCTGAGGCACCCAGCTGGATTTTACCAGCACCTTAGGAGATTGCTTTACCAGCATGTCCCCAACACCTGGGTCATCATGGTCACTATGGGCCAGGCCGGAGCTCCTGGCCCAGCTCAACCACTGACCAGAAGAGAGATATTGGCCAGTCCTCCTGTGGGGACACATAGCCCAGGTCCTGCAGTGAACTCTAACCCTGGGCCTCCAGGTCACGTGAAGACAGACAAACTGCAGAGAGCTCTTCTTTGCTTGCCTTAAAGAATCAAGGTCAACTTCATTATGGAACCAGGAAATGGATATCCTCACATGCCCATTTTACAGATGGGAAAACTGAGGCCCAGTGAGGGGAAAGCCATTGGGAATCATGGATAGCATGGCATGGCCGTTTGGAGCAAGGATCCCACATCCCCTCCACCACAGGCCCCACCCAGGCTGGCCCTGAGCTGCGGGACAGGAACTTGTGCCTGACCTACTGATCCCGGCAGCTGCTCCCACTGAGCTTGGACCACGTGCTTGAGACCCGCCTCCCCTCATTTAAACCCTGCTCGGGCAGCCTCACACCAGTGGGGACCGTACTTGTTCACAGCAATTCTCTCAAGCCTCTAGAACAGAGCCTGACACAGGAGGTGCTTAATGTTTACTGAATAAATAGATGAATGAATCAGTGTAATCCTCCCAACAGCCCTTCGAGGGGGTGCTCTAAAGAATCCTGCGACACAAAGAAGTCTTGGGTTCATTCATTCAGTCATTCATGCATTCAGCACCTGTGTGCTGCTCCCTGTTGTATGCAGACACCTGGAATATGACAGTGAGCCTCAAACACCTGGAATATAACAGTGAACCCCAGGCCCCTGGAATATGATGGTGAATGCCAGACCCCTGGAATACGATGATAAACCCCAGGCCCCTGGAATACGATGGTGAACCCCAGGCCCCTGGAATACGATGGTGAGCCCAGACACCTGGAATACAGCAGTGAACCCCAGACACCTGGAATATGAGAGTGAATCCCAGACACCTGGAATACAGCAGTGAACCCCAGACACCTGGAATATGACAGTGAATCCCAGACACCTGGAATATAACAGTGAACCCAGGCACCTGGAATATGACGGTGAACCCCAGACACCTGGAATACGACAGTGAGCCCCAGACACCTGGAATACAACGGTGAACCCGACACCTGGAATACGACAGTGAACGCCAGACACCTGGAATATGATGGTGAACCCCAGGCCCCTGGAATATGACAGTGAACCCCAGACACCTGGAATACAACAGTGAACCCCAGACACCTGGAATACAACAGTGAGCCCCAGACACCTGGAATACAATGGTGAACCCCAGACACCTGGAATACGACAGTGAACGCCAGACACCTGGAATATGATGGTGAACCCCAGGCCCCTGGAATATGACAGTGAACCCCAGACACCTGGAATACAACAGTGAACCCCAGACACCTGGAATATGGTGGTGAACCCCAGGCCCCTGGAATATGACAGTGAACCCCAGACACCTGGAATATGACAGTGAATCCCAGACACCTGGAATATAACAGTGAACCCAAGCACCTGGAATATGACGGTGAACCCCAGACACCTGGAATACGACAGTGAACCCCAGACACCTGGAATATGGTGGTGAACCCCAGGCCCCTAGAATATGACAGTGAACCCCAGACACCTGGAATACGACAGTGAGCCCCAGACACCTGGAATACAACAGTGAACCCAACACCTGGAATACGACAGTGAACGCCAGACACCTGGAATATGATGGTGAACCCCAGGCCCCTGGAATATGACAGTGAACCCCAGACACCTGGAATACAACAGTGAACCCCAGACACCTGGAATACGACAGTGAGCCCCAGACACCTGGAATACAATGGTGAACCCCAGACACCTGGAATACGACAGTGAACGCCAGACACCTGGAATATGATGGTGAACTCCAGACCTCTGGAATATGGTGGTGAACCCCAGGCCCCTGGAATATGACAGTGAACCCCAGACACCTGGAATACGACAGTGAGCCCCAGACACCTGGAATACAATGGTGAACTCCAGACACCTGGAATACAACGATGAACCCCAGACACCTGGAATACGACAGTGAACCCCAGACACCTGGAATATGGTGGTGAACCCCAGGCCCCTGGAATATGACAGTGAACCCCGTAAACCTGGAATACAATGGTAAACCCTAGACACCTGGAATACAACGATGAACCCCAGACAACTGGAATATGAAAGTGAACGCCAGACACCTGGAATATGATGGTGAACCCCAGACCTCTGGAATATGACAGTGAACCTATACACCATCCCTGTCCTGAGAGCTCACAGCCCAACAGAGGGGACAGCATCTCACCCACAGCCAGCAGTGGAGGCTACAAAGCTAGAGCCTGCTCTAGCATAAGGTCTTGTGCCAGCCACAGAGCTAGAGCCACCTCCAGCTCCAACACTCGGGCCAGCTCCAGAGCTAAAGCCATCTTCAGTGTCGGTTCTTGCCCCCCTTCTGGCACCAGGCTAGAGTTAGAATCAGCTCCAGAATAAGAGCCAGTTCTAGATCTAGCTCCAGCACCACTGCCTGGGATAGAGGCAGCTCCAGCCCTGGCTCAGGCCCCCGCTACTGAGCCAGTTCCACAGCCAGAACGCGGCAGCTCGAGCATCGGCCACCACTCCAGCTCCAGTGCGGGAGCCTCAGGCAGGCACCACCTTCAGCACCAGCTCCTGTGCCAGAGCTTTAAGGCCCCTCCCTGGGCTGGCAACATTTCATTTTTATAGTATGTTTCTATTTCATATTCTTTATGGTTTATTATATTTTGTGATTTAAATTTTATATACAGATCAGGTGCAGTGGCTCATGCCTATAATTCCAGCTCTTTGGGAGGCTGAGGCAGGTGGATCGCTGGAGCTCAGGAGTTTGAGACTAGCCTGGGAAACATAGTGAAACCCTGTTTCTACAAAAAAAAAAAAAAAAAAAATTAGCCAAGTGGTAGTCCCAGCTCCTCGGGAGGCTGAGGTGGGGGTTTCCCTCGAGCCTGGGAGGTTGAGGTTGCAGTGAGCCGAGATCTCGTCACTGCACTCCAGCCTGGGTGACAGAGCAATACTCTGTCTCAAAAAACTAAAACAAATTATACACAATGAAATGAAATTTAAACTTTAATCATTGTAAACTATACAATTCATGGATATTAAATGCATTTACTATGTGGTATAACCATCACCACTCTCTAGTTCTAGAATTTTTTCATCACCACTAACAGACACCCTGTACCCATTAAGCAGTCACTCTCCACCCCTCACCCCTGACAACCACTCATCTGCTTTCTGTCCCTGTGGAGTTCTCTGTCTGGCCTGTGGCCCCCTCTTGAGCACAGCTGACCATCCTTCTGCCCTTCCCCACCAAGCTGAAGACCCCTGACAACGCCAACACGTTTTCAACCGTGAACTCTACCGCTGACTATGACTTTGTCCAAAAGAAGCAACGCTTAGCAAGGGGACACAGGTCAGGTGTGGAGGCAGCTCGGCCCTCCTTGCATGAAGCAGAAGGGACTGGAGATTCCCAAGGGCATCCTCTCAGCCATCTCCTGTGCTGACTCACCACAGGGCCGCCCTCCCCAGGGTCTGGCTGCTGGCTAGGCACTTACAGACTGGAGGGGACCAGGCCAGTCAGGCACCTTCCAGCCACCTGCAAGCCCAGGCCACCCCAGACTCCAGGGGCTCTGTCCTTCTGTTGGATAAAACACCTGCTGGTCACCAGGCTGACCTGGCCTCAGTGGACCGCCATAATTGCCTTCTGTGCCCTGGGAACCAGAGGACCAGCTAACCCTTTCCAGCAGGTGCTGCCACCATGCTCCGAGCCCTGTTGGCCCCACGTGCTGCCCCCCCCCCCACCAGCATGTCCCTGACACCCTTCT
This sequence comes from Homo sapiens, assembly GCF_000001405.40. Lineage (NCBI taxonomy): Eukaryota > Metazoa > Chordata > Mammalia > Primates > Hominidae > Homo > Homo sapiens. Next base: position 133,188,683 of record NC_000009.12, on the reverse strand, counting down.
AGTACAGGTCACTGCCATCCATGCCCGGGGCATCCTAGAGCACCCACTCAGCCAGCAGATCTGACAATGGTGAAGCTGCCCTTCCAGCCGCCAGGCCCCCAGCAGGGAGCTCAGGACCAGAGGCAGCTTCCACTCAAGCCCTGAGACCAGCTCAGGTGAGCTCCTCCCTCAGCAGCCGGGACATTGCCAATGCACTCAGCGTGCACTCAGCCGGCTCCTCCAGCTGCAAAGTGAAGGAGATCAATGTCAGCTTTGTCCTGGAGCCCCCTAATGGCAGGGAAAGAAGGCGACTGCTTGCCCTTCTCCCTGACAGCTCTTTCATTCTATGTCCCCTCCCAGCCGGTGCCTGCGTTCCCCACTCTGCACCCAAAAAAGAAGCAACAAACCCCTGACTGCTGAATGGAGCTGCTAACAAGCCCCAGAGGGGGACGCTGGCCTCAGAAGCCCTGCAGGGTCCAGGCTTCTGCTGATCTTGCTATTCCCCTCAGTTCTGGGAATCGACCTTGCTGTCATCCGCAGGGACCTCCGGCACCAACTCCGACTCCAGCAGCACCTCCTCCTCTTCAGCCTCCAGCACACCACGGCTGCTAAACCCACCTTCAAATTCTCAGTCTCAGGGCTCTGCAGCCACAGCTCCTCACGCTGCTCTACAACCTGCAGGTAGGCGACGCCACGTCATCCACATCGGCCCGGACAAGGACAAGACAACAGGTACAAGAGCGTCCTGGGGTGCCAGGCAGGTGGGCAGTCCCTGGTCCCCTCACTCAGGCCTCTCTGGGTACAGACGGACCTCTCCTGCAGGACTGTTTTGACAAGTGACCAGTTCTGGGCCATCCAGGCAGCATGCCCAGCCTGAGCGGAGGCTGATGGTCCCCACAGTCCTCATCTAGAGCCAGAACGAGCTCCCCAACCAATTCAGAATTGGAGCCAGCACCAGACATGGAGCTAGACCCAGTGCCAAGTTCAGAGGAAGAGCCAGTGGCAGCACTGGCTCTCGCATCAGCTCCAGAGGTAGAGCCCGGGCCAGCAGCAGCTCCCGCACCAGCTGCAGAGCTACAGATGGCCCCAGCACTAGCTTCAGAGCTACAAGCAGCTCCAGAAACAGCTCTAGCACCATCAGCGGAGGTAGATCTAGCTCCAGTACGAACTTGAACATCAAATCCGGAGTTTGGGCACCTTTATCACAAATTGCTGCACTAGCTGCAATGGTAGTTCTAGCACCAGCTCTAGAGCTTGAACCGGCTCCAAAATGATTACAGAATTAGAGTCAATGCCAGGCTCATACTATGGCCAGCACCAGATTCAGAGGAAGTCAGGTCCAGAGCCAACTCTAGCACTAGCTCCAAGCTAGAGCCTGTGCTGCCTCCAGAGCCTAAACAAGAGCTCTAGCTCCAACACCAAAGCAACTCCAGAGATAGAGGCAGCTCTCTCAACTCGGATACCATCTCTAGAGCTAACCCCAGCTGCAACAAGAGCTCTAGCTCCAACACCAATCCAGAAATCGCTCAAGCACCACCACTCCCAGCAACTCCAGGGATAGAGGCAGCTCTAACGCCAACTCTGGTGCCATCTCTAGAGCTATGACCTGCCCCAGCACCAATTCAAGGAGACAGCCAGTGAGAGTTTTCATTTCGGATACAGGTCCAGAACCTCCTGTAGTATCACCTCCTGACCTAGAGCCACTCCAGCATCCACCTCACAGCTAAGGCTAGTGCCGGCTGCACGTCAAACCCGACTCTGCCATCACCTCCAGAGGGAGAGCCAGTCGCTGGCCCAGAACCACAGCTAGAATCAGCTCTGGCACCAGCTCCAGTCCCAGCTCCCAAGATACAGCCAGTGCCAGCCCCAGGACCAGAACCTTCATGGCCCTCACCTGTCAAGGCATTCTTTTTTTCCTGCCTGGTTTTCTTTTATTCATATACTTTATAGTTACCTGTATTTTATGTTATAAAATTCATATAAAATAAAGGTTACTTTTTTTTTTTTGACACGGAGTATTTCTCTGTCGTCAGGCTGGAGTGCAATGGCATGATCTCAGCTCACTGCAACCTCCGCCTCCGGAGTTCAAGCAATTCTCCCGCCTCAGCTCTCGCGTAGCTGGGATTACAGGTGCCTGCCACCATGCCCAGCTAATTTTTGTATTTTTAGTAGAGACAGGGGGGTTCACCATGTTGGCCAGGCTGGTCTTGAACTCCTGACCTCGTGATCCGCCCGCCTCGGCCCCCAAAGTGCTGGGATTACAGGCATGAGCCACCGCGCCCGGCCTAAAGTTTACCTTTTAAAACGTACCCAATTGTACAACTGAGTGGTATTCACTACATTCACCATCCTGGGCACCATCACCACTCTCAGTTCTAAACACTTCCATCACCCCAAACGGAAACCCTGCCCCTGGTAAGTAGTCACGCCCCATCTCCCACTCGGCGCCTCTAGCACCAGAGCTGGCCCCTGAGCTCCCATTAGAGCTCCCCCTGCTGTCAGCCGCGAATCTGCCACCCGTCTATTCGTCTACCTTCTCTGGATTTTTCATACAAGTGAAATCATATCACGTGTGGCCTTCGCTGAAGGGTTTCTTGCACTTAGATGTTTTCAAGGTTCATCAGCTTTGTAGCATATATCAATACCTCATCCCTCCTTATGGCTGGATAATATTCCACTGTATGGACAGACCATACTTTTTTTTTGAGACAGGGTCTCACTCTGTTGCCTGCCCAGGCTGGAGTGCAATGGCACAATCATGGCTCACTGCAGCCTCGACAACCCAGGTTCAAGCAATCCTCTCACCTCAGGCTCCTGAGTAGTTGGGATTACAGGCACACGTCATCACACCCGACTAAATTTTTTTTTTTTTTTTTTTTTTTTTTTTTTTTTTGGAGAGATGAGGTCTTACTGTGTTGCCTAGACTGATCTTGAGCTACTCCTGGCCTCAGGTGATCCTCCTACCTCATCCTCCCAAAGTGCTGGCATTATAGGCATGAGCCACCACACCCAGCTTGTATTCAATTCTTTTGGGTATATACCTAGGAAAGAAATCACGGGGCCGGGCGCGGTGGCTCACGCCTGTAATCCCAGCACTTTGGGAGGCCGAGGCGGGCGGATCACGAGGTCAGGAGATCGAGACCATCCCGGCTAAAACGGTGAAACCCCGTCTCTACTAAAAATACAAAAAATTAGCCGGGCGTAGTGGCGGGCGCCTGTAGTCCCAGCTACTCGGGAGGCTGAGGCAGGAGAATGGCGTGAACCCGGGAGGCGGAGCTTGCAGTGAGCCGAGATCCCGCCACTGCACTCCAGCCTGGGCGACAGAGCGAGACTCCGTCTCAAAAAAAAAAAAAAAAAAAAAAAAAAGAAATCACGGAGTCAAATGGTAGCACTATGCTGAATTTTCTGGGGAACTGCCAAACTGCTTTCCAGCCACTACACCATTTTACACTTACTCCAGCAAAATATGAGGCTTCGGTTTCCTCAACATCCTCTCCAGCCGTCGTTACTCTCATTTTGTAAAATGTGGCCACCTAGTGGGTGTGGAGTGGGATCTCACTGTGGTTTTGGTTTACATTTCTCCAACACCTCGGGATGCGAATCATCTTTTCCTGTGCTACTGGCCACTTACTTGTACATCTGCTTTGAAGAAATGTCTCTGCAAGTCTTTTACCCATTTTTAATTAGGTTATTTGTGTTTTGATGTCGAGCAGTAAAAAGTCTGTATATATTCTGGATATAAAACCGTTGTCAGATTTATAATTTGCAAATATTTTCTACCATCCTGTGGGTTTGCTTTTCATTCTTTTCAGGGTGTACTTAAGGGGTTTTAATTTCAATGAAGTCCAATTTACCTGTTTTTTTTCTTCTGTTGTTTGTGCTTTTTGTATATTTAAGAAACCATTTCCAAATCAAAGGGCATAGAGATTTGCTCTTTTCTCTAAGAGTGTCATTTTTCTTCCCCCTGCCTAGGCTGGAGTGAGTGCAGTGGCGTGACCTCGGCTCACTGCAGCCTCCGCCTCCGGTGTTCAAACAATTCTCGTGCCTCAGCCACCCGAGTAGCTGGGATTACAGGCATGTGCCACCATGTCTGGTTTTTTTTTTTTTTTTTGTATTTTTAATAGAGACAGATTTTGCCATGTTGGCCAGGCTGGTCTCGAACTCCTGGCCACAGGCGTTCCACACGCCTCAGCCTCCCAAAGTGCTAAGATTACAGGCATGAGCCACCACACCCGGCCGAGTGTTAAAGTTTCATTTCTCAAATTTAGGTCTTTAATTCCTTTTAAGTCAATATTTTATATGGTATTAGGTAAGGCTCCAACTTCCCTCTTTTGCCTGAGGATATCCAGTTCTGCTGGCACCATTTGTGGAAGAGACTGTTTCTGCCTCACTGAATGATCCTGATAGCCATGTTGAAAATCAATTGACATACATGTATGGATTTATCTCCTGATTCTCAACTGTATTCCACTGATCTGTATGTGTATTCCTCATCTCTGCTGCAACTTTGCTGAAATTGTTCATTAACTCTAAGATTATTTTTATTCCATAGAATTTTCTACACATAAGTTCATGTCATCAATAAACAGAGATACTTGGCCAGGCGCAGTGGCTCATGCCTGTAATCCCAACACTTTGGGAGGCCGAGGCGGGTGGACCACAAGGTCAGGAGTTCAAGACCAGCCTGGCCAACATGGTGAAACCCCGTCTCTACTAACAATACAAAAATTAGCTGGGCGTGGTGGTGCGCATCTGTAATCCCAGCTACTCGGGAGACTGAGGCAGGAGAGTCACTTGAACCTGGGAGGCAGAGGTTGCAGTGAGCCGAGATTGCGCCACTGCACTCCAGCCTGGGCGACAGGGCGAGACTCCATCTCAAAAAACAAAACAAAACAAAACAAAAAACAGAGATACTTTTACTTCTTTCTTTCCAATTTCAGTGCCTTTATTTCTTTGTCTTGCCTAATTGCTCTGGTCAAACTTCCATCACGATGTTGGAGTGAAGTGGTGAAAGCAGGCATCCTTGTCTCGTTCTTCATCTGAGGCAGAGAGCTCTCAGCCTTTCACCACCGAGTCACAGTAGGTGTGAGTTTTTCGTAAGTACTCTTAATCCTGTTGAGGAAGTTCCCTTCTATTTCTCTTTTATTGAGTGCTCTTATCATGACAGTGTTGGATTTTGTCAAATGCTTTTTCTGCGTGAATTGGGATGATGGGTTTTTCCCTTCATTCTAGGGAGACGGTGTATCATATTGAAGATTTTGAGAAGTCTGAGAAGGATTGGTGTTACATGTTAAATGTCTGGGAGGATACGCCAGTGAAGTCACCTGGTTCTGGGCTTTTCTTTGTGGGAAAGTTTCTGATCACTGACTCAATCTCCTCACTCTGACAGGTCTGTTTAGATTTTCCATTTCTTGACTCAGGTGTGGTAGTTTGTATGTTTCTAGGAATGTGTCCATTTCATTTACGTTAACCAACTAGTTGGCCTACAATTGTTCCTAGCATTCTCTTTATAAATCCTTTTTATTTCCGTGGGGTCATTGGTGATGTCACCCTGTCATTTCTGATTTTAGTAATTTGAGTCTTATCTCTTTTTTTCTTAGTCAACTAGCTAAAGGTTTCTCAATTTTGTTAACCTTTCATGGAAGGAACATGTTTTCACTGATTTCCTCTAGTGCTCCTCTCTCCTCTATCCCATTTATCTCTGCTCTAATCTTTATTATTTCCTTCCATCTGCTAACTTTATGGGGTTGGGGGGGTTTTTTGTTTGTTTGTTTGTTTGTTTGCTTTACGACAGGGTCTCACTCTGTGACCCAGGCTGGAGTACAGTGGTGCCATCTTGGCTCACTGCAGCCTTGATCTCATGGACTCAAGCTATCCTGCCACCTCAGCCTCTCAAGTAGCTGGGACCACAAGCACATGCTAATTTTTTAAATTTTTTATAGAGACAGGGTTTCACCATCTTGCCCAAGCTGGTCTTGAACTCCTGAGCTCAAGCAGTCCTTCTGCCTCAGCCTCCCACAGTGCTGGGATTACAAGCATGAGCCACCATGCCTGCAAGGGCATCTTCTAATCAACCCCTGGCACCAACCAGGGCTTCCCTTCCTAGGGTCTCACCTGCAGAGTGGCTAAGCACTTACAGACGGGAGTGGACAAAGCCATCCAGACACCCTCCACCCACCTGTCAGCCCAGGCCACCTCCAGATTCCAGTTTCACACAGAACCTGTCCTGCTGCTGGGCAGGACACCTCCTGGTCACCAGGCTGACCTGGCCTCTGTGGACTACTCACTGCCTTAGGTGCCTTTTGCTCCCCAGGATCCAAAGGAGTAGCTGACTTTTTCCAAGGAGCACTGCCCATGGGGACGGAGCCCTGACACCAAAGGGACGGCTGCCCTCTGTGCGCTTCCCTCACACTTTCCCAGATATGAGTCACAGCCACCTGTGCCAACGAGCACCCTTAGAACACCCATTCACCCAGCAGGTGTGACCGCTGCAAAGCTGAACCTTCCATCTGGCCACCAGGCCCCCAGCATGGAGCCTGGGACCAGCAGCAGCCCCTACTCCAAGGCTGGAACCAGCTCAGATGCAACCCTCTCAATCCAAGGAGTCTGGGACTCCACATTCTGGGACTCCAGCTAATTTTATGCATAAAAATTATGGGCCCAGAACTTGTGCATTTTTAGAAAAATGGGTTAACCTAACTAAAGAAAACTTAGAATTAAGATGGCTGCAATGGGGAAGTTTTAATTTGGATAAAATTGTTTATTTATGAGGCATATTAGAAAAGGGGGAATGAAAAACCCCATAAAACAGTGGGATGTGTATTCTTTTATTGGTATGCAGAAGCCCCTAAAAGAGTAAATGAATCAAAAATTGACTCCTTAAAAGATTCTTTGCAAAAAGCAAACGAAAAGCTTAAGCAACAAACTAACGACATGATGAAAGAGGACTGTACTGTGACTGACCTCATCCTGACTGTTCCTTCTCTTTATCCTTCTCTACCTACATACTCTGAGTCCACTAACCTTTTTGCTAAATTACCCTTTCAGGCCAGGCTTGGTGGCTCATGCCTATAATCCCAGCACTTTGGGAGGCCGAGGTGGGTGGATCACCTGAGATCAGGAGTTTGAGACCAGCCTGGCCAATATGGTGAAACCTCGTCTCTACTAAAAATACAAAATTAGCTGGGCGTGGTGCTGCGTGCCTGTAATCCCAGCCACTCGGGAGGCTGAGGCAGGAGAATTGCTTGAACCCAGGAGGCAGAGGTTGCAGTGAGCCGAGATCATACCACTGCACTCCAGCTTGGGTGACAGAGTGAGACCCTGTCTCAAAAAAATAAAAAATAAAAAATATGTATATATTACCCTTTCACCCTGAAGACGATTAAAAAAATAATAATAAGTTAGACAGGCACCTTACAAAGTGAGACTTTCTGATCAGTCATGCCTGCCTGCTGTAACTACTTTCACTCCATGGTCTAAAACTGAGCTTAGAGCCATTGTGAGGGACTTGCCTGATCCAAGAGAAAATCCTCAAAAATTTACTGAGGAATTTAGAATCCTCATAGGAGCTTATGATCCAGGACTTCCTGACCTTCACTAATGTATTCCCGTGATATTGGGGCCTGGTAAAGCTCGGAAATGGACGGCAGCAGCAGAATGGGGCAAACCTGAGGAGGATGTTAAAGACCCCTCCAAAAGCTCCTCACAAGAAGGACCAAAAGTCGCTGGAAAAATTGCTGAAAACCTTTTAAATTCAATTCCTAAAATTTTTCCGCAAAAAATGGACTGGTCCATCATACAATCTTGTAAACATAACAAAAAAAAAGATTTCAGTTTCAGATTACAGAACTCACTTAGAAATGCTGTTTGTGAAACATTCTGGGATCCAAGTACAACAAGAAGTATTTCCTGCAAGGACTGAAACGGCATTAAGTGCTCTATTTGTAAATGGACTCCATCCCGAACTCAGCAATTTAATTAAAATACATGAGTTGGGATAGGAAGTTACAGATATGACTAAATTGTTGGCCTTAGCTGGACATTTTGAGAGGACTCTAGAGCAAGAAAAAACTCAAAAGGCTAACAAGCTTATGGCCCTTCAGCTATAACAGTTACAGGGACCGGGACCCAAGGGATTAATCATTTTATGTATTTATTTAGAGACGGAGTTTCACTCTGTCACCCAGGCTGGAGTGCAGTGGTGAGATCTCGGCTCACTGCAACCTCCACCTCCCACGTTCAAGCGATTCTCATGCCTCAGCCTCCCAGGTAGCTGGGATTACAGGTGCGTGCCACCGTGCCCGGCTAATTTTTGCATTTTTAGTAGAGACAGCTTTTCACCATGTTGGCCAGGCTGGTCTCGAACTCCTGACCTCAAAAGATCCGCCCGCCTTGGCCTCCCAAATTGCTGGGATTACAGGCGTGAGCCACTGCGCTCTGCCTCCTTCTCATTTTAAATCACAATCAGGAGGTCCTAGAACAAGAAGTTCTTTGCCCCAAGATGTCTGCCTGTATTGCAAACAACCAGGGCACTGGAAAAGGGATTGTCCGCTTTTCTATCAGTCCACCAATGAGCCTCCCTTTCGGCCAAACTGTTTCACCACTAGAGGGAGCCCAAGAGACCTTAGGCCTCCTGATAATAATCAACCTTGATGAGGTTCCAAGGGATTCTCCAGTAGATTGCTCTCCGTGCCTTTAAATCAACGTGGAGAAACAGGTTAAAATAAATGGGGAGTTGTGTACAGTCCTCGGGGATATGGGGGCTACTCTATCTACCATAAACCCCACTTTAATAAGCCAACAAATCCCTTGGAGTAAAAAGGTCATTTCTGTGGTGGGGGTTTCAAATCAAGTTTAAGAGGTTCCCGTATCTGAACCAATCCAATTAGCTTTGGGCCCCTTTTCAGAAAAACACTTTTTTACTATGTTATACTGCTCCAGTAAACTTGTTAGGGCGAGATTTGCTTTCAAAGCTAAAAGGGCACATAAAATTTTTCTCAGGAGAAATAACCTTAGAGTTTCCTGATTCTCCTGGACTAGAATTGTTATGCTGTCTACAGACAGAAATCTATAAGATTGAAACTCAGGCCTGTAATACCCCTGATCTTTCAAAAATATCTAAATGTTTTTGGGCCTCTTCCCCAACTGATATGGTAAGAATTAAAAGTTTGGAACCTATAAAAGTACAAAGAGATCGTTCTAAACCTTTGCCTAAATTACCCCAATATCCTCTAAAACCTGAAGCAATTCAAGGGCTGTCACCAATTGTAGAGGATTTCATTAAACAAGGACTCATAATCCCGTGCACCAGCCCTTGTAACAGTCCAGTACTACCAGTTAAAAAACCAAATGGACAAGGCTGGAGATTTGTTTAAGATTTACGGGCATTTAATAAAATTGTAATACCAAGATTCCTGTAGTTCCAAATCCTGATACTTTATTATCTAATGTACCAATTAGTTCCAAGTGGTCCACAGTAATAGATCTCTGCTTAGCCTTCTTTAGCATTCCAGTTCATAAAGAAAGTTTGGTGGCTCACGCCTGTAATCCCAGCACTTTGGAAGGCCGAGGCAGGTGAATCACCTGAGGCCAGGAGCTCAAGACAGCCTGACCAACATGGTGAAACCCCCATCTCTACTAAAAATACAAAAAGTAGTCAGGCATGGTGGCGGGCACCTGTAAGTAATCCCAGCTACTCAGGAGGCTGAGACAGGAGAATCGCTTGAACCCAGGAGGCAGAGGTTGCAATGAGCCAAGACCATGCCATTGCATTCCAGCCTGGGCGACAGCAGCGAAACTCTGTCTCCAAAGAAAAAAAAAAGTCAATACTTGTTTGCCTTTACTTGGAAAAATAGGCAATACACCTGGGCTGTAAAGCCACTAGGGTTTACCAAAGCCACTTCATATTTTTCCCAGGCATTGCATCAGGACTTAATAACACTACAATTTCCTCAAAATTGTACTCTCATTCAGTATGTAGATGACTTATTGTTCTCCCACTAAGGAGTGCTCTGAAATTGACTCAGTTTACCTTTTACAACAACTTGCATATAAAGATCACAAGGCTTAAATGGAAAAACTTCAGTTTTCAAAAGAAAAATTCCACTATTTGGGACATGACTTGACTGCCAAAGGGATTTCCTCTCACCTGGGAGGATAAAAACTGTTCAAAGTTTTCCTTGACCTGAAACCAAAAGACAATTAAGAGGATTTCTTGGACTTACAGGATATTGCAGATCCTGGGTTCCAAATTTTTCCTTAATAGGTTCGCCATTGTATGAACTCACTAAAAATGCTGTACCAGAGCCTTTACCTTGGGAAGATAGTCATGAGCAGGCTTTTAGCCAAATGAAGTTGGCCTTACAACAGCCCCCAGCTTTAGGACTTCCAAATTACCCTAAGCCTTTCACCTTGTTTGTTCATGAGTGTGACAATCAGGCATTAGGAGTCCTTACACAAGAACGTGGTGCTAAACATAGGTCCATTGCATACGATAGCCTGCAATTAGGCCCAGACTCTAAGGCATATTCTAACTGTTTAAAAGCAGTAGCAGCAGCTGCCAAGCTGGTAGAAGCTTCATCAGATCTGGTTTTAGGAAGCGAACTTAATTTGCAAACCTCACATGCTGTGGAAAGTCTGTTAAATTCCAACCAAACCCAGCATTTTTCAGTAAGTAAACTAACATTTTATGAATTACTGCTATCTCCTAATCTTCATTTAAAATGCTGTAATCTACTTAACCCTGCTACTCTGTTACCTTTGCCTGACGATGGTGAAGAACACAACTGTGTAAATGTAGTGCCAGAAATAGTGGCCCCTCATGTTGATTTACAAGATACTCCAGTGGATAATCCTGGATTTATACTTTTTGTTGATAGGTCCTATCCTAAAATCTCAGAAGGAAAATACCAGGCAGAATATGCTGTTACCATCCAAAATGAGTGAATAGAGAAGGAAACGCTTCCTCAATTTAAGTCAGCCCGAACTGCAGAGCTTTTTGTCCTTACCCAAGTTTGTCATATAGCTGAGGACAAGTCAGTAAATATTTATACAGCTAGTAGATATGCTTTCGGAGTAGTACATGATTTTGGCGTGATATGGAAACTATGAGGGTTTCTCACCTCTAGTGGGACCTCCATCAAAAATAGACCCCAAGTAAATGAGCCCCTTTCTGCTATCCTGTTACCATTGTAGACTGTTGTTACTAAGATTGAAGCTCATACTTGTAGAACTGAACCCAAATATCAGGGAAATGCTTTAGCAAATTTTTATGCTAAATCAGCTAGTGCTGAAACTGTTAAGAAATGCAATCTGAATGAACTCCATTGGATTAAGCCGAGCCCACTTCCTTATGATGACCTGCTTAGTAAACAGTGCAGTGCACCTGATTTGGAAAAGCAAAATTGGTATCTAAAAGGATGTAAATTTAATGTGATGCACAGACTCACGGAGGGCCCAGACGGCCGCCTGGTCCTTCCTGAGTCTTTGAAGCTTCCATTGTTGAAAACGCTGCACTCCACCGCTCATCATGGAACAGACAAAATGATCCAAATTATGAAAAAATACTGGTCGGGTGACTGTTCCAAAATTGCTAAAATGGTTTATAATCAATGTTTGACTTGTCAAACTCATAATCCTGGAAAAACAATCAAAACTTCAGGTCATATATTTCCACCACCTGATGAACAATTTGAGCATTTACAGATGGACTTAATTTAGTTGTGACGCGCAATGGGGTATCAGTATGTTCTTGTAATAGTTTGCATGTTTTTGGCCGGGCGTGGTGGCTCACGTCTGTAATCCCAGCCCTTCGGGAGGCCGAGGTGGGTGGATCACAAGGTCAGGAGATCGAGACCATCTTGGCTAACATGGTGAAACCCCCTCTCTACTAAAAAATACAAAAAAATTAGCCGGGCGTGGTGGCAGGCACCTGTAGTACCAGCTACTCGGGAGACTGAGGCAGGAGAATGGTGTGAACCCGGGAGGCAGAGCTTGCAGTGAGCCGAGATCGCGCCACTGCACTCCAGCCTGGGCAACAGAGCAAGACTCCGTCTCAAAAAAACAAAAAGGGGCCCCTTCAGAGTCCTGGAACTGTACACCTGTTGGAGACTTTAAAGTAAAGCTGACCAAGGAAATCTCTCTTCAGAAGCAGACAGCATCCTAGTTTTGGACAGCTTTCCCAAGATCATGGACCAAGACTTCTCTATCATCAGGAAAGCCTTATGTGTTTTTCTGTTTTCCTCATCTTCTGCCCTAATCTTGTCCTTTTCCCTACAGGCAAACCCATGGCACCATAATCAGTGGATGGCTTTAGCTCAAGTTTATGCTCTAGCACAAAACCAGAGTAATTGTTGGGTTTGTGGGCTAATGCCAAAAAAAAATCAGGAAATGATTCCACTGGTGCCAGTGCCCCTCCGCGTTCCCAGCGAGAGCTACCTGAAACTAAGGGAAGAACAGAAAGTTATTCTTGATATGCTAAACATCACTGCTACTTGCTTCCTACACTCACTAAAAACAACACTCTAACTTTTTCAATTGATAAGTCGATCATTACCAAATATAAAAAAACAATCCAAGGCTGGGTGCAGTGGCTCATGTCTGTAATCCCAGCACTTTGGGAGGCTGAGGCAGGTGGATCAACTGAGGTCAGGAGTTTGAGACCAGCCTGGCCAACATGGTAAAACCCCATCTCTACTAAAAATACAAAAATTAGCCAGGCATGGTGGTAGGCGCCTATAATCCCAGCTACTGGGGAGGCTGAGGTAGGAGAATCACTTGAACCTGGGAGGCAGAGGTTGCAGTGAGCCAAGATCGTGCCATTACACTCCACTCCAGCCTGGGCAACAAGAGCGAAACTTCGTCTCAAAAAAAAAAATCCAAGTGATGCCAGCAAAAGATACATTGTGCTTCCAGACATCACGCACTCAAGATTTGGGAATTACTTATGTTGATACAAGTGATTGCTTGTATAATGTAACTGGATTAAATCCAGTAGGGTCTCTTTTTTACTAGATATGGTTATATACCCTTACAACATGCTATAAAGGGGCCACAGAAAAGTAAATTTCCCACTGGACGTTGTTCAGGAGGTATGCAGATTTGTGGTCGAACAAACCTGACTGATCTCTGCTCAAATGCAACTAGGTGGCCCTCTTTTCCAATCCCCAAGGGTCTATACTGGGTCTGTGAAGAGTCTGCGTATCCTGTTCTGCCTCCTCATTGGTTGGGTTCTTGTTATGTGGCCTGGCTTGCTCCTGCCTTTCAAATAGCTTCCCCTGAAAATTCTCATGATGGCCCTTATGATTGGAGGCCAAAATGATCAATAACTGAAATTAGCACTAGCCTTGAAATATTTGAGGATAAGCTCGTTTCTACTGAGGAAAGATTCCAGTGGGATTCCTGGGGGTGCACTCTTGGTGGTAGTGAGATAGCAGTTGTATGGAATTTAAAGCTAATTTGTAAATTGGGAAAAATCTTGGATTTTGTAATCAATCAGACCTCCCAGGGTTTCAGATGGGTAGAAGCTGCTCTCAGAAAGATAGATGACAGGGCTGGGCATGGTGGCTCACGCCTGTAATCCCGGCATTTGGGAGGCCAAGGCGGGCAGATCTCTTGAGGTCAGAAGTTTGAGACCAGCCTGGCCAACATGGTGAAACCCCATCTCTACTAAAAATACAAAAATTAGCCAGGCATGGTGGCTCATGCCTGTAATCCCAGCTACTTGGGAGGCTGAGGCAGTAGAATCGCTTGAACCCAGGAGGCGGTGGTTGCAGTGAGCCAAGATAATGCCATTGCACTCCAGCCTGGGCAACAGAGTGAGACTCCATCTCAAAAAAAAAAAAGATAGATGACAACACGTGAATTCAGCAAAAACACTTACTGGAACATCGTGCAACCTCAGATCTTTTTGCTCAAGCTGGAAGCCTAGGTTTGGTGTTAAACAAAACTGAATGTTGTACTACTTATCTCTTACCTGATTTTGTTATTACAGGAAGCTTAATTTAAAAGGTGCTGATACTGCTGTTTCCTTAGACACTGCCACCAAATACATTAAAGACATCTCTCAAGAGAAAGGAGCCCATGACATGTTTACAATAGGCAACTAACGGTTTGCAGGCATCCTAAGGGTGGATGGCAAGCTTGGGTTTTCCAAGGGCTTCTAATCCTTATAATTCTTCTAGTAGGTTTCCAAGTTATTATGACTTGTATTACCAATGTAACAATGAAAATGAGTAACTGTTTAAGTCAGGCCACTTTACAGCAAACCATGGTCCTTAATCGCTATCATACTCTAAACGAGGATAATGACCAATTGGACCCTAACACTGTTGAACTGCCTATATTGTCTGAACCTTCACTTGGCTAATTTGGTTCGGTTCATTTCATAAGAACTCTCATTAAGGAGTACGCCTTGGCATTTTGATAGTATCCTCTTGATAGTCATAATAATCGTCACCCTGATACACTGTATCCTCTCAAGTCTTAAATGTTTTGTATGCAGCCATCCATTGAGAGTTGAATGGTCTCATTCCAACCAGGTCAAAAAGAACATAAAGAATCATTTAGCTGGTACAAAGCTGCAACTTGTGAATTCCATGTTAACACCAAAGAAGATGTGTGAGACTCCATACTGAAACTAAAGAAGACTTGTGAATTCCACACTGAGACCAAATAAGTCTTTAGGATGGTGACAGAGAGTGGCATCAATGCCTAAAGCTTCGGTCAATCTCTCTAAATTGAGAGGCTGACCAAAAGAGGGGAATTGTTAAAGCAAACTAAATATGGCCTAAGAAGGGACTCCCTACCTCTCTATTTGAGTCCTTGTGGATGAACCATAAGCTGGCTTAATAGGCAGACAAGATGGAAAACCCAACTTAGTAGTATGCACCTATAACAATGGCTGAGTGTTGGCCAATCCCAGCGGCCATACTTCAACCACTCATAGACTGCTGAGTGTTTAAACTGTGTTCAACTAAGGCAAACGCCGAGATGCAACCAATCTCTGTTTCTGTACTTCATTTCCAATTCCTGTACATCACTTTACTTTTTTGTCTATAAATTTGTTCTGACCACGAGGAACCCCCAGAGTCTCTGAATCTGCTGTGATTCTGGAGGCTGCCCGATTTGTGAATCATTTCTTTTTTATTTTTTTCCAATTAAACTCCATCAAATTTAACTTGTCTGAAGTTTTAACAGCTGGTAACACCAGCACCATAGCTTCCTGATGCATTCACTCATTCAGCAAATATTCTCTGGTCCTGCTGTGTGCCCAGCTGTGTGCCTCAGTGAGCGTGATCCGATGAGGTCACTCCCCACGTGGAGCTCACGCCCACTCTGTGACGTGCAGGGACGGTCCATGGGGTTAGCAGGGATGATGAGCACCGGGAATTGGCCATTTTATTAAAAGAGAGTCCTGTATTTGAAAGAAATAATGGAGAAAAGGCCTACTTGGCACTTGATCTTGAAAAATGAAATAAAAATATGAAAAATAAATGTAGCCTTTTTTGTTTGCTTGTTTGCTTTAAGACAGGGTCTCACTCTGTTGTCCAGGCTGAAGTGCAATGGTGCAATCTCACTGCATTCTCTCCCTCCCTGGCTCAAGCAATCCTCCCACCTTAGACTCCCAAGTAGCTGGGACTACAGGCACACACCACCACACCCAGTTAATTTTTGTATTTTTGTATTTTTTGTAGAAACGGGGTTTCTCCATGTTGCCCAGGCTGGTCTTGAACTCCTGGCTTCAAGGAATCTGCTCACTTCGGCCTCCCAAAGTGCTGGGATTACAAGTGTGAGCCACCATGTCCAGCCAAATGTATATTTAACAAAATGTGGCCCAGTGCAGTGGCTCACGCATGTAATCGCAGCACTTTGGGAGGCTGTGGCGGGCGGATGACCTGAGGTCAGGAGTTTGAGACCAGCCTGGCCAATATGGAGAAACTCCGTCCCTACTGAAAATACAAAAATTAGCTGGGCGTGGTGGTGGGCACCTGTAATCCCAGCTACTGGGGAGACTGAGGCTGAGAATCGCTTGAACCTGACAGGCAGAGGTTGCAGTGAGCTGAGATCATGCCACTGCACTCCAGCCTGGGTGACAGAGAAAAACTCTGTCCCAACCCCCCTCCCCCAGAAAAGGAAGCTATAATAGCAAGTATACACTGAGTTTTAGAAACAACAATGAATAAATAAGTCCACAGTAGATTAGGTACGTGTGACACAATTTTTACGACAAAATTATAGCGTATCAGCAGAAATCTTCTAGGGCCTCATTAATTTTCCTAAGGGTTCGTAAATCTTCTAGTGCTTAAATTGTTCTCTTTGAAACCGTCTGTCACATTATCTTTTTTGTCAGTTGTCTCTTCTTCCATTGCTAAGTGATCTGACTCCGCCAGGGTCTCCCTTGGCAGTGGCTTGCTGTGTCTGGACAGGCTGCCAGCAGCCCTTCCTCAGCCAGGCGAGCTCCGGTTTCTTCCCACGATTTGCATTTCCCTTTGCAATTGATTGGCATTTTGACTGTGCATCACTTTGCATGTGCACATGCCGTGTCTCCTTTAGTGACTTCATGAGTTAGGACTTTTGTCCCCATTTTACAGATTAGGACACTCAAGTCCAGAAGGTAGAGACCACCTGCTCAAGTCCTGCAGACAGTGTGGAACCCTGGCAGAGTCTGGGTCCCTGAAAGCAGACAAGGACTTGGGGACATGTCATTTGTTGCAGATGATCCCAGGACACCTGAGTGAGGACATGGGAAGGTGAGCCCGGAGGAGGGGAGCCGGAGAGTGGCCCTGATGAGCGAGCTCTGTGGTGGGTGCCTGGGCTCAGTCTCGGCTCAGCCTCCCGGCGTCCCACCTGGATGGGCTCCATCTCTGTGGTAAAGGGTCGTCCCTGGGGCATTAATGCTCTTGCTCTGCTGGCTGGTGCTGGCATGCAAACGAGGACGCTCCCATGGGGTTTGAAGTACATGATGCTATCCCACCTGGGAGCAGGGGTCTTCACCGTGGATCCCTGTTCTGTTCTAAACAAGGAAGCCGGTGCTCAGAGAGGGAAACGGTCATGACTAAAGTCTCTCGGCCAGAGAGCGGTGCAGCTGTGGTTCCTGCCCAGCTCGGGCTGCCTCGGCACAGAGCCTGAAGCGAATGCACCAGGAGCTTTGTAAGTAGAAAAACCCCAGCACAGCCAGGGGCTGCATCCTCTCTGCCTCCCTGGGGTCTCCGCACGCATCCCCCCTTGTGAGAGGCTGGAGTAAGTAGCCTCCTCGGGCCAGGAAAGCTCAGCCGGGAGGGCACCTGGTGCCTGAGAGGTAACCGTAGTGCCTGGTCAAGCTCGGAGCAGCGGGCTGGGTGAGGGAGCTGCCTAGTACAGCCAGGCCAGACGCAGGTGTAGTCATCTACCAGCTGCCATCAGTGTGTGCCGGGGGCTGGAGCGCAAACCGTGTCATCTGCAACCAAGCCTCTGAGGTGGAGAACGTGGTTCCCCCATGCTCTAAGTGGGAAATGGAAGCACCTCCTGGCCAGTAAGTAGCAGTGCTGGGGATTTAGCCAGGTCTGTCTGGCTCAAAGACAAGGCTCCCCACTCTCCTGGGAACGGGGAGCCCTGAGCAAGGATGTCAGAGGCCAGGAGGCGGCCTCTCCTGTACAGGTGTCCTGGGCTACCCCAACCCCCTCCCACACCTGCCACACCTGGCCTGTCCCCCATCTAGAACACTTCATGTCTGACGGTGTCCACACGCACACACCTGAGACCAGCAGTCCACGAAACCCTGGCCCTTCCTGGGAGGCCACTCTCTAATGTTTTCTATTTTGTTTAAAATCCAGGCCAGGCGCAGTGGCTTACGCCTGTAAGTCCAGCACTTTGGGAGGCCGAGGTGGGTGGATCTCCTGAGGTCAGAGTTTGAAACCAGCCTGACCAACATGGTGAAACCCCATCTCTACTAAAAATACAAAAAGTTAGCTGGGCGTGGTGGCGGGCGCCTGTAATTCCAGCTACTCGGGAAGCTGAGGCAAGAGAATTGCTTGAACCTGGGAGGCGGAGGTTCCAGTGAGCTGAGATCACACCATTGCACTCCAGCCTGGGCAACAAGAGTGAAACTCCATCTCAAAAATAAATAAATTTAAAAAATCCCAGTCTACCCCATTAACTCGGCTCATGGTCCAGTGAGGGGTGTGCTGACCTCTGTCTGACACCAGCTTTTTTTTTTTCTTTGAGACAGGGTCTTGCTCTGTCGCCCAGGCTGGAGAGCAGTGGCACGATCATGGCTCACTGCAGCCTCAACTTCTTGGGCTGAAGCCATCCTCCTGCCTCTGCCTCCCAAGTAGCTGGGACCACAGGTGCATGCCACCACACTCAGCTAATTTTTTTGTAGAGATGGGGTCTCCCGATGTTACCCAGGCTTGTCTTGAAATCCTGGGCTCAAATGATCCACCTGCCTTGGCCTCCCAAAGTTCTGGGATTACAGGTGTAAGCCACCGTGTCTGATCTGACACCAGCATTTTTTTTTTTTTTTTTTTTGAGATGGAGTCTCACTCTGTTGCCCAGGCTGGAGTGCAGTGGCGCAGTCTCGGCTTACTGCAACCTCTGCCTCCCAAGTTCAAGCGAGTCTCCTGCCTCAGCCTCCCAAGTAGCTGGGACTACAGGAACATGCCACCATGCCTGGCTATTTTTTTTTTTTTTTTTGTATTTTTAGTAGAGATGGGGTTTCACTATGTGGCCAGGCTGGTCTCAAACTCCTGACCTCGTGATCTGCCCGCCTTGGCCTCCAAAAGTGCTGGGATTACAGGCGTGAGCCACCGTGCCCGGCCAACAGCAACACCTTTAATGGCTGCGGGGCGTGTTTCTTCCTCCAGGGACACCAGATCCCCCTGCTCAAGGCTGGGGGGCGAGTGTGCCACTCGGGGCTCTGAGATGGGCAGAGATGACTATCCTCGAACTTGAACCCTTTGTTCGTGTCTCTAAACCTTTCCTGTTTTCTAGAAGTAGACAAACTGAATCCAAGGGCGGGTGTGCTGGGGTCTTAGTGCCAACTCACCCTCCAGAAGGAGAGTCCAGACCCTTCTCCCACTGCCAGGGGGAAAGTGTCCATCCCCCTCAGCCAATCCAAGGGTTTCAAACTTCAGGGGTGTGATATCATGCCAAATATATATATTTCCATCCATGATTCCTGGCTCATAACTCCCATAGTGCTTGTTATAATGTTGGGGTGTTTTAGGCCTCAGAAGCAGGCCTCAGAAAACAGAATGTCTCTCTCTGTCTCTCTCTCTCTGACCTTCTCCTGCCCTCCTTTCACCTGCTCCTTTTTCTCCCCAAGGCAAGAATCTTCCCCTGCCTTTCTGTCTGGCCATAAATTCTCTGACCTACCTTGTCTAATTGTAGGTCACAAGATCCCCATTTTAGGAGTCCCACCCCAGACCCTGGAGGAAGGAATGCTGTAGGGAGAGGCCAAGAAGAATCTGCACAGACAGGCCTTGTGAGTTTCCCCCTCCACTAATGCTAGACCGTGGGCCAATGCTAGACCGTGCGCCAATGCTAGACCGTGCGCCAATGCTAGACCGTGCGCCAGTGCTAGACCGTGCGCCAGTGCTAGACCGTGCGCCAATGCTAGACCGTGCGCCAATGCTAGATTGTGCGCTAATGCTAGACCATGCCCTTTTTGTCCAACCATGTTTCTACACAGTTGTCCATGCTTCAGTCATGCCTATCCGATTACCCAGTGAAGCCTCCATAAAAGGCCCAAGAGGACAGGGTTTAGGGAGCTTCTGGATGGCTGAACACATAGAGGCTCCCAAAGGGTGGGCGTCCGGGGAGGGCTGGAGGCTTCGCACCCCTTCCCCCATACCTTGCCCTACACATCCCTTCATCTGTATGCTTTGTAGTATCTTTTATAATAAACCAGTAAACATGTTTCCCTGAGTTCTGTGAGCTGCTCTAGCAAATTAATTGAACCCAAAGAGGAGGCTCTGGGAACTCCAGTTTGCAGCTGGTGAGTCAGAAGCTCTGGAAGCCCAGATTTGTTTGTTTGTTTTTTTGTTTGTTTTGGAGATGGAGTCACTCTATCACCCCGGCTGGAGTGCAATGGTGTGATCGCAGCTCACTGCAACCTCTGCCTCCCAGGTTCAAGCGATTCTCCTTGGAAACCCAGATTTGTGATGGCGTCAGTGGGAAGTGGGGGAGGGGGCAGTCTTGTGGGACTGAGATCTCAACCCGGGGGATCTGATGCTACCTCCTGGTGTCTGTTGCCTGGTGTGTGGGAAACCCCCACACGCTGGACCACAGAAGTCTTCTGTGTTGACTGTTGAATGAGGGAAGAGAAAAAGCCCTTTGAGAGAGAGAGAGAGAGAGAGAGAGAGAGAGAGAGAGAGAGAGTGTGTGTGTGTGTGTATGTGTGTGTTTTCCACTCAAGGACCTTTGGGGGAAATGGCTGCACACTTCATAGGTGAGATATGCTATCTAACTCATTATCTTATTTCATTGTCCTGATGCAGGCGGAGGCTGGATTTTCATCTTTCCACCATTTCTGAAGCGTGGCCCCTTCTGCTCTCAGGGGAGCCTGCTGAACATGTGTTCTTCTGGGCATCCCTGGGGTCAAGGTCTAGGTATGGCTTCCAGCACAGCCAAGAAGCTCCTCTCCCAGGTGCTGGGGGCCCAGGAACCAGCCCTGGGATCCCTCCTCCGGGCCTAGCTGGCTGGTTTCAGTTAGTGCTTGGACTGGCTTCCCTGGGACAGGGTGCAGTGGGTTCTGCTTGTATCCAGGCCAGGCCTTAGCTAGTGCAGGATGATGGGCTTGGATCAGAGACTGGCTCCTGGATGCCGCTGGGTTCTGGGTGGGCCAACTGTATGGATGTGAACGCACTTGTCCTCCTGAAACACCAGGTCAAAGAGGAACACAGTGAAGGGAGCCCCAGAGGAGTAGGGCTGGCCCAGAGTCCACCCAGCCCTGTAGTCTTTAAACCCCACCTTTTTGGGGCAGTGATACATTGTTCTGATAATACAGATGTAGAACCCCAATGTATCAAACCCAGGACAGAGCTGCTCAGGGTGGAGCTGGGATGAGGTCTGGACTCCCTACCCCCAACCCAGACACACAGACACACTTCAGGAGCCTCCTCCCCGACACCCCATTCCTAGGCCTCTGAGAGGCCCAGCTTGACAAGCACTAAAGGAAGCTGTCACTGCAATGCATAGTGGGAAAAACTGAGGCTTTGTCCAAGATCAGCCAGCAAAGCAGGGGCAGAAGCTTGGGTGATGAGCTGAGACTTGGGGTCTGTCCTCAGGACCCTCCTGCTGCTGCCCACCCCCAGGTTCCAAGGCCAAGGGGAGCCAAAATCAATGTCTGGGTCCAAACTGAGCTTTGCAGAGATGCCTGATGGCCACTCAGGAGAGCACTGGCTCTTGTTCCAGACAGAAGCTTCTCCTAAAGTGAGGAGAGTGAGGCCCACACGGGGGGCCATGGGGCCTGCCTCCACCCCACCCAGTCCCTCCACCCCAGCTCCACGGCCAGGGAAGCTCTGCAGACTCTCCCCACCTCTCCTTAGAGATTAAAGGTCTGGGGGGTTCTGCCACCCCTGCTCACCTGAGTTCCCAGACTTGACCATGAACTCCCTTATTTCTGGGAAACACTCTGGAGCATTCTCTGGCATCCCAGAGGTAAGGCCCAGCCGGGGATCAATTACAGAGGGTCTGTGCATGGTGGGGAGCCCAAGGGCCTCCCTTGCCTTTGATTATTATATTTTTAAGTCATGGAGGTCTCTCTTGTCTGAGCCAAGGGGTCTCAGCCCAGCTCTGCCGCTAACCAGAAGGGGGACTTTAGCCAGCCCCCTACGAGAGGACATTTCCCCATTCCCTTCATGAATGCAAACCTCAGCCCTCCAGGATTACCAGTGGGAAGACAGGTCACTTCTTTGTCAGCTTCAGAAGATCAAGACCAATTTATGGAGAAACCGAGAGATGAGTCCTCACAAGCCCATTTTCCAGATGAAAAGCTGAGGCCCAGTGAGGGGAATGGTCACAGAGGGACACTGGATAGCCTGGGAGTTCGGACCAAGAGTCCTACATCCCCTCCACCGCCGACCCCACCCAGGCTGGCCCTGAGCTGCTGCACAAGAACTTGCCCGTGACCTCCCGATCCCAGCCGCTGCCCTCTGACCTCCCGATCCCAGCCGCTGCCCTCGCTGAGCTTGGACCACGTGCCTGAGACCCGTCTTTCCTCATTTAAACCCTGCTCGGGGTGGGGGGGGCTCCACACCGGCGGGGAACGTGCTTGTTCACCGTGTGTTCTTAGCCTCTAGAACAGAGCCTCAGGCACAGGAGGCACTTCACATTTATTGAATAAATAGATGAATGAATCAGTGTCATCCTCCCAACAGCCCCTTGAAGCAGGTACTCTTATTTGACAGAGGAGGAACCTGAGACACAAAGAAGTCTTGGTTTCATTCATTCCTTCACTCATTCATGCATCCAGCACCCCTGTTGTGTGCAGACACCTGGAATATGACAGTGAACCCCAGACACCATCCCTGTCCTGAGAGCTCACAGCGCAAAAGCAGGGACAGCATCTCACCCACAGCTAGCAGTGGAAGCGCCGATCTGGGTCCCAGCTTCAGTGGCCCACCACCTCCTCAAAAGATAGTTAAGTAAGGCCAGGCACGGTGGCTCACACCTGTAATCCCAGCACTTTGGGAGGCCGAGGTGGGTGGATCACCTGAGGTCAGGAGTTCGAGACCAGCCTCGCCAACATGGTGAAACCCCGTCTCTACTTAAAAATATATAAAAATCAGCCAGATGTTGTAATCCCAGCTACTCAGGAGGCTGAGGCAGGAGAATTGCTTGAACTGGGAGGCAGAGGTTGAACTGGGAGGCAGTGAGCCGAGATTGTGCCACTGCAGTCCAGCCTGGGCGACAGAGCAAGACTCCATCTCAAAAGATCACGCCACTGCACTCCAGCCCAGGTGACAGAGCGAGACTCCATTAAAAAAAAATTAAGTAAAACATAAATTTTATTTATTTACTTATTTTTGAGACATAGTCTCACTCTGGCACCCTTGCTCCAGCCTCATAGCTTGCTATGTTACCCAGGCTGCTCTTGAACTCCTGGGCTCACGTGATCCTCTCACCCTAGCCTCCCAAAGTGCTGGGATTACAGGCTTGAGTCACCATGCTCGGCCTTAAGTAATATTTAATAAGAGTTTTCTTTAAGTCATATAGAGAGAGACAGACAGAAAAACAGAGACAGAGAGAGACAGAACTGGAAGGCTAGCAGTGACTCTTCTCCCCACTGCTCTTCTCCCACTCTGCCTGGCTTGGATTTGTTCTTTCTGGTTCCCTTGAACACTGCAAGTCTCTGCCTACATTCCTATTTCAGCCCACTTAACTCCCGGATGAGAAAGATGCCCACATCCACCTACAGTGTCTTCTCCCATCTTCCTTTTACCTCCCTTGCCTTTGATTATTATATTTTTAAGTCACGGAGGTCTCTCTTGTCTTTCTTCACCTTTGCACCCAGCCCCCTCCAGGCCAGTGCTGTCTTTAGGCCACATTTTTTCTCCTCTGGGGGTGCAGCGGGGAGGGATGGAGAGACTGCTGGATGGGCCAAGGGAGGGCTGCAGCCAGTAGGCACAGCCATAGGGCTAGGTCGGCCCTGTCTTGCTCACCTTAAAGCTGTATTAGAAAACAATTCCCAGAGAGGCATCAGTGTCTGGAAGGCAGACCAGGGAACTTTGCAAACATAAACTGAGTAAGGAAAATGAATCAGCAGATCCCAGACCAGGTCCCAGGGAGCTAGTGTTTGCAGCGAAAAGGTGGAAGCATGACCTTTTGAACAGCACTCACCAGCTCCCAGGGCCGGTGCCAGGCTCCTGCAGACTGAGAAAACAGGCCCTGCCTTACAGGAACCCCAAGGTGCTCTAGAGAAACCCCAAGGACACAGGTAATCATCACACCCCTGAGGGGCCTGGGAGGCTGTGCCCAGGCACCAGGCAGGGCTGGGTTTCCAACTTCCAGCTGCACTGTGACCTGGAGCACACCCATAACCTCTCTGAGCCCGTCTCTGGCTGGGTCCCACCCCCCACCCCTTGGGTCACTCTCTCTTTTATTTTCCCTTAGGGCCCCTTCATTTCGCCTTACTGTCCCTCCCCTCTCGCACCCTTCCTAGGAGAGGTTTCTGCTACGAAAACTTTCTACCCCATGCACTGGCGGACCTCTGGTGAGCTGCAAGAGGGTCTCTCCTGGGGTCCCAGAGTCCCTGGGGTGGAAAAGAGTAGCCCTTCGTGGAAGGGATAATGCAACCCCGACAGGCCGTGGGAAGAAAGTGTGGCCAGTCCCATTTCACAGAAGAGAACACGGAGGCTCCGGGTAATTCTGGGAGCCACTCACTTGTGTCCCCTCGCTGGGTAGGGGCGCCTGGCTCAGAGGCCCCCAGCAAAGGAGGACAGATCCTAAACCGGACAGCAAGCTGCGTCCAGCTGGTTCTCCCTTTCCGTGACTGCTTCAAAGCTCTTATAAACAAGGTAAGGTTTTCCCCACAAATCGCTTCATTTCTCCACCCGCACCCTACCATGGCCCCGGACCTGCGGTTCTCGGCCCCCCGAGCTGGGCCTGCTGCATCCTAGGCAGAGTTCTAGGCGGCTAGCGGAAGCCAGGCCCAGGGGTCAGCTCAGGCGCTCGGTCCCCCGGGATCCTGCTCCCAGGCCGCAGGGAAGGGGCTCTGGGACCGCAGGGGCGGGGCCTGCGGTAGGTGGGCGGGGCTGCGGCGCCCTCTTTCCCGTCTGGCTTCTCTTTTCTGTCCTCTTTCCTGTCTGTCTTCCTCTTTTCTGTCTGGCCCGCGGCCCCGCTGCCTGCCCTGCTCCAGGCTCCACCTGCGCCGCCGATCGCCCGGGTATCGCGGGGGCCCAGGCCAGCTGAGTCCGTTTTCCGCGCCGGGGTGGCGCCCCTCCAACCGTCCTAACGCCGGGCCGGCAGCAAGGAGTAAGTCTGCACCCCGTAGGGACAGTCGCGCTCCCTTGGCCCCACCCAGTCCCTGCCACGCAAGGGGCCAAGGAGGAGGGCCCTGAGCCCAGGAGGTGCGCATCTCGGACCCAGGGTCCCGGGTCCCGACCACGGACTGGGGCCGGCGGCGCTCGGGGCTGGGCTCTGCGTTCGCGGGAGGCGGGGGCGAGACGGGGCTTGGAGGCCCGAGTGGGGAAACTGAGGCCCCAGAGGAAGAGAGAGGGAGAGGGCTTGCCGGACACTCCCGAGTGGCAGCGGCCTAATCCCCAGGACCCCGGCTCTCCGCTCACTGTGGCCCGGGCTGCGCCCAGCGTTTTACAGCCGTTCCCGCGTGTCCTCCCCCCGGGCGCCGCGTGCCGCCCCCCATCCACTGAGGCCGGGAGCAGGGGATGACTGGCCCAAGGTCAACGAGCCAGCGAGTTGAGGCGCGTTCCCATCGTTCCGTGGAGAACCCGGGCCCTGCCTCCCGGAGAGGTGGACAGCGGCCACCTCGCTCCCCTCGGGGAATCCTGGGCGCCCCTTCCCGCGCATCCTGCGCTGGGACTGCATGTGTCCTCGCTGTGCCTCGGTGCTTGATTTCCAGCGGACGGTGGACTGGCCCATGCACCCCTCCCGGCGGCCTCGGCTCACCTCTGACAATGGACCTAGTACGGAGACGCGGGAGCCAAGGCAGGGATCCGCCTTCGCGGCCTCTGCGAAGTCGGTCCCAGCCCCTCTCCCAAAGGACAGCTGGAAGCAACAGCTGAGCACCGAGCCACTGCCACCGTGCGCCTCCCAGAGCTGCCAGAGCTGAGCCCGGGGTCCAGCGGGACCTAGAGTCCACATGACCGCAGTGGGTGACCGAGGGAGGGCAGGGCTGCAGGGCTGGGGTCACCGTCTCCCCATAAAGAGCATTCCTGGCCCGGTGCAGTGGCTCAAGCCTGTCATCCCAGCACTTTGGGAGGCCGAGGCGGGTGGATCACCTGAGGTCAGGACACCAGCCTGACCAACATGGAGAAACCTCTTCTCTACTAAAAATACAAAAATTAGCTGGGCATGGTGGCTTGTGCCTGTAATCCCAGCTACTCAGGAGGCTGAGACAAGAGAATCGCTTGAACCCAAGAGAAGAGGTTGCAGTGAATGGAGATTGCGCCACTGCACTCCAGCCCAGTTGACAAGAGTGAAACTCTATCTCAAAACAACAAAAGTGTTCCTTTGCAGGTGTTCCTGGGACCTCAGAGACCAGGCTCAGAGCCTGACATCCCTGCGAGGGGACAGCCTCATCCGCCCAGGCCAGTGGGGGTCTCTACAAGTGCCCAGGCTCAGGTGCAGCCCCCAGCAATGCATCGCCGGAGACTGGCCCTGGGTCTGGGGTTCTGCCTGTTGGCGGGCACAAGCCTCAGTGTCCTGTGGTGAGTCTGCCCCACGGAGCTCCCCCTGTCTCTATCCCCACCCAGGACTCCCCCTGTCTCTATCCCCACCCAGGACTCCCCCTGTCTCTATCCCCACCCAGGACTCCCCCTGTCTCTATCCCCACCCAGGACTCCCCCTGTCTCTATCCCCACCCAGGACTCCCCCTGTCTCTATCCCCACCCAGGACTTCCCCTGTCTCTATCCCCACCCAGGACTCTCCCTGTCTCTATCCCCACCCAGGACTCCCCCTGTCTCTGCAGATCAACCCCAAAACCTTGATCTCCTCATAGGATTCCAGATCCCACCAACCCCTCCTGACTCACCTGTTCTCCAACCCCAGCCCCAACAAGACCCAACTAGTGTCTCCGGCTTCTGAATTCTGCCTTGTACTGGCCTCCTGGCCTTTGACTTGCTCTTTTCTCTGCCTGGATCATCCTTCAACCAATGTTGATGGGGAATCCCCGTTCACGCTCCCAAATTCACCCTCTGTTTCTGTCCTTCCATGAAGCTCCTGGGGCTGCCCCTCACCCTGCTGTTTGTGTGGGGGGCCTGGCATCAAGAATATACACTCCCTAGGAATGAATGACTCTATGGGTGAATGAATGACTGCATGGCAGGCCCTGTGACACATGCCAGGAATACCAGCAGGCTTTGTCCTCCAAGGTCAGCCAGACCTACAGAATGACAGGGGACCTGGCCTCCTAATGCACTGTGGGAGACCTGCACTCCCAATGACGTGCATGAGGTGCGTTTTCAGCCTCTGGTGCAGAGTGGATCAACAGATTTTTTTTCTTTTTTTTATTCACAGGGTGTATCTTGAGAACTGGCTGCCAGTCTCCTATGTCCCCTATTATCTCCCCTGCCCAGAGATCTTGTAAGTATGGGTGTGGCTAGGAGAACTGGGGGCCCTGAGGGCTGCTCACAGTTGGGGAGACAGGAGAGTATTTAAGTTCACTTCATCTGCCGGTTCCTGATTCCTAAGTTCATGTTTCTGATAAATGCAATAGTATTTATGTAATTTAAGGGCTGTGACAAGCGTGAAGTGAAATTCCCATTTCGGTCTTCCAGCATCCTTGCAGCCCCCTGCATGGTCTGACCGTCCACATGTTGCACAGCTGTGAGCCTTGCTTGCTGTGTCTGGCCACTGAGAACACAGAGTGCAAAGATGCCCATAAACAGCCTGCTGTTGCTCCCGGTGACCAGCAGGGGTTGTGTTCAGTGCTTTTAGGACTTGACCTTGTTGCTCAATTTTGTGTTCCATGGATTCAAGGAACAAATGAACATGTGACCAAAGTCCTCCTCAACTAAGGAGTCTTTTTTTTTTTTTTCTTGAGTCAGAGTCTCACTCTGTCGCCCTGGCTGGAGTGCAGTGGCGTGATCTTGGCTCACAGCAACCTCCACCTCCCCAGTTCAAGAGATTGTCCTGTCTCAGCCTCCCAAGTAGCTGGGATTACAGGCACCCGCCACCATACCTGGCTAATTTTTGTATTTTTATTTGAGATGGCGTTTCACCATGTTGGCCAGGCTGGTCTCAAACTCCTGACCTCAAGTGTTCCACCTGCCTCAGCCTCCCAAAGTGCTGAGATTACAGGCATGAGCTACTGCATCGGTCCGGTCACCATCATCTTATTCCACCCAGGGACTGACACATAATTTTTGAGCCTCTCTCTCTTTCCCACCACCAATTGCTCTCGGGATTTAGGTTGCTCCCAATTTCCCAGGGCTCTCAGTTAGTTTGTGATGAGCAGCATAACCCTTTCTCCATTTCAAAGATCATTTTGTTCAGATATGTTCCCTTAGTGGCCGGAGGATGTGGATAGGTTCTGATCCAACTCATTGGGTTATTTCCAGAAGGACCACAGCACATCAGTCACTCATTCATGTGCCCTGCCCAAGCAGTACCCAGCAAAGCCACCGTGTAGTACACCTGGGCTACTGCTGGGAATACCAGAGGTTATGAAAACAAAAATGAACCTACCTTGCTGATTGGGAGAGGGAAAATGCTATCCTCTTTGGTATAAATTTTATTTATTATTATTATTATTATTATTATTATTATATTGAGACAGAGTCTCGCTTTGCCACCCAGGCTGGAGTACCGTGGCGTGATCTCAGCTCATTGCAACCTCCACCTCCCGGGTTCAAGCAATTGTCATGCCTCAGCCACCTGAATAGCTGGGATTACAGGCACACACGCTAATTTTTGTATTTTTAGTAGAAACAGCATTTCATCATGTTGGCCAGGTTGGTCTTTGCCCCCTTCGGCCAGGCTTCGCCCCCTCATCGGCCTCCCAAAGTGCTGGGATTAAAGGCGTGAACCACCACCCCTGGCCTTAATTTTTTTTTTTTTTTATTATTACTAGTGAGACTCTCATTTCCCTACGTCTTCCCGTTAATTGAAATTTTTCTTGTGTGAAGTGCTTCTTCCCCACCTTCTCTGTTTGGTCCGTTTGTGGGTTCTCTATCATCACTCTTGGCTAAGTATACCTACAACTTTTTTTTTTCTTTCCAGTTTGTCTATCTTGTGTGTGTGCGTGGCGGAGGGAGATAAGGTCTGGCTCTGTTGCCCAGGCTGGAGTGCAGTGGCACGATCACAGCTCACTACAGCCTTGACCTCCTGGGCTCAAGTGATCCTCACACTTTAGCCTCCTGAGTAGCTAGGACCACAGATACTCACCACCACACCTCCTAGCTAATTTTTTTTTATTTGTTTGTAGAGACAGGGTCTCACTATGTTGCCCAGGCTGGTCTGGAACTCCTGGCCTCAAGGGGT
This sequence comes from Homo sapiens, assembly GCF_000001405.40. Lineage (NCBI taxonomy): Eukaryota > Metazoa > Chordata > Mammalia > Primates > Hominidae > Homo > Homo sapiens. The sequence goes on along the minus strand of NC_000009.12, from coordinate 133,159,567 downwards.
CGTCCCAACTCGCCCCTGCCGGGATTGCGGGCATGAGCCACCACACCGGCCTGCTTTTGTATTCTTGTATGTAACTCTTCACTGCAGCTGGAGTGTGTCTGGGCTTGTGGAGAGAAAAGAGGAGCTCGCTGCCAGGGAGGCACAGAATGCTGGGCTGTTTGGTACCCCTTCTAACTCCTGACCGCTTCTTGGAATCCCAGGGCTTTCTGAGCAGGGCCCTGAAACATGCTTTCTTGTAGGAAACTAGGGCAGAGGGCCAATTTGACGAACTGACTTTAAAAAATTGTTGATTCAAGAGTAGCAACTTGGCTGGGTGTAGCGGCTTATGCCTGTAATCCCAGCACTTTGGGAGGCCGAGGCTGGTGGATCACTTGAGCTCAGGAGTTCAAGACCAGCCTGGCCAACATGATGAAACCCCATCTCTAATAAAAATACAAAAATTGGCGGGGTGTGGTGGCACACACCTGTAGTCCCAGCTACTTGGGAGGCTGAGGCAGGAGAATCACTTGATCCCAGGAGGCTAAGGTTACAGTGAGCCAAGATCACACCACTGCACTCCAGCTGGGATGACAAGGTTACTGAGACTCCATCTAAAAAAAGAAAAAAAAAAGTAGCTACTAATCACAAAAGGACAAAAACTTTATTATTCCACTTATAGGAAGTACTTTCCATACTCAAGTTCATAGAGGCAGAAGTAGAATTATGGTTCCCAGGGGCTGGGGGCGGGGCAACGGCAAGCTGTTGTTTAATGAGGACCGAGCTTCCTTTTGGGATGATGAAAAAGTTCTGGACACAAATGTTGGATGGTTGCATGACAATGTGAATGTACCTAATGCCACTGAATTGTACACTTAAAGATGGCTAAAGTAGTAAATCTTGTGTTTTGTATACTTTACCACAAATAAAAGAGCATAGCCTAGAGGTGGAAGAGTTCAAGGAGGCTTCAGCCACCCCATCATACATGATGTATTGAAACTCACAGGGGACCAGGCAAGGCAGCTCATGCCTGTAATCCCAGCACTTTGGGAAGCCAAGACAGGCAGATCACTTGAGCTCAGGAGTTCAAGACCAGCCTGGGCAACATGGTGAAACCCAGTCTGTACAAAAAATATTAATACAAAAACAGCTGGGTGTGGTGGTGGGCACCTGTGGTCTCAGCTCCTCAGGGTGCTGGTGTGGGAGGACCGCTTGAGCTCAGGCAGTCAAGACTGCAGTTAGCCGAGATTGTGCCACTGCACTCCAGCCTGGGCAACACAGATAGACCCCACCTCAAAAAAGAAAAGAAAGAAAGAAAAGAAACTTACAAGGACCTGGCAGACTACTGTGTCATCAGTGGGTGGGATCCTTATGAGCTTCTGCCTGGGGACAGTCGGCCTCGGGCCTTTTGTTGCTGCTGCTGGCTGGGTGGCCTTTCCCTTTTTTTTGAGATGCAGTCTTGCTCTGTCGCCAGGCTGGAGTGCAGTGGCGGGATCTCGGCTCACTGCACCCTCAGCCTCCCGGGTTCAAGCGATTCTCCTCCCTCAGCCTCCCAAGTAGCTGGGACTACAGGTGCCCACCACCACGCCCAGCTAATTTTTGTATTTTTAGTAGAAATGGGGTTTCACCATGTTGCCCAGGATGGTCTCGATCTCTCGACCTTGTGATCTGCCCGCTTTGGCCTCCCAAAGTGCTGGGATTACAGGCATGAGCCACCACGCCCGGCCGGTCTTTCCCTTCTCTGCACCTCGCTTCCACCTGCTGGAAACACTCTAAGTGGATGGTTTTATTGTCCCCATTTTGTGGATGAGGAAACTAAAGTTCACAGGGTCAACTGTCTGGCTCCAGGTCCCTGGGCCAGTTAGTGGCAGAGCCAGAGGTGAGCCCAGGGGTCTGACCCTACAGCCCTGGCACCTCCTTCATGGACCCCCTTCTTTCTTCTCCAACCAGTTTGACCTTGAAACTGACCATGGAGGCTGCCTGCCAAGACTTGCCCAGGATCCCTCACCTTACTGAGCACTTGCTCCATGCTGGACATGGTCAAGAGCCCCTCACACACCTTGTGTAACTCTCACCACATCGCTAAGGCTAAGGATGGTTTTGCCCATTTTGCAGATGCAGAGAAATGGCAGTCAGTGTTCCACTAGAGAAACAGAACCAGTAAGAGGTAGGAAGGTAGACAGATGGCCAACATACCTAGGAAAATTGACTTATGTGATGGTGAGGCTGGCTAAGCAGCTGAAACTCAGATAGGAGCAGACACCACAGCCCACAGGTGAAGTTCTTTTTTTTTTTTTTTTTTTTGAGACAGGGTCTCACTTTGTGGGTGGCCCAGGCTGGAGTGCAGTAGTGTGATTACAGCTCACTACAGCCTCCACCTCCTGGGCTCAAGCCATCCTCCTGCTTCAGCCTCCCAAGTAGCCAGGACCACAGGTGCACACCACCATACCCAGCTAATTTTTGTTGTTTTTGTAGAGATGAGGTCTTGCCATGTTGCCCAGGCTGGTCTTGAACTACTGGGCTCAAGCGCTTTGCCCGCGTTGGGCCCCCAAAGTGCTGGGACTACAGGTGTGAGCCACCTGGGCTGGCCACCAGTTCTGTTCTTAAGGCCTTTCAACCAATTGGATCGGTCCCACCCAGGTTGTCTAGGATACTCTCTTTTATGTAAAATCAACTGATATAGAATGTTAATCACATCTACAAAATACTTTCACAGACCAGCCTGGGCGACATAGTAAGACCCCATCTCTACAAAATTTTAAAAAATCAGCCGGGGGTGGTAATGAGTGCCTGGCAGGTCCAGCTACTCAGGAGGCTAAGGCAGGAGGATTGCCTACAACTGACCATTACAGTGGGCTCAGGTTAATTAGCTCTTAGCTCACCCGAGGTCCCAGTCACCAGGCCTTTGCAGCTTTTCTTCCTTTTTTTTTTTGAGATGGAATCTTGCTCTGTCACACAGGCTGTAGTGCAATGGTGCGATCTCGGCTCACTGCAACCTCTGCCTCCTGGGTTCAAGCAATTCTCCTGCCTCAGCCTCCCGAGTAGCTGGGATTACAGGCGCCCGCCACCATGCCCAGCTAATTTTTGTATTTTTAGTAGAGACGAGGTTTCACCATCTTGGCCAGGCTGGTCTTGAACTCCTGGCCTTGTGATCCACCCGCCTCCGCCTCCCAAAGTGCTGGGATTACAGGCGTGAGCCACCGCGCCTGGCCCTTTGCAGGTTTTCACATCTTCTTTCCGACAACGAGAGCGACATGGTTGGAAAAGCATCAGCCTTGGGAGCAAGCGGCACTGGGTTCGAATCACTGCCCTGCCACTTACTCTCTCAGTGACCCTGGACAGATCACTTCTGTAGGGGTCCCCAGCTCCTCTGTAGAGTCGGGTGGGGCTGTGGGGGAAGGTCAGAGGGAGCCTGCATGGACCCTGGGTGCCCACCCGCAGGGGCCTCTGACTCCTCCTTCTTCCTGTGCTGAGTGTCTCTGTCCCCAGACCCATGATGATGGCTCTTTCTTGCCTCTGCCACCAGCAACATGAAGCTGCACTACAAGAGGGAGAAGCCACTCCAGCCCGTGGTATGGTAAGGAGACTGGCATTTCCTCTTTTGTGGCCGTGAGGGTGGTGGCTCTCCTCCATCACTGGTCCTTCTTGGTTGCAGGTCACAGTACCCTCAGCCCAAGCTGCTGGAGCACAGGTAGGTGTCATGGAGAGGCCTGATGGGGGCGGGGGAAAAGGACAAAAGAGCTCTGATTTATAAGGTGGGGTAGTGGAGGTGCTAACATCAGGGTGGCCTTGGGGCCCAGAGAGTTAGGGACTGTGGAAAGACACAGGGCTGGGAGTCAGGGACCTGGGCTGTGTGACCCTGGGCAGCGTACCCAACTGCTCTGAGCTTTTTCTGTGCAGGTGGATAGTAGTGCCTAGCTCACTGGAGTTTGGAGGAGCAGATGAGAGGTATTGTAACATCTGCACCGTGCTTGCACTCAGGAGGTGCTCAGGCCATTGTTCATAACAACGTGGTCTTGCCCTTTTTAATGACCCTCATTTATTAGGGGCTTGGCACATATGAATAATGCCAGGCTTCTCCTTGGTGTGCGTTAACTCCTGGTACTCCCAACCCTGCTGGGAGGTGGCTATCATTATCCCCACTTTCCATATGAGGAAAGGGAGGCCCAGAGATGGGGACGAAGCTGCCCCGGGTCACACAGTGTGAGAGCCAGGGCTGGGATGAGACTTAGGCTTTCACAGGGGAGGGTCTCAGTGCCCACGGCCCCCCTGCTGCCAGGCCCACACAGCTGCTGACACTCACACCCTGGTTGGCGCCCATCGTCTCCGAGGGAACCTTCAACCCAGAGCTTCTGCAGCACATCTACCAGCCACTGAACCTGACCATTGGGGTCACGGTGTTTGCCGTGGGGAAGTGAGTAGTGGGCTGGGGAAGGGGAGGGAGGTCTCCCTGAGCCACAGGAGTTTATAGTTGGGAAGAGACCAGACCAGACGTGCACACAGGACCCTGCTGGGCACCCGGGAGGCTCGGAACCAGGTGCCAAGCAGATAGAAAGTACAGTGTAGGGTGTGATAGTGGGATGGGAGCTTCCTGGAGTAGGGGATCTGGCTCTAGCATAGACAGGATGCAGAGTCCAGGTGAGGGGACAGCAGGAGCCTTTGTCAGGAGGCCCCCTTGCCCCTCCCTGTTTCATCTAGACCCCTCCTCTGCCCTTGTCTCTCCCATGACCCCACCTGGCCTTCCTTTAGGAGCTGCCGCTTGGCAGCCTTCCTCTGGGCCTCTGGGACTCCTTCCTGGAACTTCCTGGGGCCCTAAAGCATGACCAGATGATGAATGGTCCACCTAGGGTCAGGTGACCCCCTTGTCCAATGAGTTTTGGCCTGGGGGCAGGGCTGTGTCAACCACACCCCCCTCCATGCCCCCAGCATCTAGCTCAACTTGCCTTCCCTTGATTCGTCCACTTACCTGCTTCTTCACTACTTTCTTCTCTGTGATCCTCAATGTTCCTGCCTGTAAAATGGGCATGCTTATGCAGATCAAAGATCATAAGAATTCTTAGAACGTCGCTGGGCACTTAGAAATTGCTCAGTAAAAGTTCACCTGGCCTAGGAGCATAAGAATCTCTACCAGGAACATGCTTACAACAGCCGTAAGAGGCTGGTACTAGCATTTTGGGAATTGGACAAATGAGGACCCAGAGGGCCAGAGCAGAGTGACATCTTGAGATGGGGAGCTGGTAAGTGGACCCCAGCCTGGCTGACCCCAGCACACAGTGGGGACCCTGGCAGGCTGCTGGTGTAGCAGTGGGTGACCGGGTGATCATCACTAGGTACACTCATTTCATCCAGTCCTTCCTGGAGTCAGCCGAGGAGTTCTTCATGCGTGGGTACCGGGTGCACTACTACATCTTCACTGACAACCCTGCAGCCGTTCCCGGGGTCCCGCTGGGTCCCCACCGGCTTCTCAGCTCCATCCCCATCCAGGGTCACTCCCACTGGGAGGAGACATCCATGCGCCGGATGGAGACCATCAGCCAGCACATTGCTAAGAGGGCTCACCGGGAGGTGGACTACCTCTTCTGCCTTGATGTGGACATGGTGTTTCGGAACCCGTGGGGCCCTGAGACCTTGGGAGACCTGGTGGCTGCCATTCACCCAAGCTACTACGCCGTTCCCCGCCAGCAGTTCCCCTATGAGCGCAGGCGTGTTTCCACTGCCTTTGTGGCAGACAGCGAAGGGGACTTCTATTATGGTGGGGCAGTCTTCGGGGGGCAGGTGGCCAGGGTATATGAGTTTACTAGGGGCTGCCACATGGCCATCCTGGCGGACAAGGCCAATGGCATCATGGCTGCCTGGCGGGAGGAAAGCCACCTGAACCGTCACTTCATCTCAAACAAGCCGTCCAAGGTGCTGTCCCCCGAGTACCTCTGGGACGACAGGAAGCCCCAGCCACCCAGCCTGAAGCTGATCCGCTTTTCTACACTGGACAAGGATATCAGCTGCCTGAGGAGCTGACCACGGAGCTGGGGGTTGCCATGGATGGGGACCCAAAGACCTGCAGCCACCAGTGCTTCACTAGCGTGCAGACCAGCCCTGTCCCGCCTCCCTGTCAGTCAGGCGAATTCAACCGGAAAAGGGACGTGGAAAGGCCACTGTGAACTGCAGAGGGCTGTGCACACAGTAGCACACAGGATCTCACAGTAACGCGGCATGGGAACAGTGAGACAGGGGGAGGGGAGGCGCAGTTACAAAGGCAGGGCCCGGCAGGCTTGCCACGTTCTGCAGCCGTGCCTTTGCGGGGCAGGCTCTGAAGCCTCAGCCCGACTCAGAGTGCCTGAACCCTGCCGCGCCAGTCCCCCGTTTATTGCATATTGCCCTTAACGTAGCATTTCTAATACCCTGGTGTGAAGGCGCCCTAGACCCCTTTTCTCTGGTCACAGGGGTCCTGGGTCCTTTGATGTCTCCCAACCACATGTAGCCAATTCCTCACTCAGGCCCCCAGAGTGAGCCTTTGAAATGGAACAGGTCTAGGCTCCCTCGGTTTCCTGCACCCCAAAGTGAGCCGCACTCTCAGGGGACTAGCCACCTCCTTCTTAAGAGGGTTTGGGGCAGTTTATAATAAAGGGGGCGTGTGCTCAACCCTAGCTAGGGTGATTTTTTTTGTTTTGTTTTTGTTTTTTTTGAGACCGAGTTTCGCTCTTGTCACCCAGGCTGGAGTTCAGTGGCGTGATCTTGGCTCACTGCAACCTCTGGCTCCCAGGTTCAAGCGATTCTCCTGCCTCAGACTCCCAAGTAGCTGGGATTACAGGTGCCCGCCACACCCAGTTAATTTTTGTATTTTTAGTAGAGACGGGGTTTCACCGTGTTGGCCAGGCTTGTCTCAAACTCCTGGCCTCAAGTGATCCACCTGCCTCGACCTCCCAAAGTGCTGGGATTACAGGTGTGAGCCACTGTGCCCGGCCACTAAGGTGGTTTTTACCTGCACATCCAGCCTGCCTGTGTCCCCAGTGTCTGTTCCATCAGGCAGTGGGGACACAGGCAGACTGGAAGTCAAACACAATCGAATAGGGATATAGTTACTCCAGAAAATCTGAGCTAAAGCTAGAGGCTACAACGGACAGGATTTCATTCCAGTTCTCCAGGGAGACTGGGTGAAGTGGAGCATGCTGGCAGAGCCACCACACTCCCAACTGTGTAGAGGGGTATGGAGCCCAGCAGCCGGACAACCCTGGGAGCTCCCGTATCCAGGGTCACTGCAGCCCTGTGAGGTCACCAGTGGGCGTGGGACTCTGAGCCAATGGTGCAGGCCAGGATTAGAGGGCATGGGAAGATGACCTCTCCAGTCTGGATCCAGAAGGACTTCAGAGGCCTACAGTGTGGTTCTGTCTGCCTGGCCACGCAGAGATGGGGTGGGGTATGGGTTCAGGGCTTGGCGGCCTGGTGCTCACCGCCCTGGAGACAGCAGCATCTTTTTCATGGAAGGAGAAGACAGAAAGGAGGGTGGGGTAGACTCTGGTCATACTGGAACGGGCAGGCACCCACCCACTTGGTCACCCGTGGAAAAGCTGGGGCCAGCCCTGAGTTCATTCTTCCTTCACCTGTGGTTTGGCTGGCGAGCAGGGACAGACCCGAAGAGCGTGGACAGATGGAGTGACCAGTTGGAGGAGACAGACTGGGCTGGAGAGGCCTGGAGTCTTGAAGGGGCACTGAGTGCCTCCTGGGCAGAGGGGCAGGAATGGAACCATGGCCTCTGTGTCCCTCATAGGGAGCACCTGCTCCAGGGGAGGGGTTCTGTGCTGAAGGAGTAGGCCCTGCCTCCGAGGAGCTTCTGTTGAAAGCACAGAGAGGGCCATGGAGCGCTGGACTCAGCTGGGTGGATGGCTGGGAGATGGGGGACCTGAGGTGACAGCAGACTCTGAGGCCTGGGCAGCTCCACCTAGCAGGGGAGAAGTCCCCCATACCCCCCTCACCCCACTTACACCCAGCTTTACCCCTGGCACACCCTCCCGGGTGGGAGTCCCTGACTCATTTTCAGTAGAGGAAACTGAGACTCTGAGAGGTCACCATGAGCTTGCCTGTGATGTGGCTCAGCTGCAGGTTTGAACCCAGGTCATCTGGGTTCAAGACTGTGCTCTGCACAGGGTGGGAGGAGTGCAGCTCTGAAGGTGAGTGCATTGTGGAGGAGGATACAGGGAGGGGCAGTGCTGGCAGGGGGCTCTGAGAGGGGCAGGGGCTTGATGGGGTCCCTGGGTCAGGATGGCCCCAGGAGGCTAGAGTTGGGGTATAGGGACCAGGTCACACAGGGTTCTGAATGCCAGGCTAGGAGGCAGGGGTCACCGCAGGCCTGTCCCAGCAGGGGGATCAATATATATGGGGCCCAAGCGCTGGACTCAGGGGATACCTGGCCAGCGAGGCCCCAACACAGGATGAGGCCTCTGATGACCAGCTCGGGGATGAGTGACGGGGAAGAGCCATGAAGTGGGGGTCACCACGCACAGCAGGGCCTGGCCACTTACAGCTGAGTGGCCTGCAGTGCTGGTGCCTTGGCTCTGGTATAAAATTGAATGAAGCCGGGCACAGTGGCTCACGCCTGTAATTGCGGCACTTTGGGAGGCCAAGGCAGGAGGATCTCTGGAGCCCAAGAGTTCCAAACCAGCCTGGGCAACATAGTGAGACTTCATCTCTACATAGTTTTTTTAAAAATAAAAAAGGCCGGGCACAGTGGCTCACGCCTGTAATCCCAGCACTTTGGGAGGCCAAGGTGGGCAGATTACGAGGTCAGAAGTTCCAGACCAGCCTGGCCAACATAGTGAAACCCCGCCTCTACTAAAAATACAAAAATTAGCCGGGTGTGATGGCACATGCCTGTAGTCCCAGCTACTCGGGAGGCTGAGACGGGAGAATCACTTGAACCTGGGAGGTGGAGGTTGCAGTGAGCTGAGACTGTGCCATTGCACTCCAGTCTGGGTGACAGAGTGAGACTCTGTCTCAAAAAAATAAAATAAATAAATAAATCAAAAGGGTTGGCCAGGCAAAGTGGCTCACGCCTGTAATCCCAACACTTTGGGAGGCCGAGGAGGGCAGATCACCTGAGGTCAGAAGTTCGAGACCAGCCTGGCCAATATGGTGAAACTCTGTCTCTACTAAAAACACAAAAATTAGTCGGGCGTGGTGGTGGCAGCGTGCACCTGTAATCCCAGCTACTTGGGAGGCTGAGACAGGAGAATCGCTTGAACCCAGGAGGCAGAGGTTGCAATAAGCCGTGATCTAGCCACTGCATTCCAGCCTGGTCGACAAGAAGGAGACTGCGGCTGGTGCAGTGGCTCATGCCTGTAATCCCAGCACTTTGGGAGGCCAAGGTGGGAGGATCACCTGACGTCTGGAGTTTGAGACCAGCCTGGCCAACATGGTGAAACCCCATCTCTACTAAAAATACAAAATTAGCCGGGCGTGGTGGCAGGTGCCTGTAATCCCAGCTACTCAGGAGGCTGAGGCAGGAGAATTGCTTGAACCTGGGACGTGGAGGTTGCAGTGAGCCGAGATCGCGCCATTGCACTCCAGCCTGGGGGACAAGAGTGAGACTTCGTCTCAAAAAACAAACAAACGAGACTCCATCTCAAAAACAAAAGTAAATAAAAAATAAAAAGGGACGAAATCAGTTAGCCCTAATAACACTGACTACCCCCAACAGTCGCTCAACCCCAGTGTGAGGCCTCCTTCCCCCAGGCTCCCTTGAGCCCCATCTTACACCAGCTGAAGCTGCAGCTGGACCTTGTGGTCCCGGGTGCTGTCAGGGAAGACAAGGAGGGAGGTGGGGAAGAGGAGGGGAAGGGGAGACCTGACTTTCTCCCTGCCCAGGCTGAGTTCGCTGTCACCTCGGGTCCCCCAGCTCCCAGCCATCCGCCGAGCCGAGTCCAGCAGGTGGCATCGGGGTGCTGGGCGCCAGGGTGAACGTGTATATTTGGTGACGCCGGCGCGCCGACTCAGCGGCCCCCGCCTGGCTGGGGCGAGGTTGGCCCTAGGTCCTAGCGGGGTGGGGAGTACTGAGCAGGCGGCTGGGGCGGACGGACACGTGAGATCGGCCGCACATGGCGCTGGGAGCGTGGCGCGTGCGCGCGGCGAAGCGGAGTGACGTGCACGCGCTGTCTGCGGTCCCGCGCAGGCCCCGTGTGCGCGCCCGGCCTTGGACAACAGGCCCGGCTGCCCCGCGGGGGGAACACCCGCGTCGGCCCGCGGGAGGGAGGCCTGAGCGCGCCCCCGAGCGCGTCCCCGAGCTCACGCGGCGGGGCGCGCCCCTCGCACCTGCGGGCGGGCTGGGGCGGGGCCGCGGCTGTCCCCGCCCACCCGGGCCCGAGCCCGGGGAGCCGGGGCGGAACCGAGCGGCGAGGCCCGAGCGGCCGGAGCGCGGCGCGGCGCAGACAATGGGAGCGGCGCTGGCGGCTGCCGGGGCGGCCCCGAGGGCCGCAGAGTCCTGGGCCCGGCGGGGACCGGAGGCCGCGCCATGAGCCCCGCAGCCGGGCGCACCCCTGCGCCGCGCGCGGGCCCAGGCGAGCGGCCTCTGCGAGCCCCGGGTCCCGCCCTGGGGCCGGCGATGTGCCACCGAGGCTGAGGATGATGGTAGATTGCCAGGTGAGTGCGCGCCGTCCCCAGCCTCGCGTCGCGGGTGGAGGGAGGACCGTATGCCCCAGCCCACACCCACCGGGGGGAGGGAGCCCGGCGCCGCGTCCACGCTGAGCGTGCGCTTACGCAGCTCCGCGTCCAACCCCGCCCGGGACAGTAGGGAAACTGAGGACAGGAGAGGGGCAGGGACTCGCCCGGGGCACACGAAGTTGGCGGAGTCCAGAGATGAAGGGAGGGTTCCGGCCTCTTAGGCCAGGAAGGGCTCGGCTCACCCTTCCCGTGGGGTTTGCTTTGGGAATGACAGCCTCTAAGATCCTGGGGACCCCTGCCCATCTCCCATGTGGGCTCATTTGCCTGGGCTTCTCCGCGCACGTACAGGCGCAGGCCTGCGCATACATGCTCACACACACGCAGACACACACACCACACACTTCCTGGGGCTCAGAGTAGGACGGGACGCTGGGGAAGTGACTGGGGGAAAGAAGAAAGAGGGCGGGGGCTACTCTGCCACGGGCAGGGGCATCCAGTACCCAGCAACATGCCTGGGGCCATGGCACGGGGTGGGGGGCAAGGGGAGGACACGCCAGCTTGATGGGCGGGGATTCTCCAAGGTTCCCAGGATCTGTCTGGGCTGGGGCAGCCTGGAGAGGACAGATTGTGGGGTTCTGTGTTCACCGCTGTGATCACCTGGAAGCAGGAAAAGACCCCTTCAGTGTGGACGGGGCTGTAGGAAAGGAAGCCTCAAATTCCTGCTCTATAAATTGGAATGTTTGGCCTGGGTGACTCCAAGGGTCCCACAGGCTCGTAGACGTGTCTGTCGGCCTTAGGTCTCCACTGGGGATGCCCCCACTACCCACCGAGGTCTGTGGAAAATGCCTTCTTCTTGGAGGTTCTTCTGAGCAAGAGAAGCCGGGGGGGCTGAAGGGCTGAGGGCCTGGGGTGGTGCAGAGCGTGGCCAAGCACTGGACAACTCTTGTGGGACAAGACTGTCCTTGTTGGAGCCTCAGGGTTCTTATTTGGAAGTGGGGCCAGAGCCGTTGCCCTGGTTGGAGTGAGGAGGCCTCACGAGTGAACTGGACACCCCAGGACCAGCAGAGGGAAAGAGGGGAGCAAATGAAGCTTCTGAGGCGCCTTGAATTACCCCTGGAGCCTGCAGGTTCTGCTCCTTTGACCCCCTGGGACTCAGGAGAGCTGCTACCTTGACAACACCCAAACAAAGGTGTGTGTTTTGTTTTCTGGGTTTTCTGCCTGAGGCTGCTGCTGCTGTGCTAGTGCCGGCCACCAGGGGGAGGCAGTGCCCACTGTACTCATTGGAGCAACTGGAGTCAGGGAGAGCCCGGCAGGGTCCCTCTGGGGGACCCCGGCCTCTACCCAATGCACACCCCCCATTACTAGCATCCCTCTCCACAATGTTAGCTGCTCAGAGGCGGGAGGGGGCTCCAAGAGCTTCCTCTTTCCCTTCAGCAGGTGTGCCCAAGCACTCACCCTGGGTTGTGGGGGGGCAGCGTTGGGCTTGGGTGTGGCTCTGAAAGTGACCCAGGGGGGCCTGCCCTCCAGAGCTGGCAGTCTGGAGGGGGCGATGGACAGGGCACAAAAGCAAACAGGCACAGAAAGGAAAAAGCAGTGCTGCAGCGAAAATAATGCCGGGGCTGCCATGGAGGGCTGGGGCCTGCTGGGTGGGGATCTGAGAGGTCTCGCTAAGGGGACATCTGTGCTGTGACCAGAAGACAAAGCATGGGCCAGCCCTGCACGAGTCTGGACAGTGTGATGGAGAAGGCTCAGCAGGCAGGGCTGGGAGGCAGAAATGAGTTTGGCCAGAGAGGAGTGAGAAAGGAGGCCAGTGTGGCCCAAGTGAGCTGGGGGTGGGAGGGGCAGCCCAGGGGCCTGTGGACAGCTATGTGACAACACTACCCTAATGTACAGCTTCCAGCAACAGACATTGATCATCACACAGTTTCTGTGGACCCAGATCCAGGGCAGCTCAGCTGGGTGCCTCTGCCCCCAGGTCTCAAGGGAGGCTGGGACTGGGGTCTCATCCATGGCTGGACTGGGCAGGACCCGCCCCCAGGCCATTCTCATGTTATTGGCAGGATTCAGTTTTGACTGAGGGCATCAGTTCTTCTGTGACTGTTGGTGGGGGCCCTCCCTTGGTTCACTGCCATGTGGGTCTCTCTGTAGGGCAGGCAGCTCACGGCATCAGAACTCACTTCCCCAGAGTGAGGGGTGAAGGTGGGGAGGAAAACAAGAGCAAACAAGCAAGACAGAAGTCATAGTTTTTTGTAAATCTTGGAAGTGACCTCACATCACCTGTGCTGTGTTCTGTTGGTGAGAAGCCAGTCACTAAATCCAATCACCCTCGGAGGAAGGGGATCACTCAGCAACTTATGTACCAGGAGGCAGGGATCTCTGGGGCCAGTGTGGAGGCTGCCTGGGACAGTGTCTGAGAGGAGGCAGTCAGGCCTGATTCTAAACATAACGGAGGCTGGGCGCGGTGGCTCACACCTGTAATCTCAGCATTTTGGGAGGCCGAGGCGGGTGGATCACCTGAGGTCAGGAGTTCAACACCAGCCTGGCCAACGTGGTGAAACCCCGTCTCTACAAAAAAGAAATACAAAAATTAGCTGGGTGTCTCGGCAGGTGCCTATAATCCCAGCTACTCCGGAGGCTGAGGCAGGAAAATCACTTGAACCTGGGAGGTGATGAGTGCAGTGAGCCAAGATCATGCCACTGCACTCCAGCCTGGGCGACGGAGCCAGACCCTGTCTCAATAAACAAACGAACAAACAAACAAACAAACATCATGGGAGCCATTGGAAGGTGTTCCCATTGGAAGATGCTCCCATATGCCACAGGGGGCCGATATCTGATTTTTGCTTCATTTTCAACCCGTTCATGGTGCAAATGAGGAAACCAGACCAAGAAGGGAGTGACTTTCCCCAGATCACAGCACCAGTGCCCAGCCTGTCCGACTTGTATTCCGGGCTGTGTCTCGCCCCTGTGAGAAGTTTCTTTCCTCACAGTTGTAAAGGCCAGAGGTCCAAAATCCAGGGGTCAGCAGGACCCTGCAGTCTCTGAAGGCCCTTTTCCTTCCTAATCCTTCCATCTCTAAGTCTGTGAGGCAGCTAACAGGTTTTGTAGTATTGTCTCACATTAGCGTGGTGATGTCCCCAGGAAGTAGACGTTAGAACCATCCCCATTGTGCAGGTCAGGAGACTGGGGAGGCCCTGAAAGGCACAATGGCTAGTTTGGGGTCACAGAACTGGCAAGAGGCAGGAGCTTGGTGACCCAGATGGCTTCCCCTCTCTGAGCCTCAGGGGCTGGGAGCATGAGAACACACTGGTTGGCTGTCCCAGCTCCCAGGGTGGCTGTGAGTACCTGGAAGTGCCCCTTGTCTCCCCTCACACATCTGCCATCACTCTCCCCATTTCCTTAACCCCCAGCACTGCTGCCACTTGATTTTTACGAACATCTGAATATGACGAACATACAGATTTTTACGAACATCTGAATATGACGAAGTAGCAAAGGTGGATATTCACTCATTCATTTCGTATCTGTCTCCTGGGCCCAGGCCATGCCGGGGCGGGGGGTGGGGGTAACAAGAATCCGGGGAGTTGCCAGGGGAAGGGGAAGTGCTCATCTGGGGAGTGCGTGGGCACAGAGAGATTCCAGAAGGAGGTGTCCTGTGGTCGTGGTTGATTCGTGGAGGGGAGGTGTGGTGATGGCACAGAGGGTGATGACTGGGACCAGTGTCTATCGGGTCAGCTTCCTGGGCTGCTGTCACAAAGTGCTGGGTGGCTCAACACAACAGAAATGTATTCTCTCACAGTTCTAAAGGCCAGAAGTCCAAAATCCAGGGGTCAGCAAGGCCATGCTGTCTCTGAAGGTTCTAGGAGAGGATACTTCCTTGCATCTTCCAACCTCTGGTGGCTGCCAGTTTCCTTGGCATTCGTTCCTGGTTTTGTAGACGTGTGACTGCAAACTGTGCCTTCATCAGTTCGTGTCTGTCCGCCTGTGCGTGTCTGTCCAATTTTCCCTGTTATCATAAGGATAGCAGTCATTGGATTAAGGCCCACCCTAATCCAGTATGACCTCATCCGGATTCTATCCGCACAGACCCTATTTCCAAATAAGATCTCATTCACGGGTACCAGAGATCTTTTTGTTCAGGGACACAGTTCAACCCGTAACAGGAGTATTGGGAATGATCCCCCTCCCAAAGGCCGGGTACCCGCGTGCCTACGGGGACTAGGGGAGCAGCGGGGAGTCGGAAGACATCGCAGGAACCCAGCCCCCAGCCAGGGGGTGTGGGGGCGTGAGCGGAGCCCGCCTGCTCCTCAGCTTGGCGCGCTCTGGCGGCAGCACCAGCAGGTGGCGCTGTGCCCTCCCGTGCGGCCGCCCAGCCCGGCGCGGAGCTGCCGCAGACAAAGGTCTCGCTTTCGGGTCGCGAGGAGCTTGCGCACAGCTGTAAACAGGCCAGGGGCACGGCCACCTCATGGGTGACACACACGGGAGGAAATCAAACCAGGCGGGGCCGAGGCGGGGTGACTGGGTGGCGACTTTGCGTCGGAGGCCGGCGGGGGGCGGAGGAGGAGGTGACAGGGGTGGCGAGGAGGACCATGGTTTGCAGACCGTGGTGTCAGCGGGGCGGAAAGGAAGGCAGGGAGGAGGGATAGGGGACCTGCGAGGCTGCAGGGGCCAGGAGTTTGCCTTTCGTTTGGTTCCTCGCCTGCAAGCTGAGCCGGCCTTTCTCAGGCCTCTCCAGAGGCCGTGCGGCTGATGACACTGCGGTTTGCAGATAGCTCTCCTGTTACTGCAGGCCCAGGTCTGCGGGTGCTCGGAAGGCAGCCCTGGGCACGGGTGGGCTGTCTGTGCAGATAGAGACTTGAGGGGTCCTTCCCCCCAACCCCAGCCCCAGACCCTGCCTCAGGGGAGCTGGGATGCCTGAGGTGGTCCTGCTGCTCCTGGTGGGGGTCAGCACAGCCCCTCAGAGGCGCCTTTGATATACAAAGGGGCGAGGCAGTGTGGGGCTGAGGAGCAGGGGTCAGGTCCCCGCCATGGAGCTGCTCACATGGCATCAGCGAAAGGGAGCGGAGTGCACAGCGGGCCGCTGGCCCAGGAGTGGAATGAGTGGAAGCCATTCCTTTATTTTATTATTATTATTATTATTATTATTATTATTATTGTTGTTGTTGTTGTTATTATTATTATTATTATTATTATTATTATTATTGAGACAGGGTCTTGCTCTGTGGCCCAGGCTGCAGTGCAGGGGCCAGATCACGGCTCACTGCGTCCTCGACCTCCTGGGCTCAGACCTCCAGAGTAGCTGGGGCGGCAGGTGCACGCCAACACTCCCAGCTAATTTTTGGATTTTTTTTGTAGAAACAGTTTCACCATGTTGCCCAGGCTGGTCTCAAACACCTGGGCTCAAGGGATTCCCCCCGCCTCGGCCTCCCAAACTGCTAGGATTAAAGGCTTGAGACACTGCATCCAGCAAGAGGCCATTTCTTACTGTCACCTCCCTACCCGCACAAGGCCCTCCCACCACCTCCTCGCTCACCGAGCTACCAGGCCCGCCCCTGAGGCTGCTGGTCCTTGACAGTTGGTTCAGCGATTGATTCACACAGCAGATACTGGCCTCTGTACACCTGGCTGGCGCTGGGTGCCTGGCCTGTGGGAAGCACCCTGGCTTCTGTGGAAGGCTCAGGGGTATGGGGCAGACAGATCTTGTGGAGAAGGCATGGGCTGCGAGCCTGGGGACCTGGATTCAGTGGCCACTCTGCCATCAGTGGCGTGGTCAGTCACCATTGCACGCTAGCCACAGGACTATTCTCCACAGAGTCCTTCCCTCTGTCCCCTGCTGCAGAGGTGCCTGGTGATGACAGCCAGCCTGTAGGCCTTGTGCTAAAGTGTCCCTTGTATCTGCTCAGCACTCTGCAAGATAAGTGCCACTGCCATCCTCACTTCCAGGTGGGGAAACTGAGGCACTGGAAGGGGAAGGAACTCCCACAGCTAGGTAGTGGCAGCTTGGCAATGGCGCCTCCCCGTGTGCACACAAGCCTGGGAAGGGCCAGGCACCAGGACCACATTCCTTCCAATTACAGTGGCCTTCCAACGGTCAGGGCTGGGCCCGGCTGCTGGGCAGGGCGGGGCTGGGAGGCCCTAGGCCCCAAGTGGTGGTTAATGGCGGCAAGGAGACATAAACAGAGCTAATGAGCCCCTTTCATCGTCTCCCTGCTCTAATGAAGGCCTTGGACTCTGGGCTTTGCATTTTGGGGGTTCTTGATTCTGGAGCCTCAAAGAGTCTTAGGGCCAGGGGTATGTGGGCCCCCCCATAGGGGTGGGGTGTGAGCTTATGGACTCCCAGTGTCCCCTCCCAGGGCAGCCAAGCCAGGGTGAGGAAGTGGAGAGGAAAGGGAACGGGAAGCATTGTGGCATCCCCCTAAGAATGACAAGCCCCAGAAAAAAGGGAGTGTTCCCGTGGCAACCCAGAGCAGTTGCTTGGCAACTGCTGGCCCCCAAAATACTTGCCTGCAGGAAGGCTCCGGGCTGGGGCTTTCCGATGGGCTTTCCGATGGCTCACTTCCAACCCCCACCAGCGCACACCCACCCCTGGCCCAAAAAGAAGACTCTGAGGCTGAAAGAGAAAATGCAGAGACCAGGGTCCAGGACCTTCATTAGAGCCTGGGGAGGAAGGGGCCTGACCTGCTGAGTTTCCTCAGATACTTCTCATGGCCCTCCACCCTGACACAGGACCCAGTAGACTCTGCCCCTGGATCCTTCCTGAGGGACACCCCAGTCCACTCCCCCCTCCCCATCTCCCCACTCTGCCAGCCACCCGGCATCAAGCCAGTCCCCTAGCAACAGAGGCCGCTTCCTGGATACCTGAGTGAGAGTTGACAGTGGCAGAATGTCAGAAAACGCAAGGTCAGAAAGCACAGCGATGGCTCGGTGCCAGCCAGAGTGTGTGGGGCCATGGGGTACCACGTGTGGTACCGTGTGCTTTGCCGCCCTGCAGCCGTGGGCTCCCTGGCCTGGGGCTGGATGGCATGCCAGGTTGTGGTTGGGCTGGGTACAGCCCTTGGAACAGGGGACTGTGGTTCTGGGCCAACTTTGATACCGACTGACTATGTGACCTTAGTGTGTCCCTTCTCGCTGGCCTCAGTTTCCCCATTGGTGGCCCATCTACCCCTCTGCCTGTGTGTTTACCGTTCAGTGCATAAACATTGCCCTGTGAATTATGTCACCTACTGGGGCCTTGGGGCAGGAGAGTGAGGGGACCAGGACCAGGCCGCCACTGCCCTTCCTCCTCACATGTCGGCATCCACCTCGGCCATCAGGCCCCTGGTCCTCAGGTGAGGCAGGTGGCTTTGGAGCAGGACACCTGGGTCCAAATTCCAGCTCAGCGCTTATTGCTGGGCATCCTAGAAGCAGCACAGGTCCCCTCTGAGCCTCCCTGTCTGCCCTGAGGTCCCCGCAGTTGCTGTGAGGGTGTAAGAAAGCCCTGCCCTTGGGCTCCCATAGGGGCTGCCTTAGTTTGTGGGCACCCACCCTGCACCCAGACTTGGGCACTGCGGGAGCCGAGGTGAGAACATGGATGAGGGGTGTCCAGCCTGGAAGGAGCGAGGTGGAGCCCCAGACCCTGGGAGAGGGTGGGGCAGTAGAATGGTGGGAAAAGGCAGGTGGGGCCACACTGCCCAGTGGGTTGGACTTTGGGGATGGGAAGGCTATGAGACCTGGTTGCCTCAGATGTTCTCTCTGGGGATGGCAGTGAGGGTAGGACTGTTGGTGACAACTCTGCAGGAACTCCCGGTGCTCTCATGGAGCCAGGATGCCAGTCTGACCCTGGTCATTTGCTCACTGTGTGACCCTGGGTCATGATTTCACCCCTCTGAGCCTCCCTTGCCCCATCTGTCAAATGGGCAAGGGGTGTGCCCACCTCCGGAGTTGGGTACTGGGCTCGTATGTTCACTTGGGGGTCGTCGGCTGGGCTCAGGGTGATCCCATGGGGACTCTGCCCAGCCACCCCCAGCTGGAGTGCCACAGGAGGAGGGGCAGGGCAGAGGGCAGCACAGACAGTGGCGGGGAGCTGCCGGCCCACAGCCCAAGGTGCGTGCAGCCCCGGCCCACGTTCTTGCCGGATGCCACGCCAAGAAGGCGGGCGGATGAGGCGAGCCCCCAGCCCAGCACCAAGGAACAGGCTGCAGGAAGCCAGTTGGTGGGAGGGAAGATTCAGGCACACAGCCCCACCCACCCTGCGTGGGTGCTGCACTAAGGACCTTCCCCACCCCCTCCCCCACGTTGGCCTCCCCTCCCTGCACTGCATGGTGGGCACATAATTAACTGAATTGAGCTGCCCAGTCCTTCTGGGAAGGATAAGGGGGGCCGGGACCCACTGCCTGCTGGAGGGCACCCCAGTCCTTCCCTCTTTCTAGGTTAGGGTCCAGAAAGGGCTCCCATGGGAAGGGTGCAGGACCTCTCTGCTGGACACCACCCGAGAGGTCAGGTGTGCCCATCTGACCTTTGTGTTCCGAGGGAGGAAGGCAGGGAGGGGTGGGCTTGTCCAGTGGAGAGAAAGAAGAAAGCACCCTTGGCCAACCAGAGGCCCTGAGTCCAGGAACTTCCCCCACCTCTGGCACCCGCCCCTCTTGGGACTTTGTCCTGATCCCAGATGTGTGTGTGGGGGGGTGCCCTTTGCCTGTAATGTAAGTTCAAAACTGGGAGGGTGGGACCGTGGGGAGGGTGGGACCATGGGGAGGGTGGCAGAAGGTATTTAAGTCCTGGGGGCTGCCACCACCTGACCTGAATCCATTCCAAAGGGATTCCCGCTCCCACCCCACCCCACCCCACCCCTGCTGGGCTATAGCTGCAGCAGCACTTATCTGTCCCGATGATCAAGTGATCAGCTGATTAATCACCTGACTAGTGCTGTCATCTGTCACGATGTTCACCAGGAACAGCAGCCGCAGGGAAGTTCGGGCTGTCTAGAGGTCAAGGGGAGAGAAGCCTGGGAGGTGGGATGGGAGCCCTGGCTTGGCCTCAGGGGACCCAGACAAGTGGGTTCCTTAACTCCTCTGTACCCCCATTGCCTCCTCTGTGGGCCTACGGATGTGGGGGAGTATGAGATGTTCCTGAGGCCCCTGGCACCGCATGGGCAGGCCCTCCGCAGATGGCAGCCAATGTCTGCTCCGCTTCGCAGAAGGGAGATGGCCGATGGCCCACCAGCTCCCGCTGCCCTTGGGGAGCCAGGGTGTGGGTGGAGGGCAGGGACACTTGCAGGCCCTAAGTTGAATCCACAGGTTTTTTTCAGGTAGGGGAACTACGGCCCCGAGGAGGCGAGTAAGTTGCCCAGGCCACGCATCCCACTCTCCCCCGACCCCCTTCTTCCCTGAGGCCAAGTTCCAGGCCCTGCTGCCCAGTTGACAGGACTGGAGTTCAAGGGTGAAGCAGTCCACCTGGCCCCAGGCCCTGGGTGGCTGGGGAGGTGACAGCTGGGGGTAGTGGGCAGGTGGGTAGTGCCCAGTGTGGAAGGTCTCAGCTGGCGGCACCGCCTGCCTGGTCCCCCTGCCCCCTCGAAATAGCCGCTTGCCGTTCTTCAGGACTCCATGAGGTGTTTCCTTCCCAGCTTCTGGGGTCGGGGAGTCCCTGCATGGAGCCCTGCCTCCTCCCCTCTCCGCAGCCCTGAGGAGATTGCTGTCTGGCAGATATGCAGGGAGCAGGGTGTGTATCCAGGGCCTCTGGGCCTGCAGGGGCAGCGGCTGTGTGCTGTGGGATGCGGTGGGGCACATGTGCATTCTAGCACGTGTGTTGGGGGCAGGTGCATCTCTCTGCCTTTGGGTGACCCTGTATGTCTGCAGCATGCATGTGCTCAGATGTGACAAGCTTGACAGTGGCTGAGGGAGCACATATATGAAGGGGTATGTGTGGCTGCGTGTGGGGACACATGGCTGGTGCCTGGGGAGGGACAGCACGTTGCCACAGTGAGTGTGGGAGGGAGTGGGGGTTTGCATTTTGCCTTTTTAAAGCACTAGACCTGGACAGGTGCGGTGGCTCATGCCTGTACTCCCAGCATTTTGGAAGTCGAGGCAGGTGGATCACCTGAGGTCAGGAGTTTGAGGCCAGCCTGGCTAACACGGTGAAACCCCATCTCTACTAAAAATACAAAAATTAGCCGGGCGTGGTGGTGCACACCTGTAATTCCAGCTACTCGGGAGGCTGAGGCAGGAGAATTGCTTGAACCTGGGAGGCAGAGGTTGCAGCGAGCCGAGATCACTCCAGCCTGGGTGACAGAACAAGGCTCTGTCTCAGATAAACAAACAAACAAAGCACCAGGCCCAGGCCGGAGCCGTGACCATGAGGAGGGCTGAGTGTCAGTTTTCTCATGTGTCACTGGGTTGACAGCCGGACCCAGCTCACAGGGTTGTGGTGGCTGGGAACTGCTCAGCCACTGCCTGGCACACCCAGCTGCCCACCATGATGCTGGCATGGAGACCTGAACAGCTCTTGGAGGGTCCCTGGGCAGGGGAGGGCAGCTGGTACCTTGCTGTCCTTTGTCAGGCATCCCAGGTGAGGCAGATAGGAGAGGCCCTTGAGCCTCGCCTTCCAGGGGAGAAGCCAAGGAAGGAGCCAAGCCCAGGGATTAACGGGACAGTGGGTGGCAGGAGGGTGGGACACAGCAGTGTCCCTCAGACCCAGGGCCCTAGAGTCCCAAGGGATTGCGCTTCTCTAGCCCTGGGGAACTTCTTGCAGGCAAAGGACTGTGAGAAAGAGGGCAGCGGGCACCAGCCCTGCCACCTCCTGGCAGCCAGCCAAGGCCCTGTGCCCTCTCCAGAGGCCAGGGCAGCTTAGGAGGTTCCCTTTGGAAACAGTAGCCCCACTTCCCAGGCCCTCAGCCCCTTCAGGCAGGCAGCAGGCTGGTGGCGGCACCGGGCACACAGTGTCCCTGGCACGGCAGGCAGCCTCCCAACCACAAGGGCCCGTTTGTCCTGGTTCCCCTGGCCCGAGCGCACTGGGCGACCAGGGCCTGCTGGACACAGGGGCCTGACTGTGGGCTCAGCCCCCATCCCCCATCCTCACCAGCCACGGCTGTGCCTTGGGGAGGGGTCTCTGCCCACAGCAGAGCAACTTCTACTTACCTGTGAACAGAGACCCATTCCCCAAGAATTGTTCCTGGGCCAGGAATTTAGGAAGGGAAAACCCCCTAGGTTAAACCAGGGCCAACCTGACCACCTACCACCGCCTCCACCGTCCCAGGGCAGGCTGGCTTCTGGGAAACTCCAGGGCCCTGCTTCTAAGAAAAAGGGCTCTTGCTTCCCAGAAAGCCTGGCTGCCTTCCTCCTCGCTCTTCCCCCGCCTGGCTTGCCTCTGCCTCTCTTCTCAGCCTGGTTCCTGGGGGGAAAGCACTTTAATGGGAGGGAGCCAGGTGAGCAGAGGCGCCCCGCCCTTCCCTGGCCCTCCGGCCCCCTGCCCTCCCTCAGGCTCCTCTCCAGCCTCATCACCTCTTCCAAGGAGCTCTCCTGGTGATCTTCCCACAAGAACCTCCGAATATTTTAGAGTCTGGCCCATCGAGCTCACTTGTTCATCTAGGCATTTATGGAGAGCCAGCTGTGTGCTAGATGCTGTTCTAGGCATCAGGACCCTGGGGAACAGAGTCCCTGCTCTCAAGGAGCTTACAAACTCCCCGCCATGGGGGGCATGAAAGGACCCCGTGGTAGGTGAATTGTGTTGTTTTGTTTTGAGACGGAGTCTTGCTCTGTCGCCCAGGCTGGAGTGCAGTGGCACGATCTCAGCTCACTGCAACCTTTACCTCCCGGGTTCAAGTGGTTCTCCCGCTTCAGCCTCCCGAGTAGCTGGGACTACAGGTGCACCACCACACCCGTCTATTTTTTGTATTTTTAGTAGAGATGGGGTTTTACCGTGTTGGCCAGGCTGGTCTCAAACTCCTGAGCTCAAGTGATCCGCCCGCCTCGGCCTCCCAAAGTGCTGGGATTACAGGCGTAAGCCACCACGCCCAGCCTTGTTTCGTTTTTTGAGACGAAGTCTTGCTCTGTCGCCTAGGCTGGAGTATGCAGTGGTGCTATCTCAGCTCACTGCAACCTCCACCTCCTGGATTTAAGCCAGTCTCCTGCCTCAGCCTCCTGAGTAGCTGGGATTACAGGCACGCACCACCATGCCCAGCTAGTTTTTTTGTTTGTTTTTGAGATGGAGTCTTGCTCTGTCGCCCAGGCTGGAGTGCAGTGGCACGATCTTGGTCACTGCAACCTCTGCCTCCCAGGTTCAAGCAGTTCTCTGCCTCAGCCTCCCGAGTAGCTGGGGTTACAGGCGCCGCCACCACGCCTGGCTAATTTTTGTATTTTTAGTAGAAACAGGGTTTCACCATGTTAGCCAGGCTGGTCTTGAACTCCTGACCTCATGATCCACCCGCCTCGGCCTCCCAAAGTGCTGGGATTACAGGCGTGAGCCACCGCACCCGAGCTAGTTTTTTTGTATTTTTAGTAGATGCAGGGTTTCACCACATTGACCAGGCTGGTCTCGAACTCCTGAGCTCAAGTGATTCACTTGCCTTGGCCTCCCAAAGTGCTGGGATTACAGGCGTGAGCCACCGCGCCCGGCCAAGGTGAAATGTTTTAATGTCCCTCCTTCCATCCATACCCGCGCTGCCCCCTCAGCCCTCCTGGCCTGTCTGCAGTTGTAGCACCTGCTCCTGCCCCATGGGCCCCATCAGCCTTCCCTGTTCTGTTTTTGCCTTCTGGAGCATTCTTATTTTCAAAAATGCATTTTACTTATTATGACCTAGGCCAAAGGTGATTTTTATGTGTTGTGTTTTTCCCTGGTCTATCGCTGGCACTTGAATAGTGCCCGGCACCTAGTAGGTGTTCAGTAAATTCGCGTGGTCTGGCTGTGTGAATATAGTTGTGCCCCGGGCCCTCTCTGTGGTCTGCAGACAGTGCAGGCTACAAACTCTGTTACTGATCCTCATCTCCTTCAGTAGAGAAATGGACATTGTTTAGAAACTCTATGGCAGTTGACATTGCTGCAACATTTCACCTGCATTTTACAGAAGTATCAGCTGGCCTTGAATTCAAAATAAGAACTCTGGTTCTTCCCTGCAGAGGATGCCACCTTGGGGTGCCATTTTTTTGACACGGAGCATGTGCCAGGCCCTATCTTGAGTGCTTCCCATCCAGTGTTTCATTTCAGCATGCAGTCTTTTTGAGGCAGAGATGTTCCCTGTTGATGGGCTAGAACCAAGGCTCAGCAAGGGAAAGGAACCTGCCTGGCTCACCCAGCTCCACCCAGCCAGGAAGTGACAGGATGAGGGTTTGGCCCAAGACTCCTGACACTGTAGGCCCCAGCTCCCAGCCACTGCTTGGATCCTTACAGTTAGACGTTGGGTTCCTCCTGGAGCTGGACCTGGGGGCAGGCAGGGTTGGGGAGGGGAGCTGCGGTGCCCTTGGCAGGGCTGGGTCCTGCTGGGCTCAAAGCCAATGGGAGCGGCTGGGGCAGGGCCTGGATTCTTGGATCCTCAGCTTCTTGGCAACCTGCGTGACTCAGTGGGCTGGTAATAGGGGCCGGCGGGCAGGCAGCCAGTGCAGGGGAGCCCTGCGGTGGGTGAATCAGCCAGTTGCTGAATTACTGTCCTGCCTGGGGTGGTGCCAAGCCCCAACTGCCAAAATAAGCACAGCCCCTCTTTGCCTTTCTCTCCCCACTCCAGGGTGGCCCACCTTCCACATGCCTTGGCAGGTGTGTCCTGTGGCTCTGCTGCTCCTGGGAGTCCCCGGGTCTCCCTAGCCTGGAGCAGGGGAAAGGTCCTCCCCACTGGGGTGTGTAGCCTTCCACAAGTCATTCTGCGGCTCTGCCTCCCCACCACACACAGGGGCCCTCCTGTGAACTGGAGGTCATTGAGATACTTGCACCCTGAACTTAGAAGGGCACCGTGAGGATAAAATCACCTTTGACTCTTTATGAAAAGTCATAAAGAGTCTTCCTGCTAGGAGTTTGCAGGAAGGAGTGACTGGGAGCGCAAACCTGAGAGTCAGACAGGATTGGAAGCCCTGCTCTGCTGTGTGGCTTTGGATGAGCTTTGTGCCATCTCTGAGCTTCATCCTCAAACTCACCTGCAAAACCTGCGTCACATATCATGATGGTGAAATGATACCCGCATTGGCATGGCAGTGCGTAGTAGAAATTATCAGAGGGTTGTTGACTCTGGTTTAGGCGCCAGGTTGGAGGCAGCAGTGATCAGCAGAAATGGAAGTCAGAGTCCCCAGCCTAGGCCTCCTACAGGGGACAGACCACCCACCCCAGGGACAGGGTCCCAGCAGCGTCAAGTCTGTGTGCTGCCTGGAACAAATCTACTTGTGATCCTTAATTTGGAACAGAGTAGAGGAAAGCAAGCAGCCTTGGGGGCCGGACTTACACCCTGCCTTGGCACTGACACGCTGTGTGACATCAGGCAAGTTGTTCGCCCTCTCTGGGCCTCAGTTTTCTCAGTTTTACAACAGAGATGATGACTGTGGCCTCATCTTTCTGGCAGAGGCTGTCTGGAAAAGTGCTTTGTCCCCATTGAGGTGTGCTAAAGGCGGCGCCAGACTAGGCTCTAGGGTACGAAGGGGTGTCAGGAGTTGATCCTGCCTGCCAGGCTTCTGAACGTGGCAAGAATTTGCCTCTGGGCTGCACAGTGACAGGTGTCAGTGATGCCCCCGTCCCTGGGAGTCTCCTAGTCAGAGCCAAAGAGGGAGGGGATGCCAGGCATAGGTGCAGCCTCCAGGGGCAGGATCTGTCTCCTGCACGACCACAGCATCACTACCTAGCAGAGCCGGCTGGGCCTGAATGTGTGTTGAGCGACTTGACGGGGCCTCAGGTTCCCAGAAGCCAGGGGGAGGGGAGCTGGAGTGTCCCCCCAGCTGGACACCGAGTCTGGCCAGCAGCTCCCTGAGTCAAGTTAGCAGCAGGAAAGAGGAGCAAAAGCCAGGCCTCGGCCTCTGCTATCTGCTTCCTGGACAGGATGTGGTGCCGAGTAAACAGCTTCGCGAGGAGTCACTGCTCTGGCTCTGAGTCACAGCTCCTAGCGACAGCTGCACAGTGTTTGTAAACAATGGGCCTCACACCCAGCCAGGGCCTGCCCCTACCTAGAAAGGTGCCTGTGGGTTGGGTTTTGCTAGCCTGGGCTTGTGTGTGTGGCCAGGTGC
This sequence comes from Homo sapiens, assembly GCF_000001405.40. Classification (NCBI taxonomy): domain Eukaryota; kingdom Metazoa; phylum Chordata; class Mammalia; order Primates; family Hominidae; genus Homo; species Homo sapiens. The sequence continues at coordinate 133,133,777 of NC_000009.12, read as the reverse complement.
ATTATCCCAGGCCACCCGGCGTGCTGGGCAGAGCATCGTGGGACCACTGGTAGGTCGTGTGTCCTGGGAGAAGCCTGGGGTCAGGGTCGTCGTAAGCTTCATGCACAGTAGCTGGAAATGTTTGTGCCATGTATGGCCCTCACTAGGCCCAGCTCCTGAAGGCAGCCAGAGTTGCGGTGGGGAGGCTGCAGGTGGAGCTCCTCCAACTGGCCTCACCCCCAGGCCCCAGCGCCTCGGCTGTCCATGGCAGTCTTCGTTCCAGGCAGTGACAGTGATGTGGCGCATCACGTGGCGGCCTGGCCAGCAGGGAACAAAGACCCTGCTCTCCCCCAGGCTGGCGGCAGAGGCAGGGCCAGGGACCACGTGGGTGGGAGGAGGGGTGCATGGCCCTGCTGCTCCCCTCCTGCCAGCACCACCTCCTCGGGACTCCTGCATTTCTGCGTGGCAGCTGGTGCTGCTCCTCCTGCAGCCTGACTGTGTCAGCAGTCCCTCGATGGCCTTTCCAGCAAGCTCAGTGCCCACTGCCCCGGGTAGCCCTGCCCACCCTGGCTCCGAAAGGAGGAGCCCCAGGATTAGGCCCTGAGGCCAGGCTGACCTGTGCTGGAGGTGGGGGCAGGGGAGATATGGGGGTAACAGGCTTGGGAAGCTGGGCTGGAGTGGGCTATTCAAGAATAGCACAGAAAGCTTGTGTGAGAGATGCAAGGCCCTGCAGAGGGCCTGGTACCCGGGAGCTGCTTGTCCAAGCAAAGGCATTAGCTCACAAACACACCAGCAGGGTGGCCTGGTTCCCTGCCACTTCCCTACTGGTCCCCCACCCCCACTATGAAAGTTGAGCGCTTCTGGCCAGGCACGGTGGCTCACGCCTGTAATCCCAGCATTTTGGGAGGCCAAGGCGGGCGGATCTCGACGTCAGGAGTTTGAGACCATCCTGGCCAACATGTAAAACCCCATCTCTACTAAAAATACAAAAATTAGCTGGGCGTGGTGCCGCATGCCTGTTATCCCAGCTACTCGGGAGGCTGAGACAGGAGACTCGCTTGAACCCGGGAGTCGGAGGTTGCAGTGAGCCGAGATGGCGCCACTGCACTCCAGCCTGGGTGACAGAGCGAGACTCCGTCTCAAACAAAAAAAAAAGAAAAAAAGAAAGTTGAGCGCTTCTTTCCAGGGCCTCTTTAAGCCCCCCACCCAACCAAACATGCGCACACTGTAGGAAACACCTTCTCGGCCACTGAGCCCTTCTACGGGGCTAGGCTGCGAGGTCACACTTTGCAGACAAGGAAACCGAGGCTCAGGGAAAGCCCTCCCCACCCCCTCAAACCACGTGGTAAGCTCCCTGTTAAACCTGGAGTGGCAGCCGAACCACACCACACAATGCCCACAGTCACATGGCCAGGCAGTCAGCAACACCGGGGTGAGAGGCCGAGGCTGGGGACAGCCTCGGATCCCTGCTCGGATACCAACCCCTGCCGCCTGCCTCACCCAGATCCTGCCTGTCTGCACAGGGCGTCTCTCCCGTTAATAGTGTGTACCCAGACAGTGACCTCTTCGCTGGTCCCCTCTCCCGGGACCGGGCCTGCCTTGCAGTACCCATCTGTGTGTGCTTCTACATCAGCAAACATTTCCAAGCTATCTGCTAGGATCCAGTTACAAGCCACACTCTGAGCACTGGGCAGACCCCGGACTGCCATCTGGACCTTGCTGCCAGGGATGGAGTCAGGCTATGGCACTCCTGGCACAGGGGCAGCATCCACCAACATTGATCAAATGTCTGTTATGTGCCTGGCACCGGGGCAGGCATGTAACCCTTTGGCACCTGAACTCCTCAATCCCCACTGGAAATGATCATTGCACATCCGCCAAGCACGGCCATGAGCCGAGCCCATGCTGAGTTCTTGTGGAATCCTCCAGCGCCCTTGTGCCCATTTTATAAGGAGCAAACTAAGGCCCAGAGATGCTAAATCATTGGCCCAGGGTTCCAGAGTCCCTGGGGATCAGAATTTCAGTCCTGGGCTGACCAATTCACAGCCTGGTTGGCTCTACTGTTCCTCGAAGGTCAAGGTTGAGTCACTGTGCGCAAGAGAGGCCAGTGGTGATGCCTGACTTTCCCAGGGGACAGGGCCTTGGAGCCTGGCACAGAGGAGGAAGTGTGCCAGATGAAAAAGAACAGGGAATGGGTGGCTGGGGCAGGGATGGTGTTGCTGCATTAAGACAGGGGTGTTGGAGAAGGCTGCTCTGACTGGGGGCCGAGTCCTGAGACCAAGGGGGAAGAACATGGTTCCCAGCAGAGGACACTGGCAGCTGGAGTTAGTAGGAGGGGGCTGTGGGCAGGTGAGGACTTGGGATTCTCTTCTGGGTGGGACAGAAATGGTGGAGGGATTTTAGTGGAGGTGACTTGTTCTGGCCACAGGGTGAGTACAGGGAGGTAGGTTTCAGGGCCCCCCTGAAACCCTCTAGCTCCATTTCTCTGATGCTCCCCCACCCCAGCCCAGCCCACCCCCACATGCCCACCCACATCCCCTGAGAGTCTCCACCCTGAGGGTGGCAGAGCTCCCAGGCCCTGAACTGTCTGCTCAGCTGGGTCCCCTAAGGCCCACAAAGCCACCGGAAGAGGATGTGAGATGCTCAGAGGAGCAGGGCTGGGAGCGAGGTGCTGCTGGGGCAGTGTCTGGGCGGGAAGCCGGGCCCCAGGGCCTGATGTGCCTGTGGGGGCACTCCACAGCCCCTGCCCACACCCTCTCCTCCCCGCCTCTGCTGTTCTGCTCCCTGCCCTGTGCCCTCCACTTGCAGCCAGGGACTGGGCATCCACCCGGCCAGGTTCCCAGGAAGGTAAGGAAGTAGCTGAGACTCTTGGCCTCTGACTTCGCCCTGGCATCTCTGGGCTTTGGGGTTGGGGCTCTGAGTGTTCTGGCCCCCAGGTCAGGATGGAAGGAGCGTCTGCAAGCTTTGCAGAGCAGCTGGACAGACACTTTTCCTGTGAGATCTTGGGCAAGTCCCTGCTCTCTCTGGGGCTCAGTCTTTCCACTTGTCAGACGGGTGTGTTGGATGCGTCTGATGGCTTCCAATGTCTGGTTTGCAGCAAAATGAGAAAAACAGGGACAAGGTAGTAAGTTGTTGTATTGTTGTGGTGGTGGTGGTGGTTGTTTACAACTCCAGTAGTCACTCTAGTAAATTATTCTAAAAGCCAAATGTACTCATTTCAAGCCTGCCCTTCTTTCTGATGGCAGCCCTTTCTTGTTACCTTTGGTGGTGTTTTTTCTGAATGGTGGGAGTAGTGGTGGTAATATTATTATTTTTTACCACCCTACTTAATGAAACAAACCATTGGCATCCCCCACCCCTGCGCCCAGTTAAAATGAAATCTTGTGGCCGGGTGCGGTGGCTCACACCTGTAATCTTACCACTTTGGGAGGCCAAGGCAGGTGGATCACCTGAGGTCAGGAGTTCGAACCAGCCTGGCCAACATGGCAAAACCCCATCTCTAATAAAAATACAAAAAAATTAGCCAAGTGGCTGAGTGTGGTGGCTCATGCCTGTAATCCCAGCACTTTGGGAGGCTGAGGCAGGCATATCACGAGGTCAGGAGTTTGAGACCAGCCTGGCCAATGTAGTGAAGCCCCATCTCTACTAAAAATACAAAAATTAGCTGGGTGTGGTGGCATGCGCCTGTAGTCCCAGCTACCCAGGAGGCTGAGGCAGGAGAATCGCTTGAACCCGGGAGGCAGAGGTGCAGTGAGCCGAGACCATGCCACTGCACTCCAGCCTGGGTGACAGAGTGAGACGATGTCTCAAAAAAAAATTAGCCGAGCATGGTGGCATGTGCCTGTAATCCCAGATACCTGGGAGGCTGAGGCAGGAGAATCACTTGAACCGGGAGGTAGAGGTTATAGTGAGCCGAGGTCGCACCACTGCACTCCAGCCTGGGCGACAGAGCGAGATTCCATCTCAGGGAAAAAAAAAAAAAAAAAAAGAAGAAAGGAAATCTCGTGCCTGGGTGCCAGGGATGGAAGAGCTCAGGTCTAGGGGGCAGGGAAGCCTTCCAGAACAAGTGAGTGGGGTCTCCTGCCTGCCTCCCAGTGCCTCTGGCTAGACTCACATCCGCCTGGTGGCTCTGCTGACCGAACCCTGTTTTGATTTGGTTACTTGTATCTGTCACCTTTCTGGCTCTGTGTGGTGGTTTCCAGGCCCCCGACACAGGGGGAATGGGAGTGGGGACTTGGAGAATTAAGGGAGAAAGCTAGGCTAGCTTGGGGCAGCCTCTCCACTCGTCCTCGGCTGGCCCATGGCCTGGTACAAGCGGGAATTCCTGGTCCTGCCTGTCACAGCAGCAGGTATGACAGCCACGCGGGTGACACCAGGCCCAGGCACTCGGGTGCTCCACTCCACTAGGGCACGCAGGCGACGAGCACACTGGCAGAGGGCCTCCCGCAGGGCCCACTCCCCACCTGGCTCTCGCCCCACCATGGCCCGGGAAGCAGGCCAGGTTTGTGCCAGGCCTGCCGTGCCCAGGGGGAGGAAGGGCTCTGTGTTCTTTGCCTGTGTCTCTGTGGTGACCGCCAGGAGAAGGGCCGTCGCCCGTCGTGCCGCTCTCCAAAGCCCGACACCTTGGCTGGCACCTCTGCCAGCACCGGCCACCACCGAGGTGAGTTTCCAGGGCAACCAGTGCCTCTGCCGGGGAGGGGCTGGGTGGGTCACCGCCGAGCCCCAGGCATGGGAGTTGCTTTCCCAGGACTCCCTTTCTTCCCTGCCAGAACTGGTTGGAGGAGTTTGGAACTCACAGGGGAGTCTTCATCTCCCATCTCGGGTATGAGAGAGGAGACTGGGGGTCTGCTCTGCTGCTGGTGCCCGTGTGCACACGCTTGGCCTCCCCAGCTGCCCCCAGCCCCACGGGTCAGTCCAGGGTGGCTGCGGGCTGTCCTGGCAGCTCCGTCCAGAGGGTGCTTCTTGGATTACCAAGGACTTCTGTGCACTGCTTCACTGTCTGCTCCCCTGAGAAGCCTGAGAGCTGGTGCTATGACGGTTACTGTCCCCATTTTACTGATGGAGAAATTGAGGCCCCAGGAGGTGAAACTAAGGCTAGGAAGACACAGAGCAGGCACTGGAACCCGAATCTGCACTCCAGATCTTAAAAGAGTTCCCCAAACCCACAGGAAAGAATGGCCCCTTGGGGCTGGCTCATCCCAAGGCCCCCTGTGCTGTGACATTTCCAGCTGGCACTTTGTGGAGCATTTCCAAGGAGTCCGGGGCCAGGATGGCGGCTGACCACCCTCCAGGAGGGGAGATCATGGATGCCGGGGCCCCTCGGGGTGTGATGTGCCCCACCTATCACAGCTGTGGGATAGACGTTGCTGCCTTGTGATCAGGGCCCCTGGGCTTGGGGACAGGTACTAGGCTGAGACTATGGGACCCTCTGGGCCTTTGGTCCCTTCCTCAGCCAGGTGTGCCCAGCACCCCCCGCAGCCCCTCTGCGCCCTGTCTCCTCGCTTCCGTCTGCCTGCTGCCTCCCTCTCCCGCTGTGGTCCTCCGGCTCACTTTTGGGTCTTGGGTTCAGTTTCCCTCTATGTCTTCCTCTCTCCTCTGCTTCCCTCCACTTCGGCCTGTCACATGTTGAATTGGTGGCCCCTCGGGGGTGGCAGTGACTCCTCACAGTGCCAGGCAGCGAGCACTGCAGGAGTGGGGGACAGCTGTCCGAGCGGCCCCCGATTTGCAGCCCATGGATGCATTTATCACGTTTGTTCCTCTGCGTGCCTCCCCCTCAATATGCCGGGGGTGTACCCATTTCCAAGGGATGACAGCAGGGCCCCACAGCGAGCCCCAGGCTGATCCGGAGCCCTCTGCATCCCCGTCCAGGGCCGTTTGCACTGCTCCCGGCATCGGCACACCTTGTTCTGGTTGTGCTGGGACGGCAGCGCCCCGTGAGGTCAGAGGGTTGCTGTCACATCTGCCACCCAGTGTGGTCTCCTGGAGATTTCAGTGGTTCGGTGCTTCGCTTCTCACCTGGCCAGCTCTGAGTTCAGCCTCTCGCCTGTGGGGACCCCTGCATCCTGGCGGCAGAAGGAGGAGGAAGAAGCCACCAGAGGTTGCCAGGAACCCAGTGGCAGGGGAGGTGGGGCTGAGCCAGGCCCGCCCGCTGTGCCGGGAGTTCCCACGCGTGGTCCAGCTGCGTCACCTCCTGCCAAGGTGTGTGCTCACCCGCCCACAGAGGGCCACCCCAGGACCTAGGCAGGCTAGGAATGGTGACGTCAGTGTTGGGAAATGACCAAGGAGCGTGTCCAGGCCTCACCCTTTTCATGTCCTCCCCAGGCTCTAAATATAGATCACAAGAGACAGAAAGGGGTCAGTGACCTCCACCTGCCCAACAGGAGGTGACAGGTTTTCCACCAGGGCCTGACCTGAGTCAGGGTACCTGGCTGCCATTCCTCCCGGCCTTGGCCAAGCCCAGGTTGGAAAAGGTGATGGCCAAAGGCCACAGTCACCCAGTCACTGCCCTGTGCCCAGTTCCCGCTCTGAACTGCTGTGTGTCCGGCAGCCCCCAGAACTGCACCCCAGGCCCAAAGCCCACTGTCTGGGGCCCTGCGTTAAGGCAGGCCTGGGTCCCGACTTGAAGGTCCACAGGGGCAGCTTTTATGATCTGCCTCTCAGGTACCGGCCAAGGATGTACTGGCCAAGGAATGGGTGGAAGGAGGGACGCACCAGCCAGACAGAAGGGGCGGCATGAAGAAGGAGCTGCAGCAGTTCTGCTGAGAGGGAACCTGGAGTGGGGAGCTGGGGCCACACCAAGCCAGTGGTCTTCTGCCTGAGGGCAGTGGGGGGCTTTGCGGGATCAAGACCCCACTGGCCGCGGTGTCTGGGTATGGGAGCAGGGAGAAGAGGGACCACAGAGATTCAGCCTGAACACACCTTTTCCCTAAACGAGACAGCTGCTCAGGGGCCAGAGAGTGACTTAAGATGCCCAAGGAATCGCTCCTCGCCTCCGTCTGCCTGCTGCCTCCCTCTCCCGCTGTCCCTCGCTGTGGTCCTCAGGCTCACTCTTGGTTCTTGGGCTCAGTTTCCATCTGTGTGTCCCCCTCCGTCTCTTCCTCCTCTGCTTCCCTCCACTTCGGGTTGTCACATGTTGAATTGGTGGCCCCTCCGGGGTGGCAGTGACTCCCCAGGGTGTCGGGCACTGGGCACTGCGGGAGTGGGGGACAGTTGTCAGAGCAGTCCCCACACATGCCCTGGCTACAGGGGGCAGCTGCAGTCAGCTTCCGGCGGCACTTGGGAACACAGACCCGGTGTGGTCAGGTCACCCAGAGTTACAGGAGAAGAGGGAAATGTGGGTTTTTATGTGAAGTCGCCTGACCTTTTACTGTTGGCTTAAAATTTTAAAAACACTTCGCAAGCCAAACAAAACACATGTGTGGGTGGGATCTGGCTGCCAGCTGTCAGTTCACAGCCTGCCTTTTAAAGTTCCTCTGCGAGCAGCGTCCCGACTTCCGAAAGGTCTGTGCAGCCGTGCTCTCCAGGGGCTTGTGGTTGTAGCCCCCAAGGAAAGGCAGGTGCACGTCCCGGGGGGAGGTTGGGAACCTGGGAAGGCTAGGTGGGGGTGTGGGGGGGCGTGAGCTGGGGCAGGAGGGAGGAAGGGATCAATGCCGATTCATAAGAACCCCCCACTTCCGGGCAGTGCTTAGTGATCTCGAGAGTCCTTAGTTCCTCCCAGCAGAGGCTCCAACCGCCAAGCACAGGGTTGTCATTGGCCTTGAGTGTCAAACCCACCCAAGTTCACCTGGACTGCCCCCAGCCATCTCTGATAGCCCCATGTGGGCATCCGGACTCGGGTTCTAGCTGCCCACGGCCTCAGTCCCCACAGCAGAGCCCCCAACCCCTTTTGTAGTGAAGATGCCATCAGTGACCCCTGTGCCCACAGAGAGTAATACAGGAAACGGTGAGCCTGGCAGGAGTCACTGCCCGGGGTCAGAAGTTTGTAGCCCTCTCTGGAGGACTGCTGGGAGCCTCAGAGGCATCAGAGGGTGAGTCTCAAGCTGTGTCCTTTTTCTTCTTTTTTTGAGACGGAGTCTTGCTTTGTCGCCCAGGCTGGAGTGCGGTGGTGCAATCTCGGCTCACTGCAACCTCCACCTCCCAGGTTCAAGCGATTCTCCTGCCTCAGCCTCCCAAGTAGCTGGGATTACAGGCACGCGTCACCATGCCAGGCTAATTTTTTTGTATTTTTAGTAGAGATGAGGTTTTACCACGTTGGCCAGGCTGGTCTTGAACTCCTGACCTCAAGTGATCCACCCAGCTCAACCTCCCAAAGTGCTGGAATTACAGGCGTGAGCCACTGCGTCTGGCCATTTTTCTTCTTATAACTTTTATTATGGATAATTCCAAATAGACACAAAAATAGAGAAAATGGCATAAAGACCCCCAGCTTTCACGACCATCGGTGCAGGGCCACTCTTGTTCACCTCTCACTGCCCCACTCCCTGCCCGCCCCTGGAGATGTTTACATGAATCCCAGGCATGTGATGCCATCCACAGATAGCCCAAGATGTAACTCTACTAGTGACGGCAACACCATTCTCACACCTAAAAAGATGTCTAATGTCATCCAATATGTAGCAGTGTTCAGACAATCCACATGTCTTATAGTTGTTTTTTTTAAACAGTTGTCTTGCTGACATCATGATCCAAAATCCACACATTGCATTTGTTAGACGTCTCTGACCCTTCTTTTAGTCTAGTTTCCCCTTTCTTTTTCCTCTGAAATGTATTTGTTGAAGAAACTGGGTTGTTTGTCCCATAGAGGTTCCCACAGCCTGGATTTGTGGATTGCACCCTTGTGGTGTGTTGAACATGTTTCTCTGTCCCCTGTAATCCCACAAATGGCAGTTATATGCAGAGGCCTGCCTTGATTTAGGTTTGGGTTTTGAGGAGAACACTGTGAGTGGTGCTGCGTTCCTCCACTGGTGACACACGCTGTCCCAGGATGGCCTTGCCCTTGGTTAGGGTGTCCCCACAGCTTACAGGAGGCCTCAGGAGAGGGTCTTGCATGCAGGAGGCGTCCCATGAATGCCAACCCCAGTTGCTAACAGTGTGAGGCAGAGTCAGGCCCGCCCGATCTGAGGGCATTGGGCAACACATCCTGTGCAGGGAACTTTATCTGTGCCTTCATTAGGGGGGCATGTGTATCTGTGTTTCTGTCTCTATGTGTGTGTATCTGTGTCTATGTCTCTATATCTGTGTGTGTGTGTCTGTGTCTATCTCAAACTTGTTTTTTCCCTTTTTGTGGAGAATGGGGTCTTGCTATGTTGCCCAGGCTGGTCTCCAATTTCTGGGCTCAAGAAATCCTGCCTCTGCCTCCCTAAGCTCTGGGTTACAGGCATGAGCCACCACACCCAGCCTCTGTGTCTGTCTCTATGTCTCTGAGTAGGTATGTCTCTGTCTGTGTGTCTCTATCTCTGCGTGTGTGTCTCTGTTCCAATGTCTCTGTGTGTGTGTCTCCGTCTCTAAATGTGTGTGCCTGTGTCTGTCTCTGTGCGTCTGTGTCTCTGTGTCTGTCTCTATGTGTGTGTGTGTGTGCCTGTGTCTCTGTCTCTATGTGTCTCTGTGGGTCTGTGTGTGTGTCTGTGTCTCTGTCTCTATGTATGTGTCTCTGTGTGTGTGTGTCTGTGTCTCTGTCTCTATGTGTGTGTCTGTGTGTGCATCTCTGTGTATCTTTGTGTCTGTGTGTGTGTGTGTCTGTGTCTCTGTCTCTCTGTGTGTCTCTGTGTGTGCATCTCTGTGTATCTTTGTGTCTCTGTGTGTGTGTGTGTGTCTGTGTCTCTGTCTCTATGTGTGTGTCTCTGTGTGTGCATCTCTGTGTATCTTTGTGTCTCTGTGTGTGTGTGTGTGTCTGTGTCTCTGTCTCTATGTGTGTGTCTCTGTGTGCATCTCTGTGTATCTTTGTGTGTCTGTGTGTGTGTGTGTGTGTCTGTGTCTCTGTCTCTCTGTGTGTGTCTCTGTGTGTGCATCTCTGTGTATCTTTGTGTCTCTGTGTGTGTGTGTGTGTCTGTGTCTCTGTCTCTATGTGTGTGTCTCTGTGTGTGCATCTCTGTGTATCTTTGTGTCTGTCTGTGTGTGTGTGTCTCATGTACAGCCAGAGCAGTGATCAGGCTTCCCAGAAGTTGGGAGGTGAGTCCCAAAGGTAGGGGAACAAGGCAGGAAGAGGAACTTTGTAAAAACAGACACCGGCCAGAGGGACTGGCTAAGTAACGCCCTCCCCCGCCCTGGCTCCTGTAGATGATATAGTCAGATGGGAGGGAGCCAGGCCAGCCGCGTTGGGGGGTTTAGTGTGATGAATTCTTTACTCTTCACCACTCCAGCCTCCTTGGGGCCACCCCTCGCCCCAGCACCCAGGACCTTCAAGGCCAGAATAGTGGTGATTCCTCTATGTCCTCATGAGTCACTTGTCCTTCTGGGCTATAAAACGGGTGGGCGCTTGTTCCCAGGCCCATCACTCAGCGAAGGAGATAAAGAGAGCAGAGGAGATAAAGTCAGTGGCAGGCAGCTTCTGGACTTTCAGTTTCCGGAGGCATTGGGAGCTTGGCCCCAGAAGAAAGGGATGGGAGGAGGAGCTTAGGGCCGAGGGCAGTGTCTCGGTCACCTCTTTGTGGCCCTGTGGGGACCTCCTGCCTCGAAATACGCCTCACCCACATTACCCTCCCTGGCCAAACGGCTTGGAGGCTTCCTAAACAGCCTCTAGGGATCTCCATCCCAAATCAAATCTACCCATCTTGCTTCTTAAAAAAAAAACAAAAACAGGCTGGGCGTAGTGCTCCTGCCTGTAATCCCAGCTCTTTGGGAGGCCGAGGCGAGCGGTTCACTTGAGGTCAGGAGTTCAAGATCAGCCTGGCCAACATGGTGAAACCCTGTCTCTACGAAAAATACAGAACTAGCTGGGCATGGTGGCAGGTGCCTATAATCCCAGCTCCTCGAGAGGCTGAGGCAGGAAAATCACTTGACCCCAAGAGGCGGAGGCCTTAGTGAGCCGAGATCACACCACTGCACTCCAGCCTGGGTGACAGTGAGACTGTCTCAAAAACAGCATTTATCACATAGAGCTGATTATTAAAATACTGATTTTAGAAATTAGAAATTCAGAGAAGTAAAATGAAAACCAGTAGAGCTTCCACCCAGCTGCAACTTACCACCATAATTTTTGTGAAGTAGGCCCTTCTAGTCGTGTGCACATGGGGGTCTTGTTCTGAACGGATGAACTGCCGCCTCACTCCAGTCACAGTGGAAGTGTTTCGTGGGTGTCTGAGGATTGGCACTTGGGAAGGGGGCAAGATGTGCTCGTGGAATGTGCTGTCTGGTCCCGCCCTCTCAGTTTACAGATGGAGAAACTGAGGCCCAATAGTACGGACCAGACCTGGGGAGGTTGGCATGGCCAGGGCTGCTGGCAGCAATTGCTGGCCTCCATGAAGACTGAAGGCTGAGGCCAGGGCAGGCCCAGTGATGAGTGAGGCATGAGGAAGGGTCCCATTCATTCATCCATTCTCCTGGCCCTGCTGTTAAGCCCCAGGCTGTCTTCCTTCCTCACTGGCTTCCAGAAAGAGTAGTTGAGGATGTCCCTGTCCCTGCTTCCCCTTCAGCCCCAGCAGCCCCACTTCCACCCTGAGACCAGGGATGTCCAAGCCACAAGCAGCCCCAGCTGACAGGCCACGCAGCCATGTGCTCTGCCCAGCGTTGTCACTCTTGATGCCTTCCTCCTTGTCAGATGCCTCTCAGCCCCAACCTTGGTGCCTTCCGCTCTCCCCCACCTCCCTGGCTTCCCCTCCTCTGAGGGTGTCTGTAAGGGGATAGTGTGGGGCTTTGCCCCAAAAAGGTAGGGCCCCACTCTCTGACCCTTTCCCCCACTGCACACACAGCCCCACACTCAGGATTTCCAATTGCACTGACAGGGTCACTGAACACATGGTCAGCCTCTCCAAACTCCGCCTGAGCCTGTAGTCAGGTGCAGGTGCTCAGTGCTGAGTGCTTCATGTCCATTACGTAATGTCATCCTCCCCGCAACTGTTTGAGGAAGTCATTTTCACTACCCAGATTTTCCAGATGAAGAAACAGTGAGGCTCAGAGGGGTTAAGCAACTTGTGGAAGGCCACAGAGTTGGGGAGAGGCTTTGCTGGAATTCGGGGTAGCTGACTCCAGGGCGGCTTCCCCACACATGATCAGCACGTACACATTTCAGCCCTACGCAACACACGCACTGCAGCAGCGTGACACGCAAACGGTGCCTAACCGGGGTACCCAAGGCCCCACGACACACGTGACAGCCGGTCCTCCGGGAGACCCAGCCAACGCGCACCCCTCGACCTCCCCGGCCCCGCCCTCTTTGTTCAGACCCCGCCCCTCCAGGCTCCCGGTCCCGCCCCGGGTCTGACCTCGGCGAGGGCGGGGCCGCGGGCGCGCGCACGCACGCGTCCCTCGGACTCTCCGGTTCCGCCCCTCCCCGGCCCCACCCTCTTCCCCTCCGGCCCCGCCCCCCAGCCTGACATCAGCAGGGCCGGGCCGCGGGCTCACAGCGGTGGCAAAGCCCAGCCGCGCGGGCCGCGCCGCCGCCCCCGCCGCGCGCCGGGCCGGCCCCGCGCCCGCGCTGCGAGCCTTCCATGGTGCAGCGCATGTGGGCCGAGGCGGCCGGGCCTGCTGGCGGCGCCGAGCCGCTGTTTCCGGGCTCCCGGCGGAGCCGCAGCGTGTGGGACGCCGTGCGCCTGGAGGTGGGCGTCCCCGACAGCTGCCCGGTGGTGCTGCACAGCTTCACGCAGCTAGACCCCGACCTGCCGCGCCCGGAGGTGGGTGAGCTGGGGCGGTCGGGCGGGGGGTGCGTCGGAGCCTCCCCACCCGCGGCAGAGCTGGGCAGGTCGGGGCGAGCCCCGGACGGGGCCGGGCGATCCCAGCGGGCCGCCTCCCTCCTCTCTCCTCCATAGGTGGGGGTCGGGGCCTTCTGCAGAAATCAGCCAGCAGGGTGGGCAGTGGGGGCTGCCGCCGCGCCCCGTCCAACAGTAGGGACCACGGCTGGGGTTTTGCGCCCCTCAATACCGTTCCAGGGCCTGCTGTCACCAAGGCCGCTGCAGCCCAGGTGGACCTTTTTCTGCGGCACTGTCCCTGTTTACATCGGTGGCCTGTGCCTTATTTCACTCAGTTCCCACCCAGGGCCCGCAGCGCGTCGTTAGCCTTTACGATGCAGGTGTGGAACAAGTGGTCGGGAAGGCCAAATCCTAGAATCCTCAGAGGTGATGAGACCATAGGGGCCTTCCAGACAGACCCTACTTGGGGCAGATGTGGATCTGGTGACCAGGGACATCGGGGCTGCTCAGAGCGGGGTGGGGGGGGGGTCGGGGGATGGGGTGGAGCAGCAGGCCTCCAACACGTGGGACCAGATGTCCTGGTGGTGAGGGGAGGAGGGTGGCCCAGGCCCAGGGCGGGCAAGACTTGTTTCTGCTTAACTGGAAAGAGTGCCAACACCCTGAATCGGTAAGGACTGGGTAGGATTCAGAGAAGGGAGTGGTGTACCTGTGATGGATGGAGGGGAGGGTGACTAGGTGAGGGCGGGGGCTTGTTTCTCGTGTGCCCTGGGTCTCTGGGTGGTGCCATCTGCCTCCCACCTGACTGCTGCTGACTACACAGCAGAGGGAGTGGAATCCAGAGATGCCCCCCTCGCCCTGCTCTGCCTGGGCACAGGGCCTGCACAGAGGCCATTCCTGGATCGGGGGCTCAGGGCCCATCAGAGCTTTGGCTGGGCTGCAGCCTTCACAGTGAACCTCCTGAGTCCCCGTGCGGCATCGTGTTGCCTTGCTGCGTCTCCAGTCGCTTCATGGCTTTAGACTGTGGCGCGTTGTGATTGCTGGCGATTGTTAGCCTGAGTCTCGTGCCTCTTGGTGTCCCGGTACCTAGACAGGGCCTGGATGCGACTTGTTTCTCCGCCCAGTGTTGGGCAGAGCTCTTGGTGGGGGAACACCACACGCCTGAGAGACCCTTTCCTCCTGAGCTTGGCAGATGGCCGGACCAGACGTGTTCCCTCAACCCTCATCTATCCAGGGCTCTGGTCCTCATTGGCGGCTGGAGAGGGACCCCTGGGAGGGTGGGGGTGGGAGGCTGACACCAGCCCAGCGCTCATCTGGCTTTCATTACCTCTGGCAGCAGCTCGGGCTTTGTGTGCTGGGAGGGTCCGGCGGAGCGCTCACAGTGGCCGTGCAGGTTCCCTCTCTCCGTCCCTGAGGAACTGAGGGAGAGGCAGAGCTGAGCCCCACCCCTGCCTGGGGGTCTTGTCTTCCCTCTCTCTGGCCCTGGCGCTCCTTGCCCAGCCTCAGCACTGAGATCCAGACCTCGACTGCTATTTAGAAATCAAAGGGGAAGCTTCTGGCTGGGTCAGGAAAACCAGGATCCTGGCAGGAGAGGAGGCCACTGCCGGAAACTGAACACAATGACCATTTACCAAGGGCCCAAGGGAGGGGGCGGGGAAGTCCCTGTCCCTCCTGCCAACACCCCCCGTCCTGGGGCTGGTTTCCTGGTGTCTATGTGGCCTGCCAGAGCTGACGCTGCGCACTTGGTCCCTGTCCTCTCTGGAAACCACCAGACAGTTTCTGCCTTCCCCCGCATCCCTGTTTCCCTACCTAGCTTCCACCCGGTGCTTCCCTCTGGGCTGCCAGATCTCCTCACATCTGGGCTTCCGCTTATCTTCCCGATTCTAAGCCAAGCCACCAATGACCCAGCTTGGCCTGCACAGTTCTTGCTTTCTGGAGGTGACCTGGTCCGTGCCCCCATCTCTGGACAGGCTGTTGCTTTGGCCAGACAAAAAGTGCAGGTTGTGGGCCACCCCCTCACTTCATCTGCCTTAGACCAACCCTACAGAGTAGGTGCCAACACCACCTTCTAGGAAGCTAGGGGGTCAGAGAAGGGAAGTCTCTGACCTAAACACCCGTGCAGCCAGCAAGGGCCGCAGCCAGGATTTAAGCATGGGCTGTGTTCTCTGTGGCACCTACTGTGTGCAGGAGCCACCAGGAGTCAGAGGAAGCCCAGGCAGCCCAGAAGCCCTGAGGTCAGGTGAGCAGTAGGGAAGCTTATGGCTCAGAGGAAGGCAAAAGTGCTTTGGGCCACAGGACGCTGGGGAGAGCTACCTGGAGGAAGCAAGCCCAGAACTGGACCCCACAGGTTTAAGATAACAGCTAATAAGAGCCAGCAGGTTTTGGGGAGGTCCTTGGCTAAGTAATTTGCATCATCTCCTTTTGGGGTCAAGACTGTTAAGAGCTCACTTGACAGATAAAGTCACTGAGGCAACAGAGGTGAATTAGATTGCACAGAGTGACCAAGCTGGTCAGTGGCAGGGCCAGGATTCTGACCCAAGGCCTGAGGGCAGTTGCAGGTGGGCTGGAGTGAAGAGGGCTTCTCTGTATTCACAGGGAGCATCTCCCTTCAGCCTCCCGCGTCTTCCCACTGTTTGATCTCTTGATCACACTGTGTGCAGGTCTTCGGTTTAATCCCCAGGGCTCATGAGCACTTTGACACTGAAGACCCCAAGGCAAAGGGCCTGTCCCTGTGTGGGTGTGTGTCCCTGCATGCATGTGTACAGACTGTGGTCTTCCAGGAGAGCTTCCTGGGTGACTCTGAAGGGGCAGCCCCCAGGACCCTCAGGTTCCCCTCTTGCTCTACTCGGGAGGGTCCCCCAGAAGAGGGGGACCAGGCTGGCTGGTCCTGGGTCTTTGTTCCTTCTCCAGGCGGGGGATGCTCAGGCATGCTGGCCTGTTTCCCGGGAGGCTCAGGAATGGCCCTGGGAGATATCAAGCTGCTCGTTGCCAGAGCTGGGGTCTGATTCTTAACCTGGAAATTGGGCATTTCCAGGACCTGTCTGCGTTGCCAATGAGAAAAGAGTGGGGAGATTTATCACTGGCCCTCTGCAGGCAGGCTCTGAACGAGCCAGTGGAGCGGTTTCAGGAAGCTGCACCCAGGCAGTCAAGGACTGGTTCCCAAGAGCTGCTGGTTGGCCGCCCAGATGGCTCCCATGGCGTGGTGCCACCATGCTGTGGCCACCCAGTCCCAGGGTTGGACTTCCAGCCTTGCAGGCCCAGAATCACTGTGTTCCCAGATATACAGCAACAGCAGAGCAGTGTTCCCCATTTGATTGTTAAGGGGCAGACACTGATGCATGCAGCCTCATGCAGGACAAGCTGAGCTTTGAGCAGACCCAATTCTCCCAGTTCCGCACACCTTGGCTGCCCACGGGCGGGGGAGGCAGTGGGATGGCAGCCCAACAGTGGCTTGGCGGGCGGGGCAGGACACCTGCGTTGGAGGGTTTTGGCGTTTTCCTCCATGGGGAAGCTTGCATGCTTTGGCAGCCTCCCCTGTAGTCATTCCTGGAGACTTTTGTCCATCTCAACCGAGGGGCAGGGAGCCTGGGCTCTGGAGAGAAGAGAGCTATGCTGGGATGCCAGCTCAGCCCCCTAGCAGATGTAGACGTGCTCCTGAGCCTCAGTTTCCTCATCTGTAAAATGGACATGATGCCAGCTCTCCTGTTAGGGTTCTGGTGAGGACCCTCGAGTTAGACAAGAGACCTGAGGAGCAGCCTGCACAGCACTTGGCACAGTGGACAGGTAGCAGCTGCCACAATGAGGTTTTCTGATTAGGTGCCAGGGGAGCGGCCTGACCCTTCCAAGTGCCCTGGGCTCCTCGGGTGCGTCACCTGGCACCTTCAGCATGGCACTTCCCTGGCCTGGTGTCTTGTAGGCCTTTTGCCCAGGGCACGTCCACAAACCTCTCGGAGATGCAGGTGCTAGAAAGCTGGCCCTGCCACCCTCCCCTGCGAATTTGCTGTGTGACCTGAGGAAATCCTTCCTGTCTCTGGCCCCTCCTCCACATCTGTGCCACAAGGGGCTGGACTCTGCTCCAAGCCTGAGACCATGGCAGAGGCAGCGCCAGGCCTGGGTGGGTCCCAACAGGCCAGGGTTCAAATCCCTGTTCTGGCTGCCACGTCCTGGCTCCTGACCTGGGCGAGTTCCTCTCAGGCTGTTTCCTTGTCCATCAGGCAGGGCGTTAGGAGGATTAAACGTGATGGGTGTCCAAAGGGCCTTGCACCCAGGAAGTGCCCGCATGTGCTGGGCACTGTAGCTGGTTAAAGTTGGGGCTGCCCTGCACCCCCTTGGGACCAGCCCACCTTCCTCCTCAGCTGCCACCAGCCACGCCCCTCCCGGGCCTGGCCCTGTGTTCACCTGACTGTCAGGGGCTGGGCGTGGACAGGGACCCTGGATGCCCAAGGCTTGCGGCTGACCTGGAGGTCTGGTTCTCCCTCCTCCTGCTTGAGGCACGATTTTCCCATCAGTGAGTAGCAGGGCACAGGCCGGCAGGGAGGGTTTCTGGAGAGATGGGCCGGCCTTTGCGGGGCTCAGCACTGGTTGGTTCCCAGCCTCCACTTTCTGAGGCCAGGGAGCATCCTGGTGGGCAGGCACCGCGTGTCGTCCCGGTCTGAGGCCGCCTCTGTGGGCTGCCATGCCCAGGATCAGGAGTGTGGCCCACCCACACCCCGGGCTGGCCTCCTGTCATCTTGATGCTTTGTCTGTGCGCTGGGGATCAGGGTTGGGTCCACCCACCTGGAGCTGGAGGGCAGGCCCGAGGGCAGGAGGGTCACGGACACGGACACGAGGCCCTTGCGTTCCACCTCCCTTGATGGGGCTCATGGTCCGAGCTCATGACTTGAGAAGTCCTGGGCTCTCACCTCTGGCTCAGCCAGCACACGCCCCACCGGCTCCTGTCCTCGGGCATGGGTCCCCACCTCTGTAGGACGGAGAAGGGCACAGCAGCGTGGGCCCCGCACTGTCGCAGGAGCCTGGGCTCTGTAGAGAGCGAGCAGCCTTCTGTGATGCGTTTTACGTTTGGCTTCTGTATTGGAGCGGAAAGCTGAAGTCAGAAAGCTGCTCCCACCCACTGGGTTTCAGGGTGACTCAGCCTCTCTTTACAGTGTCCCTCGGCTAGGTCCCTGAGCCTTAGGCAGGCCTCAGACAAGTTTCCCTCAGGTTTTTACAGCCCAGCATCCGTCGCCGGCCCCAGGGGGATATGATGTCAGGTGTTGTCCGGTACCACGCCATCAGGTCCCAGTGCCGGTCACCGAGCTGTGTGCATTCTCTCTTGACCCCCACTGTTGCCTGTGACAGGTAGTGCTGCCCTCCCCAGATGACACACCAAGGCCGAGGGCCAGGGGCTGGGCAGAGCCAGCGAGAGACAGGGAGCTGCTGTCTGGTGGGCCAGAACTGTGAGGTGCTGGCAGGGGGGTGGCAAGCACCCCGGGGTGACCTCTGGTGACTGGGACCTGAGCAGCAGCTCAGAGGGGCTTGGGAGGTCCCCCAGGACAATCTCACGCACACGGAGGCTCTGCCGTGAGCCTTTCCACACACAGGCCCGGGGAGGACCAGGGGCGGAGCAGGCCGAGGTGCAGGCTAGAGCCCTCTCCTCACTCCGCTTCAGCCCTCAGCCAGGTCTCCTTGGGAGGGGCCGGTGAGTTCCTGGAGCCATCCATGGGGCAGGGGGCCACTAGCTACGGTTTCCAAGGAAAGGCGTCTGAGTCCGGAGCTGCACCAGAAGGCTGATGCTGGGAGGAGGTGCCGTTGGCCTGAGCGGGGAGATGGCAGGGCTGGGGCAGGCCCCGTAGGGTTCCTCAAGACCCTCACTATTCTACCCAGAGGGAGTCTGGGTTTGGCCTGTGGCTTCCTCCTTCTGTCAGCCAGGGACACGGCATCCTGCTGGCCTGTCACTCTGAGAAGGCTGATCAGGTGACACACTCACCAGACACCACCAGGCCCTGTTTCCCATCCTCATCTTCAGGGCTCTGGGCTGTGTCCCTGGAGACATTGGGGTGTGGGGGCCCCTGCTCACCGGGGACCCCATGCCACCCTCACTGCACTGACCCAAATGTTAGAAGGCCAGACAGTGTGTTTACAGGCACAGCTGCCGACTGGGTCCCAGAGCCCAGGGACATCAGCATGCCTGCTAGGGGTGGGACAGGAGTGTCCCTTGAGGACACAGCCAAGCACGTGGTGTTCTTTTCTCCTCCTAGCAGTCAGCTCATAGCGGCTGCCTGGGCACCTGCCCTCAGGGGAAAGCGTTTTCTCTGCATCAGCTGTTCACTAGGCCGTTCCTGCTCCTCCCGCTCTGAGCTCCCAGCCCGGCCAGAGTGCCCTGGGGCCCAGGCGCTGCCCAGATGGGCTGTCTGCTAACAGAGTGACCTAGGGTGGCCTGTGGGTGCTGGAACCCTGCCTTTCTTGCTGCAGAGGGTTCTGGGGCAGCTGCCAGGGCTGTTGGCTGCTTTCTTTCTCTGTCCTGTGAGGGGGCAAGGGATAGAGGCCTTACTCTGCCACTTTGTTCCCAGACCCCAGGGCAGCTCTCTCTGGAGCCTGCACCTCCACCATCTGAGCAGATGGTTTAAACAGCCCCTGTACTCCACGTAGCTCTATGGTCTGGTTCCATGCCTGCTGCTGCTGTGACGGGAAGCGACCAGAGAAGACAGGCCAGCTCCACGCGGGCTAGAGCGTCTCCCCGACTGTGTGACAGGGTGGCAACTCCCTTACCCCAAGCATGCATGGCTCTCAGTGTTGGGCCTGCATCCTTCCCCACCACCCGGCTGGCAGAAGAGGGCCCCCCGGGGGTGGGGGAAGGGTGCAGGGATCACATGACACCAAGCAGGGCTGGGCCAGCTGCTGGCCTGCCAGCTCACGGAGGAGCCGCTCTCTAGACCTGCTCAGGGACAGCCGAGGCCACCTGGCTTCAGCCCCTCCTGGGGATTGGCCTGCCTGGGGACACCTCTGTCCAGCAGGCACTGATGGTGCTCAGCCAGGACCTGGGTGCTGTGCTGGGCTCCCCCAGGGTTAATGTTTAGTCCCCTGTGGCGGGCTTGTCCTGCACGAGATCTCAGAGCCACTGCCGGTGACTTGGACACTCAGGATACTGTCTGCCTCCCAGCTGGTCCAGATGTGGCTAAAATCCCTGGGAGAGAGAGAGACTCCCAGCTGAGCCAACGGCCTTCACAGGAGGCAGTCTGGGACCCCTGAGGAGGCCCGGGTGGTTGGGGGCCCTGGTCGCTGTAACCTCTAATGCTTTTCTTTTCAAAGGAACAACTTTCTAGGCAGGGGAGAGATGTGTGAGTCAGGAAAAGGGGGGTGAGCGTATGTCTCTTTTCCTGTCAGTGGAAGGGCCAGACCTCCCCTGGCGGGGCTGTTTGTGGGGTGTGGGTGTGAGTGTGCCTGTGGGTTCCCTGCTAACTTCCAAGAAATGGGGCTGGCTCTCTGTCCAGAGGCGGTGGCGGTCAGGAGCCCGGCACAATGCCCGCAGCTTTCCTGTTGTACAAAGCCCAGCGTGGGAGGCGACCTCAGGTCGGAGGAAGTGGACTTCCAGGATGGCTCCTGGGCCTCTGAGGGTGCGCAGGAGGCAGGAGGCCAGGGTCCCGTCCACAGCATGCTGGACAGTCTACCTGGCTCCTGCTGGGGTTGAGGGAAGGGCCTGAGTCAGCACTGTCTGCCAGGCCTTCTCTGAGCTCCACGCCTACCTGGGCTGGGGCACTGACTGGGCGGTTAATGACCCTGGGCCAGGCCAGTACCTCTTAGCTCCTTCCTAACCTCTGAGGTTGATGTCCTTAACCCCCCGGCTCCTCTACCCGCTGCAAGCTCATTCCGTCCCTGGACAGAGCAGGTGGCATAGGGGGCTGTGAGGCCGGGGGTAATTGTGGCTAAGTGACCTAGGCCAGCCTGCCAGGTGGGGGAAGTCTGTCTCCTAAGACAACGGCCTTTCCTTACTGCCTGGGGCCAGATGCCCCCTTCCTGTTCCAGTCTAGGCCTGTGGTTTAGGGCTCTGTGGAACCCCAGCATCTGCCTGGATACCAGCACCGTCACCTCTCACACCCGTCCCCTCACGTGATGATGGTCAGGGAACTGGGAACTCCCATTGCCCAAGCAGGCACGAGGGCATGAATGAGCAGAGGGGAAGGAAGTGGCTGGGATGTGGCTGTCTGGGGTGCCCCACACCTGCCCAGACCTGGGCTGCCAACGCACCAGGGCTGGGCCCAGAGGAGCTGTGCGTTCCTGCTAGGTCAGCCAGGGCCCCCCAGGCTGGGTAGAGGAGGGGTGAGTGTGAGGATGCCCATGGGCCTCTGGCCCTGGGGAGGTAGGGGGACCTTCTCTTGGGGCATAGCCGCCTGGATGCAGTCAGCCGTGTCAGAGCCCTGGGGTCCCTGCCTCACCACTTACCCGAGGCAGCATGACCTTGGACCAGTTGTTCCTCTCTCAGCCTCCATTTACCCATCTGTGCAATGGCTGAATAACAGTCCCCTGTGTGGAAGGGGATGGCTTGAGGGTGGGTCTGTCCTGGGCAGGAGCAGAAGCCAGTTACTAGGGGATTGGAAGCCTGGTGGACTCATCATAATCACGTCCCAGGTCGTGGCTGGCCGGGTTGGGGAAGTGGAGTGCCGGGACAGTGGCTCTCGAGCTGTGATCTCATTCCACCCCAGGCTGTAGGTCTGTGCAGCCGCCAGTCTGTGCCCTATCTGGGAAACAGGTTACACAGGTGCATCCCCTGCACGGTGGCCAGGCAGGCCCTTGACGTCCCCGCGCCCGGCTGCCGGGCGTTGTCTTCACAGAGCTCCACGCAGGAGATCGGTGAGGAGCTGATCAACGGAGTCATCTACTCCATCTCCCTGCGCAAGGTGCAGCTGCACCACGGAGGCAACAAGGGGCAGCGCTGGCTCGGGGTGAGTGCGCTCGGGGTCTCCACTGGGAGACGCAGCTGGGGATCCCTCCCAGGACTTTTTCACTTGAGGGCCCCCAGTTCTGATCCCAAAGGAAACGGCCTTCACTCCCTTCCCGACCCCCACTGTCCAGCCCAGGCTTAATCGGGTTTTCATGTTTGACCTCCCTTCCCCGGGTGTGCAGCCATCAGCCTCACCATCCTCCATGCCTTCTCCCAGATGTGCACACCATCTGGAGTAGTGGGGCTGTCTTCACCCAAGGACAAAAGGGCTTCAGGCTGTTAGGTCTCTGCAAGTTGCCATCTCCCAGAACACATCCCTGGGGTTCCTCCAGGTTGAGAGCCGGGGCCTGACTCAGCTGCATAATATTCCAGAAGGGAGGCTGGAGCCACTGCCCCAGTTCAGCTCCTCATGACTGTGGGGCCACTGTGAGTCCTCTGAGGACACTTCAACAGTGCTGCAGGAGCCAGGCGCAGTGGCTCATGCCTGTAATCCCAGCATTTTGGGAGGCCAAGGCAGGAGGATTGCCTAAGGTCAGGAGTTTGAGACCAGCCTGGCCCACATGGTGAAACCCCATCTCTACTAAAAATACAAAAATTAGCCAAGCATGGTGGTGTGTGCCTGTAATCCCAACTACTTGGGAGGCTGAGACATGAGAATTGCTTCAGCCCAGGAGGCTGAGGTTGCAGTGAGCCGAGATCACACCACTGCACTCTAGCCTGGGTGACTGTCTCAAAACAAAACAAAACAGTGCCACGGGGAAGATGCTGTGCGTCCTAACGGGCCAGTCCCTCCCAGCCCCTGGATAAGCCTCTGTTTCCTCATCTCTAGAATGGGGATATTTTGTTAGAGCTCTCAGATGACGCTCTTCCCACAGGGCAGCTACCATTACTCAGCTAACAACGGACCTGAAGGTGTCAGTATTTAAATCATTCCCGCACCTCAAATTCTACTTTAAAAATTTTTTCACTCTTTTAGAGACAGGGTCTCACTCTGTCACCCAGGCTGCCATGCAGAGGTATGATCATAGCTCACAGCAGCCTTGACCTCCTGGGCTCAAGCGATCTTCTCACCTCAGTTCCCCAGGTAGCTGGGACCACCACACCTGGCTAATTTTGTATTTTTTGTAGAGATGGGGTTTTGCCATGTTGCCCAGGCTGGTCTCAAACTCCTGGGCTCAAGCAATTTGCCCACCTCAGCCTCCCAAAATGCTGGGATGACAGGCGTAAGCTACTATGCCTGGCCCTGGCTAATTTTTAAGTTTTGTAAACAATTTTTTTGTAGAGCTGGGGGATTTCACTTTGTTGCCCAGGCTGGTCTCAAACTCTTGGCTTCAAGTGATGCTCCCACCTTGGCCTCCCAAAGTGCCGGGATGACTGATGTGAGCCACCACACCTGGCCTGAAATTCTACTTTTAAAGCTGATAACCTTTTTCTGCTAGAGATACTCAGTCCTGCCTCTTGCCACAAGCTGCTGAGGGCTCGGGGTTCCATCTGAGCTCCAGGAGATTCGTGTGCTGCCACTGACTGTCTGTCCCTCCTCTGTCCCACCCCAGTATGAGAATGAGTCGGCCCTGAACCTTTATGAGACTTGCAAGGTGCGGACCGTGAAGGCTGGCACGCTGGAGAAGCTGGTGGAGCACCTGGTGCCAGCCTTCCAGGGCAGCGACCTCTCCTACGTCACCATCTTCCTGTGTACCTATAGAGCCTTCACCACCACCCAACAGGTCCTGGACCTGCTGTTCAAAAGGTGAGCATGAGCCCTCCACTGCACAGGGTGCACAGGGGCCCTCGCCCCCACCCCCACCTGGCTGCGGGTCTTGGCAATGCTGATTCACCTCTCTGAGCCTCGCTTTGCTCATATGAAAGAGAAACTGGAGTGCTAAGAGGACCTCATGGGGTTGTCACCATGCCTGGGCGGGATGAGGCGTGGAAAGTGCTCCCTCAACGCCTGGCCCTGTAGGGAATGGGCTGCGGGGCTGTGGTGCTCGTTTTTATGATTTTCCTGTCCCCCATGGGGAAGCTCTCTGCCCCAAGCCTCTCTTGTATGTGGCCTTGGGCGAAGCAGTTTTCCCACTTGTCAAGGAGATTCCGGATTCTATCTGGGGGCTGTTGGAGGGACCCAAGGGGCGCTCAGATAGCTGGGAAGGAGCTGGTTGGGACTTATTCATTGAACAAATATATATGAAGCACCTACTGTGTGCTGGCCCTTTTCTAGGCATTTAATATAATTTGATGAAAAAAAGCAAAAAAAAAAATCCCTGCCCTCCTGGGCCTCCGTTCTAGTCGGAGAGTCAGACAGTAACACTAGACGTCATAAGCAGGTACGGTAGATGTGACGCCCTCACGGCCTCCTCTAGATACGGCTGCATCCTCCCCTATTCCGACGAGGATGGTGGACCCCAGGACCAACTTAAAAAGTGAGTGAGCTTTGAGCCAAGAGGAAGGGACCCTGTCCCCACCGAACAGTGGGAGAGTACATGGGGCTGGGGCCGGAGCCGGGGCTGGCTGGGCAGAACCCTGGCTCCCACACCTCTTGTGGTTCCTGCTAGAGGGCTGGGGTCTGGGGGCTTCGCCTGCAGGAAGAAAGACGACCGAGAGCTGTGGAGGGGTCCTGGGGTGGCTGGGGCTCGGGGCAGCCCCCGGCGGGAACTCATCCCACCATAGCCTCATCCCAGCTGGCCTTGGCTCAGTGGGCCCTGATCTAGGGGCCCCTGGCAAGAGGTGGGGTGAGCCTCTGCTCTCACATTGCCTCACCCCTCAATAG
Organism: Homo sapiens; assembly: GCF_000001405.40. Classification (NCBI taxonomy): domain Eukaryota; kingdom Metazoa; phylum Chordata; class Mammalia; order Primates; family Hominidae; genus Homo; species Homo sapiens. The sequence continues at coordinate 133,109,278 of NC_000009.12, read as the reverse complement.
TGAGTGCTCAGTGGGCAGGCTGCACCCCACCCTCTGGGAGAACAGGATTAGTGGGAAGATGAGACCCACACACAGCTCTGAGAGAGTAAGGCAGCTCACCAGCACTGAGCTACAAGTTGAGGAGCCGCCAGGGACCTGCAGATGCCCGGCAGGAGGACCGATCCCTCATGGAGTTTACATTCCAGCGAGGAGGGGGTGCTGGGAGACATGCAGAGCTGTGGGCGGGGCTTCCTTGGAGGAGGGGAGAGGTGTTCGCCACTGACCAGGGGCCTCCTTGGTTCTTTTAGCTGGACAGCCAAGGGGGCTTGGGCCGGGGCAGGTGGCCTTCAGATGGACAGGGGCCGGCTCAGGAGCCCAGCCTGGCTCAGGGGAGCCCAGGCCTCTGACTCTGCTGCCACCCACCTGTCCCCAGTGCCATCTCCTCCATCCTGGGCACCTGGCTGGACCAGTACTCGGAGGATTTCTGTCAACCTCCGGACTTTCCCTGCCTCAAGCAGCTGGTGGCCTACGTGCAGCTCAACATGCCAGGCTCAGACCTGGAGCGCCGTGCCCACCTTCTCCTGGCCCAGCTGGAGCACTCGGAACCCATTGAGGCAGAGCCTGAGGGTGAGGAGGACTGGGGTGGGTGCCAGAGGGTGAATGAGGAGGGGTCGGTGCTGGGCCACACGAAGAGGAGGCTCCAGGGTCTGGTGCTGGGTCAGGGGCCCAGATGAGCCTCAGACCACACAGGCAGGGACCACAGGCAGGAGAGTGGCCTGGTACACGTTTTGTGGGTTCGGGGAGAGAGGCTTCTCTGGAAGCCGGGGCTGTTCTGTGTCTTTGGAAAGGCACAGGAAAGGCTGGCATGTTGTTGAACTTTTCTCCTCTTGCAGCTCTGTCACCAGTGCCAGCTCTAAAACCAACTCCAGAGCTCGAGCTAGCTCTAACACCAGCTCGAGCACCCAGCCCAGTGCCGGCTCCAGCCCCGGAGCCAGAGCCAGCTCCAACACCAGCTCCAGGTTCAGAGCTAGAAGTAGCTCCAGCACCAGCTCCGGAGCTCCAGCAGGCTCCAGAGCCAGCTGTGGGACTAGAATCGGCTCCAGCGCCAGCTCTGGAACTAGAGCCAGCTCCAGAACAGGATCCAGCTCCCTCACAAACTCTAGAGCTGGAGCCAGCTCCAGCACCAGTTCCATCATTACAGCCTTCCTGGCCTTCACCTGTGGTTGCAGAGAACGGGCTGAGTGAGGAGAAGCCTCACCTCTTGGTGTTCCCTCCAGATCTGGTGGCAGAGCAGTTTACACTGATGGATGCGGTGAGCAGCTCAGCTTGGCAGGGCAGGGGTGGGCCTGCCTTCTGGCAGCATCTGCTGTCCCAGACCTACCATTTGCTGATCCAGAGCTGATGTTCTGGTCAAATCCCAGCTCTGCTGCTACACACCAAGTAACCAGGTCGTTCCTTAACCCCAAGTCCTCAGTTTACCTCTGGACAGTAGAGATGAGGTCACCCCTATCCTCCAGAGTGACTGTGCAGATTCTAGATGGAACAGACAGGAAGCTCAGCAGGCCTGGCCTGTGGGAGCGGAGGGTGCTCACCAAGGTGCATCCATGGGTCACCCCCATCTGTTCAGGAGGCTCACCAGCCTCAGCACTCATTAGGCACTTGGTGTGTCCTGGAGCCTATGGCAGACACTGGACAAAGCCCTTAGTTGTAGCGCCCACAGCAGATGTGCGTCTGGATGGGGAGCAGACTGAGGCGGGGGGATGGGGGGTGGGCAGGCGTGAGCCGCCTGTTGGAGCTGGGGCTTGGTGAGGCTGCGCGAGGCGGTGCTCCTCTTCTTCCCACCAGCGTTCTGTCCCGGGTCACTTGTGTGCTGGGCACCCTGCATGGACACGGGATAAAACCCAGAGATCCCCACAAGGCTCAAGCTGCATCCTCAGCTTCCCCAGCACCAGCCCAGACTGCTGGGGCAGGACCAGGTGACATTTAGCCTCCTCCCCAGGAACTGTTCAAGAAGGTGGTGCCCTACCACTGCCTGGGCTCCATCTGGTCCCAGCGGGACAAGAAGGGCAAGGAGCACCTGGCGCCCACCATCCGCGCCACTGTCACCCAGTTCAACAGTGTGGCCAACTGTGTCATCACCACCTGCCTCGGGAACCGAAGCACGAAAGCCCCAGACAGGGCCAGGGTGGTGGAGCACTGGATCGAGGTGGCCAGGGTATGCCAGAGGAGGGGCCTGGGCCCCCACTTTGGCTTCATCTGTTCTCAGGTTGTGGTCTGCAGTCCAAGGCCCTGTACAGGCCCCAGTCTACCCTTCCCAGGGGCATGCTGGCCTTGACTCTCCCAGCCCACTGCCTGGATGCTCACGTCTTCCTTACACTCTTTCCTTGGGTTGAGCTAAAATCCTCCTGTCACCCCCGGGTCGCAGGCGTGCCCTCTGGGGACTCCCTGGGTGTCTGTCTCATTAGGAGGGGAGGCTTGGCCAAGGGGGACTGAGGCCAGGCAAGCTGGGAGCTCCAGCCCCACCTCATGCCTCCTGCTCTTCCCGCCCCAGGAGTGCCGGATCCTCAAGAACTTCTCGTCACTGTATGCCATCCTCTCTGCCCTGCAGAGCAACTCCATCCACCGTCTGAAGAAGACGTGGGAAGACGTTTCCAGGTGGGCATGCCTCTGTAGGAGCTCCTGGTGCACCAGGGACCTCCCACAGGGCTGGCATCACCCCCTTAGTGAGCCCATGGGAGGCCACAAACCCTGAGGGCAGGGACCCTTCACTGACCTGAGTTGGCAGCAGCTCTGCCTCAGAGCTCGGCTTCCTAAGCTGTCAGATGGTGGGTTGAGCCACATCAGAGATTTTCAGGTATTCGTGTTGTAGCCACAGAACCCTCATCCAATTGAAATCAAAACCTTTGTGCCAGGCGCAATGGCTAACGCCTGTAATCCCAGCTACTTGGGAGGCTGAGGCAGGAGAATTTCTTGGACCCAGGAGGTAGAGGTTGCAATGAGTCGACATCTGGCCACTGCACTCCAGCCTGGGTGACTGAAACTGTCTCCAAAAAAAGAAAAAAACCCCTTTGGAAATAGCTGCTCAGTGGAAACGGGAATGGGGTCCTGTTGCACCAACATGAAGGCCCCCTCCCCAGACCTGCAGAGCGTTAGTGCTCTGGGGTACCCTGTGTGCTGCGTTCAGGCAGTCTGGGGTCTTTCAGCTCTAAAATAAAACGGATTTGCACTCACACCCCTCCCTACCATTCCCAGCTTTCTCTTTCCTTCTTTGCCCTTCTGACAGGGACAGTTTCCGGATCTTTCAGAAGCTGTCAGAGATCTTCTCAGATGAGAACAACTACTCATTGAGCCGGGAGCTGCTCATCAAGGTGGAGTGGCGGCAGGCTGGGGCGGGGGCTGGGGCGGGGGCTGGGGCGGGGGCTGGGGCGGGGGCTGGGGCTGGGGCGGGGGCTGGGGCGGGGGCTGGGGCGGGGGCTGGGGCGGCGGGCGGTGGCATTCGCTTCTTGCTGGGAAAGTTCCTTTCCCGTGTGCGTGAAGGGGGAAGAGGGATCTGTTTGGCCCCTGGGTGTTTGAGGGACAGGGCCCCAGTTAATTGGACACAGTAAGGGTAGCAGTGGAGGTTCCAGGAGGAGTAGATGGGCATCAGGACCAGCAGGCCTCTGGCTTCCTCGCCGGTCCCTCCTGCTGGGTGGGAAGGGGATGCGGCTCCTGCCCCCACACCGGCCCAGTCTGTCCCCGGGAGGCCAGGCTCCTGACGCTACCTCTGTCTGCTCTACACACCCAAGGAGAGGGCAGCCTGCCTACCCCAGGGACAGGAGCTGCAGGGGATGCCAGGGGCCAGGTGGCCAGACCTGGGAGGCAGATTTGGAGGCCCCATGTGGCTTCCCTACCCTGCCCCGAGAAGAGACACTGACCAGAGAACCCTGTAGAATTCTTCCCATGGCACCCCATTAGCTGTGGCGGATACCCCAGATGACTGAGGAGAACTTTCAGTGACTAATGGATTCACGAGGCCTCAGAGGGAGTCAAGTGTCACTGCCTGGTGCCCCTGGCATACCCGGTCAGTGAAATGGCATCTAGGGCCCCCCTCCTGCGTGGACACACACAGAGTTCCCTACAGGGGAGCATCGCAGGGGGCTCCTGGGACACCTGTCCCTCTCCCTCCGTGGCACAGCTCCACTGGGGGCCCTGGCATGCACGAGAAGCCCAGAGGACGGTACCCTGATCAGTGACCAAACGGGTAAAGGCAGATGGGGCAGAGCCTCTGGCTAGGACAGAAGAGCCTGTTCTGAGTCCCTGGGGGGCCCAGGGCAAGTCACTGCCCATCTCAGGGCCATAGTTTCCTCATCTAGAAAATGGAGGAATGCCAGCCCTGGGGTGCTGACCTTATGGAAGGTTCAAGGGAGAAAGGAGTGTGCAGCCATAACAGGACTGTAGCGCAGAGTCTCTGAGGCCCTGCGAGGCAGGTGGAGTTTTTTTATTTGTTTAGAGAAGGAGTCTCGCTCTGTCTCCCAGGCTGGAGTGCAATGGCGTGATCTCGGCTCACTGCAATCCCCACCTCCTGGGTTCAAGGGATTCTCCTGCCTCAGCTTCCCAAGTAGCTGGGATTATAGGTGTGCACCACCAACCCAGGTAATTTTTGTATTTTTTAGTAGAGATGGGGTTTCACTGTGTTGGCCAGGCTGGTCTTAAACTCCTGACCTCAAGTGATCCACCTGCCTTGGCCTTCCAAAATGCTGGGATTACAGGCGTGAGCCACCGCACCATGCAGCAGGCGGAGTTCTCATCCGCACTTTCCAGAGGGGGAGGCAGGCTCAGGAAGGCCAGGCCACCGGCCCAGGACCCCACACTAGTGAGTATTGATACAGGGTCAGCCCTGGAACCCGACCACACTGGCAGCACCCCAGGTCAGGGTGCCTGAGGGCTGAGGGGATAGGGCCTTGCTGACCCTGTCCTCTACCCTGGCAGGAGGGCACCTCCAAGTTTGCCACCCTGGAGATGAACCCCAAGAGAGCCCAGAAACGGCCGAAGGAGACGGTGAGAGTGCCCAAGGCCGCGGAGGGGCAGGGGGCTGGCCTGGGGGTAGGGAGGAGGGCCCTTTCCTCTCTAGCCACGGTGCCTATGGGCCCCATTAGAGGTAGCCTCCTCTGGACCCTAGCAGAGCCACACCTGGATCAGCTGGTATCTGGGAAGACCAGCTGCAGCCACGAAAGGACAGGCCTGGCAGAGCCGGCTCAGGCGGGTGTGGGGCTGGGGAGGGCCAGGGGCCACACGACTTGGGAACCTGGCATTTCCCAGATGCCAGCCAGGGAGATGGCTAGAGGGAGTCTGGGGTCCAGGGAGACAGTGGGCCCCAGGAGGCCCCCAGAGGTCCCCCAGCTGTTCCAAGTGAGACCAGTTGGGGCTGGGGGCTGAGAAAGCCTTCAGGGGAGGGGCCTTGCTCATCCTCCTACCCCAATGTCACAGGGCATCATCCAGGGCACCGTTCCCTACCTGGGCACGTTCCTCACCGACCTGGTGATGCTGGACACTGCCATGAAGGACTATCTGTATGTGAGTGTGCCGGGCGGGGCTGGAGTAGGGCCCGGGAGGAGAGACCTTCCCTGAGCCCTGGGGGCTGGGCTGCCACACCTGTCCCAGCAATGAGTAAACAGCTCAGTGCCCTGCTGGTGACACCCCAGGGCTGCCCAAACACAGAGCTGCAGCAGGGTTTGGCTGAGTGGGACACAGCCCATCCCTCAGGCAGTGACCCTGAGCACAGAGGGAAGCCAGGCCCTCAGCGGTCAGGCGGCACGTGGTGGCTGAGCAGGGCCTTCTCACCCAAGGCCTCAGTCCATTGTCCTCCGAGAGTGCTGGACAAGAAGTCCCCAAGCCTCTGCCCGCATGTCCCCTTGCCCTGGTGCCCAGCACCGGCTTCAATCCAGGGGTGTGCGTGCCCTGCCCCCTGGTGGGCACTCTTGATAGTGCAGCATGAGGTGGGGAGACTGTAATGGTCAAGGGGTCACTTTCTGACGGCCATTGGGTGTCCACCTTCCAGGGCAGACTCATCAACTTTGAGAAGAGGAGGAAGGTAAGCAGCTGCAGGCAGCCCTGACTTGGGGAGGGGTGGAAAACAGACCCACCAGGGTAGGACATTTCAACTCCTACCCTCTCCTTAGATTCATGGGACATGGGACATTTGGACACAGAGAGAAGGGGGTCCCCTCCCACTGGAGGGTGAGGGTAGGAGGTTATAATCCAGGACCACCTCCTGGGGAGTGGCTGAGCCCAACTTTGAGAACAGGAAGGCCTGGATGGGAGTAGAGGGGAGGAAGGGACCCCAAGAACAAAGACCCAGAGACTGGCCCCTGTGCTGCCCGGGGGGCCTTGTCACCGCCCTGTGCTTCCCTCTGGCCCCAGGAGTTCGAGGTGATCGCCCAGATCAAGCTGCTGCAGTCGGCCTGCAACAACTACAGCATCGCGCCAGATGAGCAATTTGGGGCCTGGTTCCGGGCCGTGGAGCGGCTCAGCGAGACTGAGAGGTGAGGCCGGGGCAGCAAATGGGGACAGTGGGGGCAGGCTGTCCTAGGGGGCCAGCTCCAGAGGGCCAGCAGCTATGACCCATGGTCAGCCTCAGCCCCTGTTGCCTGAGGATGGCCGGGGCACCCCGACTCCAGCTTCTGGGCAGGTGCTGGGGGAAGGCCGGAGCATGGCCCCTGGTTGTCACACCACTGCCCCTCTGCTCATAGCTACAACCTGTCGTGCGAGCTGGAGCCCCCATCCGAGTCAGCCAGCAACACCCTCAGGACCAAGAAGAACACAGCCATTGTCAAGCGCTGGAGCGAGTAAGGGCCTGGCCAAGGGTGGTAGGGGCAGCTGCCTTGGGGCTCAGAAGCTTCAGGGCTGAGCCTGGGCTCAGGGAGTCAGGGAGGCTGGCCCTGGAATCCTACCCTGCTGCTGACTGGCCCTGAGACTGGGATGAGTCCCCTCACCTTTTTGGGCCTCAGTTTCCTCCTCTGTGAAATGGGGTGATACTAAATGCTCTCCCAGATGGCTGTGGTGAATGGAGTACTGGCAACTGTCCCAGCACTTTGCACAGTCCTTGGGCGCAGGGTGCAGGGGCTGTGGGGTTGGGATGTGTCCTTGGGGAGCCCCCTTAACTAAGCCAACTCTTCACCCAGCCGCCAGGCCCCCAGCACTGAGCTCAGTACCAGTGGCAGCTCCCACTCCAAGTCCTGTGACCAGCTCAGGTGTGGCCCCTACCTCAGCAGCGGGGACATCGCTGACGCGCTCAGCGTGCACTCGGCCGGCTCCTCTAGCTCCGACGTGGAGGAGATCAACATCAGCTTCGTCCCGGAGTCTCCTGATGGCCAGGAAAAGAAGGTGACTGCCTGCCCTTCTCCCCAATATCCTTTCCCATCTCCCCACTCCAAATCCATGCATGGGGCCAGGAAGCCCTGGATCCTGAACACAGCTTCTAGAAGGTTCCCCATCTGGCAGCTGGCCTGGGGTGCCCCCACAGGGCAGTGGGATCTGCTGATCTTACCGTCTCCCTCAGTTCTGGGAATCAGCCTCACAGTCATCCCCGGAGACCTCCGGCATCAGCTCAGCCTCCAGCAGCACCTCGTCCTCCTCAGCCTCCACCACGCCCGTGGCTGCCACACGCACCCACAAGCGCTCTGTCTCAGGGCTCTGCAACTCCAGCTCCGCGCTGCCGCTCTACAACCAGCAGGTGGGCGACTGCTGTATCATCCGCGTCAGCCTGGACGTGGACAATGGCAACATGTACAAGAGCATCCTGGTAAGCCGGCGGGGGTGGCCTGGGTGCCTCCCTCCACTGGCGGCAAATGCACCCTGAACACAGTGCACCATCCCTGCCCTCCCGGGGTCTACCTTGTAGTTGGCGGGGAAGGACAGATGTCAGCCAGGTACAGAAATGAAGAAGGTAGTGATCAGGGACAAGGCTGGCCTGAGGGCAGAGGGGGAGGAAAGGAGCAGCCGTGCAAAGCCCCCAGGAGCTGAAGGGGCGGTGCTGTAGGGGAGGTGAGGTCAGGGAAGTATCCAGGGCCTGGCCACATAGGCCCTGAGCCCTGCCAGGACCTCGACTTTCTCGGGGAGGAAGACAGGAGCAATGATGGCTGGCTTCTCTGTCTGGTGTGGGCTGGTACCAGAGCCGCAGGGGTGTTGGTTAGGAGGCCGCTGTGGCAACCAGGCTGGGAGCCCTGGAAGGGGCCAGCAGGGTCAGAGTCTAGACAGGATTTGGAGACAGCAGATGGGAATTGCTCACAGAATGGGTTTGCCTGGGGGCTCTTTCTTCATCCTCCAGGTGTCCTGCGACAGATGAACCATTTGTAACCCCCACCCTCTGTACCCCAGCCCTGGGTCAGGTGCCCCATTATTCACACACGCTCCTGACCCCTCATTGCCAGGAGCTAGCATGGTTGTCATTAAGCAGTCACCTGTGGCCCTATGTCCGAGTTCCGCCTGTGCTCTGGCCCTCAGGGTCAAGGTAGCAGGGGCCTGGCCTATGCTGACCACACTGAGCATCCTGGCCGGCCCCTCCTTTCTTACCTCCAGGGCTTGGACTAGGGACTGTCTGTTCCCCAGGCTCAGTGATGCTGTTATCCTGGAGGGGCAAGTGCTTCTCAAGGAAGTGTGGGAGGAGGGAACAGTCTCTTACAGGAGAAGCAGGGTAGGCACTGCTGGGACAGACCCCTCCTCATTCCATGGAGGCCTCACATGGGGAACAGAAGGACGGAGGCCTCACTTGGGGAGTAGGAGAATGTGACAAGGCCCTCTCCGGACCCAGCACCTGGCCAGAGGCTGTGAGTGCCTGTGCTTGGTGCTGAGGGGACTCCAGAGGGTCCTTGGCCACTGCACTCTGGGGGAGCCGCTCCAGGGTCTTTTCCCTGATGGTCCATCCCCCGCCGCGATGCAGGTGACCAGCCAAGATAAGGCTCCGGCTGTAATCCGCAAGGCCATGGACAAACACAACCTGGAGGAGGAGGAGCCGGAGGACTATGAGCTGCTGCAGATTCTCTCAGATGACCGGAGTAAGTCAGAAGACCAGAGGGCGATGGCAGAGGGGGCAGGTCCACACCACTCCCCAGCCCCAGGTTGGAAGCCTTTGGCCCCAGAAAATTCACCAGCAGAGTGTGGGTAGACACTGTGGACAGGGCAGCCCTGGCTGCCCCCATTGTCTGCTTGCTGTCCCCAGCAACCACTGGACCTCCCCAGTGTGTGCCCTTCCCTAGGCGTGAACAGGCAGTTCAAAGCTCACATCAGTGAGGAGCAAAGAGAAAAGGCATTTTTCACTGGGACAGGTTAGCCACGTGGCCCACTGGAAGGGACTCTTTCTGGCTAAGACAAGAAAACATGTGCTCTACAAAGAATGGTGACAGCTGTGGACCAAAGTGTCAAGTGTTAAAATCCATGAGTGTGTGATTCTAAAAGCAGAACAGGCTACTAGGAGGCCAACTCAGTATTCTAGAAACTGGGAAAGTGTCAAGAACCAGTGCAGGCTCAGAGTGGGGTATCCTGGGCCTGGAGACGCTGGGCAAGCTCCTTAAGCCCTCTGTGCTTGTCTTCTCATCCCCCAAATGGAAATGAAAGTAGCCAGTGTGTTCATCATATATGTAAAAATCTATATGTATGTATATATGTGTATATGTATGTATATATGTGTATATATATGCATGTATATGTGTGTGTATATATATGCATGTATATGTGTGTGTATATATATGCATGTATATATAAAGCATCTATGTGCACCATAAAAGTTAACTATAAATACTATCATCGCTGTTTTCTTTCCAGTGAGCTGAACACCACCTCCCACCATTAGCCCAGACAGTAAGCAATGACTCCTGTGATCCCTAGAAGTTACAGTCTAAATCCTCTGGCAGCTTCTTGCACCATTTCGGTTAGGTGGGCAGGGTAGGCGGGACCCCCATCTTACAGAAAAGGAAGACTGAGGCCTAGAGAGGTTAAAGATGACGAAAAGCCACACGATGTCGGCAGGAGCACAAATCGAGCCCAGCTCTGGTTTATAGCAGGCTGTGGGCCAGAGGAGATGGTGGGAAATGGAGCCAAAAGGAAGTGCTTGCCGGGTGCCAGGGTTCAAGGAGTACAGGCCTCCCTGGAACGGGCGCCAGAGCCCTGGGGCAGGCCTGTCCTTTCCTGGTCCTTGGATCCCTTGTCCTGAGTAGGGCAGGATTCTGGGAGGTGACCTGGATTCTAGAAAGCCTGTTCCAGGTGGGCAGCCAGCACTGCAGTATGGGCAGGACGGGGTGACCCTCTGCCAGCTCAGGCCAAGCCGGGGGGTTCTGGAGTCAGTCCCTGTTTAAACAAGAGTCATCAGGTTTTGTGAGGACCTCAGCAGAGTCTGTCCTCAGGCAGGAGTCATTGAGAGGGGTCCTTGGAGTTCTGGAGCTGTATTGGAGGGGATCTGAGGTCTGTGGCTCAAGACAGTCCTTGTATGGGCTCTCAAGCGGTAGGGGTATCCTGCAGGGCCCCCAGGAGCATCCCTGATCACCCCTCTGCCCCTCCCCACCAGAGCTGAAGATCCCTGAAAACGCCAACGTCTTCTATGCCATGAACTCTACCGCCAACTATGACTTTGTCCTCAAGAAGCGGACCTTCACCAAGGGAGTGAAGGTCAAGCACGGAGCCAGCTCCACCCTCCCTCGCATGAAGCAGAAAGGACTCAAGATTGCCAAGGGCATCTTCTGAGGGCATCCTCCCAGGGTCTGGCTGGCTGGTAGCCAAGCACTTATGGACCAGAGTGGCCCAGGCCAGCTGGGCGCCTTCCTCCCACCTGCCAGCCCAGGGTACCCCAGACTCCAGTTTCATCCTGAACCTCTCCCGCTGCTGGGATTGACGCCTGCCATTGGTCAGGCTGACCTGGCCTCCCGTGGACCACTCGCTGCCTTAGGTGCCTTCTGCTCTCTGGAACCAGAGGACTAGCTGACTTTTGCCAAGGAGCAGTGCCAACGGGCATGGCATGGTGCCCTGCCTGCCCCCGGGCGCCACCTCTGTACACTTCCCTGACACCTTCCCAGGTGTGGGTCACTGCCACCTGTGCCCATGGGCACCCCAGAGCACCCACTGTGACCACTGCAGTTCTCTCATGCCCACAGGCACTGGCCTGTGACCTTCGCAGGGGTCCCGGCCCCTCCCACCACTCTAGCCTTTCTCAGGCTGCACCAAAGATTCCATCATCAGGGCCAACTGAGAGTGAGGGAGTCTCACCCACCGCTTACCCCAGCCCTCCCCTGGGAGCAGAGAGAGAAACCCTCTTCATGGACCAGACTCTGCACCCGGTGAGTGAGGACAGTCCCAGCTGAGTCCCATCGATGTTGAATCTCATGCCACTGCAAGTGCCATTCACCACTGCGTCCTGGGCTTTACGAGACCATGCAAGACGGGGGTTAGTGAGGAAGGAGGATTTGGGGTGGGGGTGGGGTGATTGAATATTTGTATAAAAAGCAAAAAGAAAAAAAAAATGTTTGTTTACTGATTGGGGAGGGGCAATATTTATTTGTTGTAAATAGCAAATGCTAGACTTGAATATTATATTAAAATCCTGTTTCTACTATACCCTGGTCATTACAGTTTTGTTCTTTCATTACCTGTCTTAATTAAAATGAGATAGAGACTCTCACATTCCGTGTTTAAGTAAGGACCCTTGCAGGGTTATCCAGTTATTTTATGCACAGGAAAAGCCAGCCACTCTTCTCAGCACACTGAAGGAAACACAAAAGTTTACCTTTCATACAGCAGATGTTCCTTTTGGCACCATTAAACTGGGAAATGTGCTGAGACAGCCCTCAGAACTCCTGGGACTAGAGTTTGGAGGTACTTTCACAAGGCATAGCAAGAATTTCTGAAATTTAGCTGTCTTTAAAAGTAACATTTGTGGCCAGGCGTGGTGGCTCATGCCTGTAATCCCAGCACTTTGGGAGGCCAAGGCAGGTGGATCATGAGGTCAGGAGATCGAGACCATCCTGGCTAACATGGTGAAACCCCATCTCTACTAAAAATAAAAAAAATTAGCCAGGCATGGTGCCAGGCACCTTTAATCCCAGCTATTCGGGAGGCTGACGCAAGAGAATCGCTTGAACCTGGGAGGCGGAGGTTGCAGGGAGCTGAGATCACGCCACTGTCCTCCAGCCCGGGCAACAGTGTGAGACTCTGTCTCAAAAAATAATAATAATAAAGTAACATTTGTGACAAAAGATGGCAGAGTAGGAGGCCCCAGGGTTCAGTTTTTGCACAGAAACAACGATTAAGCTGGAAGAAAGAAAACTATCAGAATAAACTGTTTTGGGACTCTGGAACCTGGTCGGACATAGTCACCAGGGGAACACTTGGTGAAGGGAGATGCTGCTGAACTCCAACAGTTAACAGGATCTCCATCAAGTCACAGGCTGACCAAGAGACAACAGAACAGAAACTTCGTGACTATACACAACAAGGAATACAAATATAAGCCTGGCAAAAATACGAATATAAGCCTGGAAAAGTCACTATGGACACAGAAGACTGCATCCTTCAATAAGCAAAAAAGCAATTCCTGAGGAGGGAGACAATCTGATTTCCAGAGTCACTGCATTATAATACTCAATGTTCAGTTCTCAAAAAATTACAAAGAAACAAAAATATGGCTCATTCACAGGGGAAAAGAGGATTTAACAGAAGCTATCCTTGAGGAAGCTCAGACATTAAAATTACTAGTCAGAGACATTAAATCACTTGTCCTAAATATGCTTGATGAGCTAAAGGAAACCATGGAAAATAATGTATGAGCAAATGGGTGATTAGCAATAAAGGGATAGAAATTATAAAAACCAACCAGAAGCTCCGGAGCTGAAAAGTATAACTGAGAAGAAAAATGTACTAGAGAGATTCAACAGCAGATTTAAGCAGGCAGAAGAAAGAATCAGTGTACTGGAAGATAAGGCAATAGAGATTATTCTGTCCAGGGAACAGAAAGAAAAAGGAAGAAAAATGAACAGAACTAGAGGTTCTTGTAGGACACCATTAAATGTACCAACATACATTTAATGAGAGTTCAGAAAAGGCAGAGATTATTTGAATAATGGTCCAGAACGTCCCAAATTTGATGAAAGACATAAATCTCCATATCCAAGAAGCTCAATGAGTTTCAAACAGGATAAACTCAGATCCATACCCAAATTTATTAGTCAAATTGTCAAAAGACAGAAAATCTTGAAAGCAGCAAGAAGAGATTCATCATATACAAGAGATCCTCAGGATTAACAGCTGATTTCTCATCAGAAACCATGGAGTCTAGAAGGTAATAGGATGACATATTTAAAGTGCTGAAAGAAGGCTGAGCATGGTGGCTCACACCTGTAATCCCAGCACTTTGGGAGGCCGTGGTGGACAGATCATCTGAAGTCAGGAGTTCGAGACCAAACTGGCCAACATGGTGAAACCTTGTCTCTACTAAAAATACAAAAATTAGCCAGGCATGGTGGCACATACCTATAGTCCCAACTATTTGGAGGCTGAGCCAGGAGAATCGCTTGAACCCGGGAGACGGAGGTTGCAGTGAGCCAAGATCGCACCACTGCCCTCCAGCCTGAGCGACAGAGCAAGACTCCGTCTCAAAAAATATTCTCAAAATAAAGTGCTGAAAGAAGAAGCAAAACATCCTTTAAGGATGAAGGAGAAATTAAGACATTCTCAGATAAAAGTTAAGGGAGTTTTATTAGTAGACCTGCCCTACAATAAATGGTAAAGGGAGTCCTTCCAGCTAAAATAAACACTAGACAGTAACTTGAAGCCATATGAAAAACTAAAGAACACTGGTAGAGATAACTAACAGGTAGTTAGCAAAGCCAGTGTTATTTCACTTTGGATTTGTGTAACTCATCCTTTTTTCTTATGATTTAAAGGTAAAATTCATAAAGCTATAAATCCACATTAATGGAAACAATGTATAAAGATATAATCTGTGACTGACAGAGGGAAGATGTGTAATAGCAGTGTATACTACTTAAATTCAATTGGTATTATTGAAACTAGATTGTTATATGTTTAAGATGTTACTTGTAATACCAAAAGTAACCAGTAAGAAAATAACTAAAAAGTATATAGGAAAGCAAAGAAAGGATCAAAATTGTACAAAAGTAAATCCGTAAAAAGCAGTAGTGGAGGAATTGAGGAATGAAAATCATAAGACATACAGAAAACAAACAGCTAAATGGCAGAAGTAAAGGTTTTCTCATTAATTACTATAAATACAAATGGGTTAAGTTCTCCAATTAAAAAGCAGAGATTGGGCCAGATGCAGTGGCTTACACCTGTAATCCCAGCACTTTGGGAGGCTGAGGTTGGAGATGGCTTGAGCCCCGGAGTTTGAGACCAGCATGGGCAACACGGTGAGATTCTATCTCTACAGAAAAATTTTAAAATTAGCCAGGCATGGTGATGTGCATCTGTGGTCCCAGCTCTCAAGAGGCTGATGTGGGAAGATCGCTTAAGCCCGGGAGGTCAAGGCTGTAGTGAGCTGTGATCCTGCCAATGCACTCCAGCCTGGACAACAGAGCAAGAGCAAGACCCTGTCTCAGGAAAAAAAAAAAAAAAAAAAAAAAAAAAAAGATGGGCAGAATGGATTTTTTTAGAACTTTGTCTATCTATATGCTGTATAGACTTTTTTTTTTTTGAGATGGTGTTTCACTCTTCACCCACGCTGGAGTGAAGTGGCACGATCTTGGCTCACTGCCACTTGACCCCTGGGCAAGTCTCCCAAGTAGCTGGGATTATAGGCACCCACTATCACACCCAGCTAATTTTGTATTTTTAGTAGAGACAGGGTTTTGCCACGTTGGCCAGGCTGGTCTCAAACTCCTGACCTCAGGTGACCTGTCCGCCTTGGCCTCCCAAAGTGCTAGGATTACAGGTGTGAGCCACTATGCCCAGCCTGTAGAGACAAATTTTATTTTATTTTGAGGTGGAATCTCACTCTGTCGCTTAGGCTGGAGTGCAGTGATGCAATCTCAGCTCACTGCAAACTCCACCTCCCAGGTTCAAGCAATTGTCCTGCCTCAGCCTCCTGAGTAGCTGGGATTACAGGTGTCTACCACCACACCTGGCTAATTTTTTTGTGTGTTTTTGGTAGAGACAGGGTTTTACCATATTGGCCAGGCTGGTTTTGAACTCCTGACCTCAAGTGACCCACCCACTTTGGCCTCCCAAAGTGCTAGGATTACAGGCGTGAGCTACTGCACCCGGCTGAGACAAATTTTGAATACAAAGATACAAAAAAGTTGAAAGTAAAATGTTGGAAAAAGTTATTCCATGAAAATAGTATATTTTAACAATGGCTATAGTATTATCAGACAAAATAGATTTTAAGTCAAAACCGTAACAAGACAAGGTCAGTATACACTGACAAAAGCTGCAACTTCTCAAGATACAACAATTGTATCCATACACACACTTAAAACACCCAAAATGTATGAAGCAAAAATTGATATAATTAAATGAGAAATACACAATTGGAGATTTCAATACCTCATTTCCAATAATGGATAAGAACAACCAAACAGAAGATCTATAAGGAAAGAGGATTTGAGCAACTCTATAAACCAATTAGACTGAGCAGACATATACACAACACACAAACCAGCAACAACAGACTACACATTATTGTCAAGTGTACATGGAACATTTTCCAGGATAGACCATATGTTAGGCCATAAAGTAAGTCTTAATTTTTTTTTTTAAGACGGAGTTTTGCTCTTGTTGCCCAGGCTGGAGTGCAATGGTGCAGTCTTGGCTCACTGCAACTTCCACCTCCCAGGTTCAAGTGCTTCTCCTGCCTCAGCCTCCCGAGTAGGTGGGATTACAGCACCCGCCACCACACCCGGCTAATTTTTGTATTTTTAGTAGAGATGGAGTTTTACCATGTTAAGCAGGTTGGTCTTGAACTCCTGACCTCAGGTGATCTCCCTGCCTCGGCTTCCCAAAGTGCTGGGATTACAGGCATGAGCCACTGCACCCAGCAATAAATTTTTAAAACGAAATTATACAAAGTATCATTCCAATTACAATAGGATAAAATTATAAATCCATAGCAGAAGAAAAACTGGAACACTCATGAATATGTGGAAGTTAACGCACTCTCTTCTTTTTCACGTCAGATGGGTAACGTGCCGACGTAAGGGTTTGAGGGTGACACATCTCACGCATGTGCATGAACACCCAATCATCATTGTTCATCAACTACAAAAGGATCTTAACACTCTTCCCCTCCCCGACTCCAGACGGAGTCTTGCTCCATCGCCCAGGCTGGGGTGCCGTGGCACGATCTCAGCTCACTGCAACCTCCACCTCCAAGGTTCAAGCAATTCTCCTGTCTCAGCCTCCTGAGTAGCTAGGATTACAGGTGTGCACCACCACAGCTGGTTAATTTTTATATATTTTTTAATAGAGATGGGGTTTCACCATGTTGGCCAGCCTGGTCTTGAACTCCTGACCTCATGATCCACCTGCCTCAGCCTCCCAAAGTGCTGGGATTACAGGCGTGAGCCACCGCGCCCAGGCTTAACACACTCTTAAACAACCAATGGGTCTAAAAGGAAGTCACAAGGGAAATTAGAAGACACCTTGAGACAAAACAAAAACACAACATACCAAAACTTACAGCATGCGGTGAAATTGAAAGCAGTGCTTGGGGGAAATTTATAGCTGTAAACGACTACATTAAAAAAGCAGAAAGATCTCAAATCAATAATTTATCCGCACACATTTAGGAATTAGAAAAAGAGCGAACTAAACCCAAAGCTAGCAGAATGAAGGAAATAATAAAGATTACAGCAGAGATAAACAAAATAGAGAATAGAAAAATAGAGAAAATCAGCAAAACCAAAAACTGGTTATTTCTAAAGAACAAAATTGACAATACTTTAGATGAACAAAGAAGAGACAAGACTCAAATTACTAAAATTTGGAATGAAAGTGGGAACATTCCTACCAACTTTACACAAATAAAAAGGATGAGAAGATAATGCTTTATAAGAGAATGCACCATTGCATGCCAGCAACATACAGTGGAATATTATTCAGTCATAAAAAGGCCAGGTGCAATGGCTCATGCCTGTAATCCCAGCACTTTGGGAGGCCAAGGTGGGTGGATCACTTGAGGTCAGAAGTTCAAGACCAGTCTGACCAACATGGTAAAACCCCATCTCTACTAAAAATACAAAATTAGCCGGGTATGGTGATGAGCACCTGTAATCCCAGCTACTTGGGAGGCCGAGGCAGGAGTATTGCTTAAACCCGGGAGGCAGAGGTTGCATTGAGCCGGGATTGTGCCACTACACTCCAGCCTGGGCAACAAGAGGGAAACTCCGCTTCTTAAAAAAAAAAAAAAAAGGTATGGTATGCCCACACATGCTACAACATGGATGAACTTTGAAAACATTACAATTCCACTTATGAGAAATATCTCCAAAAGGCAAATTCATGGAGACAGAAAGGATAGAGGCTACCAGGGGTTAGAGGGAGGGGAAATGAGGAGTTAGCTAATGGATATAGAGCTTCTATTTGGGGTGATGAAAAAATTATGGAAATAGAGAGTGGTGATGGTTGCCCAACAGTGAATCGAACTAATGTCACTCAATTCTACTCTTAAAAACAGTTAAATTAGCATCAGTTTTGTTATATAGGTTTTACCACAGTTAAAAAAAAAATAGTATCTGTAAGGACCATTTCCTAGCCCAGGTTGGTGGCTGCCTTTCTACAGCTTTAGGGGAAGAGGAGCATTTTCTGCTTGTCTTGCTGAGGTTTCTGTTGACCACCAATTAGGAACTTGTGGATTTCAAGGTCTAACTCTGGAATTTAGTCAGCACTAAGAAAAATTATAAACAGATAAAATGTACAATATGGAAAGTGGGGGGGAAAAGCTAAAGGAAGAGTGTTAGCCAGTGCACGGGCAGGACTTTGCCCCCTCAGTCCCTTCTAGAGGCCCGTGGTCCACCCTTTTTCTTAGACGGGAATCTTTGTTCCTAACCATAGATTTCCATTGCCTGTGCGTTTTCTCTCTGGGGAAAGACTTGTGATGCTGTGTTAGGGTTACAGTGGGCCTCATTCCATAAGCATTCCTGCCCACAGTGCCCACGTCACAAGGCCATGGTGAGGTCAGGCTCATCAAGTGCTCAGTGCAGTGCCTGGGCTTGGACCCGGAAGAGGTGGGGGTGGTCCCGACTCTGCCCCAACAACTCTGCCAGAGCCATTGGGCACCCCCAAGGGGCCCACCACCCAGCACCCTTGGCATCCTCTGCTTTCTACCCAGCACCCTTGGCATCCTCTGGCGTCTACCCGTGAACCAGGATGCCAGCATTCCTACAACTCCTTGTGTGATTGATGTCATCCAGAAACACCTTGGAAAGCCCCATCCCCTGTGCCCTGCACACTGTGGCCACTCGTCCTGCTGGAGCCTCATGAATGGCCAGTGAGTGCTGATTGCCAGGATAAGGGTGCTGATTCCTGCCAGCAAAAGACCTCCATACTCTCCCCCGATGGCCAAGGTGAAGCACAGGTCCGTGTGGTGCTGAGGTCCAGTCTCAGGTGATCACCAATTTACAGAGTCAGTCGTGTTGTTACTGACCCATCCTAAAGGGGTAGCTGGGCCCTGAGCCTTTAGAGCTCGCAGCCCCCTGAGGTGACTGTATTCTTTGTCCACAGTCTAGGATTTAGTTATGTCCCGGTTGGGCGTAGGTGTGTTAAACACGCAACACAGGAGTTGGGGTGGGGGGAAGAGGAAGGCCACTGAGACTGAGGATCCACAAGCACAGAAGGCCACAGCCTTACAATGAAAGTGCTGAAACATGTCCCCTGTGACAGTAAACATGCGCTGGCCCGAGCTCACCCCAGTGCTCTTCCAGGCTTCCTGGAACTGGGAGCCAGCAGGACCCCAGATGGCCTCCAGCCTGTCAGTATTTTCAACTTCATCATCTGGAGTCTGTAATGGCAAGAGCCAGATTGCAGGTGACTCTGAGCTGTCTCCTCCCTCTCGACAGCTGCAGGCATCACCCAGACACACTGCAGGGCTCACCTGTGCCATGGAGGCTTTTAAAGTAGATTTTCTGTTGCTTATAACAGAATACCTAAAACCGGGTAATTTATAAAGAAAAGGAATTTCTCACAGTTATGAAGGCTGAGAAGTCCGAGGTTGAGGTGTTATAGGATGGAAGGTCCTGACTGAGTTGTCCAGGTTCTTGGTGTATTGAACAAAGAAGTGAACAAAACTCACAAAGTAACAAAAGAATGAAACAATGACAGACAAAACAGGCCAGTCGCAGTGGCTCACGCCCGTAATCCCAGCACTTTGGGAGGCCGAGGTACCTGAGACCAGCCTTGCCAACATGGTGAAACCCCGTCTCTACTAAAAATACAAAAAAATTAGCTGGGCGTGGTGGCCGGTACCTGTAATCCCAGCTACTTGGGAGGCAGAGGCAGGAGAATCGCTTGAACCCAGGAGGCAGAGTTTGGAGTGAGCCCAGACTGTGCCATTGCACTCTAGCCTGGGCAATGAGAGTGAAACTCCACCAAAAAAAAAAAAAAAAAAAAAGACAAAGCAACAAGAAAACAGCTTACCAAAGGCACAGATTGATTGAAGCGAACGTGCAACCCACAGGGTGGGAGCGGGCCCAAGCAAACGGCTCAAGGACCTCCCAATTGCAATGCTTCTCAGGGTTTTTATAAAGAACACCCCAGATGCCCTTTAGAGGCCTCCAATTGGTTACACCCTATGAAGGATTAGCCTGGGACCAATCAGAGGCTGAAGTGGAGGATTGGCCCAGGGTCAATCAGAGGTTGAAGTGGAAGCTCCTGACTTGTTATCACAGCAGTGAGGATGTGGCCTGTGTGCTCCCCAATCCTGCCTAGAACTGGCTGCACCTGCTGTTCTCTGGCTTATGAGAACGGGCTGCACCTGCTGTTCTCTGGCTTATGTGAACGGGCTGTACCTGCTGTTCCTTTGCTTATGCCCCAACCCTTGGCTTCCCTAATTCCCTCTCCTCCTGCCTCAGAGAGGCTGCAGCAGGTGAAGGCCTTCTTGCTGGTGGGGACTCTGGTGTCCCGAGACGGTACTGGGCATCACGTGGTGAGGATGCTGAGCCTGCTCACATGCTAGCTCAAGTCTCTCTTCCTCTTACAAAGCCACCAGTTACCCTCCCATGATAACCCACTAACCCATGAATCCATGAATGGATGAATCCATCTACGGGGACAGGGCCTCATGATCCAGTCACCTCTTAAAGGCAGCACCTCTCAATACTGCCACATTGGGGATTAAATTTCAGCATGAGTTTTGGCGGGGACAAGCATTCAAACCGAAGCAGAGGGATGGCGGGTGCAGCCCAGAGGTAGAACACGCTTGGATCCCCACAGCCCATCCCTTCTGACGTGGCTTGGCCATCCAGGGATGTGATTTTCTGAATGACAGACATGACTGTGCTTTCTCTCAACAAGAGACGGGTGCCAGTCCCAAGGGTTGGGAAGAAGCACTGGGGTCCCAGGGGTTTCTCCCACAGTGCTGGAGGCGCCTGAGAGCTGACTCCACAGGTAGAAACACAATAATCCCTGTGGGTACCAGTGTGGCCAAGGAAGGGACACATCATTGTATCCTCGGGCTTCCGTTGCCCAAGAGAACAGGGACAGTCACTGGGAGAGGCCCACATTGCCGGGCAGCTCCATCTCACTCAGTCTTTGACAGGGAGTCCCCTTTTTACACCAGAGACCCCTTGACCAACCCAGGAAGCCCAGGGTGGCCAAAGTGGTCACAGCCAGCCAGGGTGTCCCCTGCTTCTCCAGGGGACAGGGTTCGTCCCGGCTCAGCTCTGCTGCATGAGGCCACAGGACTTGTCGGCCCTGAGCCTTATCCTCCCACCTGTAGGCTGGAGGGGCAGAGAGAGTGGCTAGCTGGTCCTTGGGTGCTGCTGCCCTCCACCGCGGAGCCCCCCAGGCAAAGTTGCTCAGGATTCCAGAATTTTCTCTCATCTAAGCCCCACCCTGCCCCACAGTGCCTGTTTAGAAGGTAGGTGAGGAGTGGGGAAGAAGACCCCCAACGTTGTTCCAAGCACTGGCTTTGGAGTCAGGGACCTGGGTTCAAATCCTTGCTCTGAGTGACCTTGGGCACGTGATGCCCTGTCAGGGCCTCATTTTCCTCTAAATATCTATAAACGTCTAAAAGGAGGGTGTACACCATACCCACCTCACAAGGCCATGGTGAGGTCAGGCTGGTCAAGTGCTCAGTGATGTGCCTGGGCTTAGACCCAGCAGAGGCAGGAGTACTCCTGACTCTGCCTTCTGCCCTCTGCCCCTGCCCCGTCAACTCTGCCAGAGCCATTGGGCACCCCCCAGAGGCCCACCACCCAGCGCCTACTGCCCAGCACCCTCCCCATCCTCTGCTTCCAACCTTCTGGTGTGATGTGTTATTCTTTCTTCCACTTGCATCCGGCTGGAGGAGCAGAATCCCTTTCTTTTCCCAGGCGGGTTCCCCAGACCCCAGTTAGAACACAGACTTCACTCCCTGCACCCAGAGGATGTGGGTGTGGCTGGGATCCCCTAGTCCAGAGGCAGCCACAGCCTGCCAGACCCCAGCTCCCTCTCTGACTGCAGCTGCCACCAGCCCCTCCCACCATATGGGACAGAATCTAGTCCCTGGGAGCCAGCAGCCTGGTTCCATTCAGGGAAGGGCAGGCTCTGGAGTGACCTGTGCCTGACTCCCACTCCTGGGCCTGCCAATCAACTTCCCTGGGCCCACCTCCTCCACTCGAAAGTGAGGATGGCACCATCAACGCCCCAGAGCCTGGGGATTGTGCCAGGTGATGGGGTCACAGGTTGGGCCCCCACCTGGTGCTGTAAGGGTAACTGAGGTCCACTCCTTCCTGCAGCTTAGCCTTGAGAGCAAAGAAAGACGCCAGACAGGGGAATGAGGTTTTATTCAGGAAGAGCTCAAGATGGGAGGGGAGCCCCTGGGGTTGCACCCTCTCGGCCTCTTGAGACCAAGGCTGATGGGACACTAGAAACTAATGACTGCAGCATCTGAGCTTCCTCGGAGTCATCTGTGGGGGACACAGGGGCAGCCTCAGTGTCACCCAAGGTGGGCACGGGCCTCAGAGTCACCCGTAGGGGGTACGGGGGAGCCTCAGAGTCACCTGAGGGGGACACGGGGGCAGCCTCAGAGTCACTTGTGAGGGGCACAGGGGCATCCTGAGAGTCACCCGTTGCAGGGACGGGGGCAGACTCGGAGTTGCCTGTCGGGGGAGACGGGAGTGGCCTCAGAGTCCCCTGTGGAGGGCATGGAACTGGCCTCCTGGTCGGTCACTGTGGGCAGCGCCAGATAGGTGAGGGTCCAGTAGCGCAGGAAGTTGGTTCTCAGGCTCCGCTTCATGGAGCTGCTGCCCATCTTCTTGGTGATCTCCAGGTAGCCGCTGTTTTCCGTAGTGTAGGGTTCCCAGTGTGTGGGCACAGCCGAGTGGCCCATGTTGGGGTCCCTGCAGAGTGAGAAGAGGCTGTGCAGGGGCTGGGGACTCCCAGGGGGCTGAAGCCCTGCTCTGCACCTGCACGCCTGAGCCATCCCCGCCCTCTGAGCTGGCCCTGGGCACCATGCCCCTCACTGCATACTGGGCACTGGCTGTGCACGTGCACGGGATTGGGGCTCTGCCAGTAACTCTCATCCTCAAACACACATGGATTCCGATGCAGGGGGAGGTTAAGTGACTTGCCCAAAGTCCCTCCACTGGCAAGTGAGGGAACAAGGCCTCATGGTGGGAGGCCCTTCTTGGCTGTGGCCCTCCGCCCTGCACTCAACCCACGTCTTACCCTGTTTTGGCAAAGTTGGTCCAGTAGGCGGTCATAGCCTTAGAGACTGTCCTGTCTTGGGGCCGGTAGCCCGGAGTGGGGTGGCAAAGGGCTCCCCAAAGATGTACTGGATCTCATCTCTATGGTCGGCCCCCACCCATTTGGGGTAGACGGGCATCCGAGAGGGATGGGAAAACAGGTAGGCGTAGGTCTTGGCACTCCTGGAGGGGAGAGACCACCCAAGTAGGCAGGGTGCTCACTGGGGACCGATCAGCCCAGAGACCGGACTTGGAGGGAGGTCCCGGGCAGTGGGCAGGGAAGTGTCTGGGGAATTCACATGAAGAGATGGGGCTTCTTACACCCAGGGAAGGGAAAGCTGAGAACCAAATTCATGGATTCATGGGTTCCACAATTTCAGCTGAATTTATACTTCACCTCCACAAAACATTGTGAGGCACCTTCCTTCTAGAATTCAGTATCAAGAAATATTTTGCTCTCCAAGTGAATGTGCATTCTTCAATTAGATTGGACAAGGTATAGGCCCTCAACTGTTTCCCTTTTTGCCTTGACTGAAAGGAGGCTCACAGCTAAATGTACTGCTTAGTTGCTGCAAAGCTTTCATCCTAGACTTCTAGGTATACTTTTATCTTCCTATCTTTTTCAGATTGCTAATTTATTTTTAATTTTTATTATTTATTTATTTACTTATTTATTCGAGACACAGTCTCACTCTGTTGCCCCTGCTGGAGTGCAGTGGCGTAATCTCTGCTCACTGCAACCTCCACCTCCTGGGTTCAACTGATTCTGCTGCCTCAGCCTCCTGAGTAGCTGGGATCACAGGTGTGCACCACCATGCCTGGATAATTTTTGTATTTTTAGTAGAGATGGGGTTTTGCCATGTTGGCCAGACTAGTCTCAGACTCCTGACCTCAAGTGATCCTCCCACCTTGACCTCCCAATGTGCTGGGATTACAAGGGCGAGCCACTGCACTCGGCCTTATTTTTCCTTCTAATTGGCTATTATTACATGAAGGTCTTTAATGAGGCCTTGGGCTGAAATTATTTTGTAAGGTGGCAAAGTTGAGGCCCATGAGAGTCAGTGGATAGAAACCATTGTCCAGTGTTCTCTCAGTGCACACAGCATGGGGGATGGAAGGTAGCTCAAGAACTCTCCAGTGGGAAGGACCATGGGGTGCAGGGCTGAGCAGGGCAGAGGATCATAGGGTTTGTAAAGCCCTGTAGGCTGGGAGGTAAAAAGAGGCCCTCAAGTCTTGCCAGGCCTCAGCAAAGTGGATCAGGCAGGCACAGGTGGGGACTCAAGCACCACTTTCCCAGACAACCCAGACACCTGAGAGCCACCCACAGCGAGGCCTCGGCTGGAAGGTGCAGCACCCCAGGAAGGCCCCCAGGAGCCACCCGCTGCCCAGATCCTCACTTGGCATTGGCTCTGTGCTGGGCTAGGGCAATCTCGGTGGGCACCAGGAAGAGGACATCGGTCTCAAAGTCCACCACAGTCTTCTTCTTATTCTCCTGGGATGGGTCCTGGGCCCAGGACTCGGTGTAGACATCAAAGGTCGTCTTGGCGCCTCTGAGCCCCTTGGTGATTGTGAACTCACTGACCAGCTTGTAGAAGTCCTCCCTGGGGGAATCAAGTAGGCACTGACACTCAGCCTGTGCCAACAGGAGGGTGTGTGCATACTCACCCCGACCGGTGCTAACTTCCTCACTCCCAGTCCTCCACTCAATGCCTTCCTCCTCCAGGCTGGCCCCCTCGCCAGTGCTTTCCCGGCGGCCCTCCCGCACGGGTCGCCCCTGAGTCCTGTGCCCCCTGCTTACTCCGTGACTTTCTTGTTGCCCTTGTTGATGGCAGGCATGTCGATGCTGGCGAAGATGTGGCCGTCCATGTTGTTGGTGCCTGCTATATAGTCGATGTCGGCGGCGTTGGCGTACAGGTTGATCGGGTCAGCGGGGATGAAGTCTCCATCAATGACAGGGACGAAGCCCACATAGTGCAGCATGGGGTCTGGGTGGGAGAGCCAGCAGGTTAGCAGGTTCTTGTACCTTCCAGTTTTCCCTGAGCCGCCCCTTGCCTCTCAGGGCTGGAATTGGCTATGTCCTCCCTTCTCTGATCTATGGACACTTGGGGCAGGGTTGATTCTGCACCATCAGGGGCATCCTGTGCCCTGTAGGATGTTTAGAGCATCCCCGGCCTCGACCCACGAGGTGCCAGGAGCACCCCCTCCCCAGCTGTGACAATCACAGATGTCTCCAGGCCCTGCCACACGTCCCCAGGCTGAGAGCCACTGTCTAGGGCCAGATCTGTCCTCTTCAGCGGCAGCCCCTCCCTCTCCTCTCTCTCTTTGCTGGGCCTGAAGCAGGAAGGAGGAAACTTAGAAGCCACTGAGGGAACTGATGGAGAAGGAGCTCCCTCTCTCAGGGCTGGGTTCCAGTCCATCAGCCAAAAATGGTGCGAGGTCTGCATTGTACTCCAGACCCCTGGACGGGCCCCTAGAGGACCCAGTGGCTGCTGAGGCAGGCGGGGCCTGGCTGTCACTGGGCCCAGCACAGCAGGCTTTGCTTCTAGCGGGGCCGTGGGGGTTGCTTTGTTTGGGCTTGTCCATCCTGAGGGCCTCAGGGTGGGGAAATGGGGAGGGGTCGTGATGACCTGCCGAAGGCCTCTCAGCACCCCAAGAAGAGCTCGCCCAAGAAGAAGGTGACCTGTCCTTTGAGTCAGGAGCCCAGGACCACTGCCCAAACCTCCCGGTCCCAGGGCCAGGGAGTGTGGAGAGCAGGCAGCAGAGGTGGAGACAGGAGTCCCCAGGGCCTGAGACACCGCAGGCGGCAGAACAGCGTGGTTGGGATCTGGGGTCCCCTGTGTGACTCCTGCTGGGGGCAGGGACTGGGCCGGGCACCGACACCGGCTTCCTGTGGGGCTTGGGGTTTCTGTGGCTTCTCCTTCACAGGCAGAGAGGGTAGAATTTATGGATGCCTCGAGAGAGCTCCTGCCTGCCGGCTCTCTTTCTGGAGGGACCCGGACCCGGGTGTGGAGTAGCTCGGCTTTCAGCTTCCTGCACAGGAATAGGAGGCAGCAGCTGTGCCATGCTGGGCAAACTGCCTGCCTGCTTCTCTCCAGCCGTCTGCCTGCTCTCCACACTCCCTGCCCCTGGGCCCGTTTCCCCTTCTGTAAAATGGGAACAACAGAGAGGTTGGTAGGTGGAATCACCAGGATTAGCAAATGTAAATTCAAGAGGCCCAGTTACATTTGAATTTCAGGTAAACAGTGAATTGTTTTTTAGTATGTTTCATTTTTTTCTTTTTCTATTTTTTGAGACAGAGTCTCGCCCTGTCACCCAGGCTGGAGTGCAGTAGCGTGATCTCAGCTCACCGCAATCTCCACCTCCCAGCTTCAAGCGGTTCTCCTGCCTCAGCCTCCCGAGTAGCTGGGATTACAGGCACCCACCACCACGCCCGATTAATATTTGTATTTTTAGTAGAGACGGGGTTTCACCATGTTGGCCAGGCTGGTCTCCAACTCCTGACCTCAAGTGATCCACCCACCTCGGCCTCCCAAACTGGTGGGATTGCAGGTGTGAGCCACTGCGCCCGGCCCATAGAAATTTGTTTCAAATATTGCATGGGACATACTTACACAGCAGTTCTTGGCAGTTTATCTGAAATTCAAATGGAATTGGGCATCCTGCGTTCTACCTGGCACCTGTCCCCATAGAAATGAGCGTGAGTGCCCGGGATCTGCTGCGGGGCTGTGCTGGGCTCTTTCTCAGCCTGGCCCGAAGTTTCCAGATCTGATTGAGCGAGAGAGCAGCAGGACCTGCCCCTCTGCTGGGCTCTTACCTTCGCGGCACTCGCCACTGCCCAGCAGCAGGTGAGGCCCAACACAACCAGTTGCAGGCGCCCCATGGTGAGCATCAGCCTCTGGGTGGCCCTCCCTCTGGGCCTCGGGTATTTATGGAGCTGGATCCAAGGTCACATGCTTGTTCATGAGCTCTCAGGCACTCCCTCCCCTCTACACCCTCAGGTGCAGGGAGATCCAGTTTTCCCCAAACCCACAGTGCACCTGTGCAGGTTACCACTTACCTGGGAGCAGAGGCAGGTGGCAAGGTGGCGGGTGGTAAGGGGGATGGTGGGGCCGGGCAGGGTGCACAGTGCCCTGCCTTCTGGTTTGTTCACAGGGCTTGGTGTCACTGTCAGAGAAAAGGGCATACTTTGTCTCCATGCCCTGCCTGTCCCCTAGGTCCCCAGAGGGGCTTCACAGGGGACCAAGCACGTGACTTCTGGGACAGAGAGGGTGACATGCTGTGGGCCCCCCACCCAAGTGGCTGACCTTATCTGTACGAGCTTTTCCTGGGGCCATGGAGCAAGCAGTCCAAGCTGGGTGCGGGTCCCAGAGCAGCACAAAGCCGTCTCATTCAAGGGTGGGGAGATGTCACCATCCAGCCTGATGCATCCTGGGAGGGAGGACTAGAGGCTCAGGGGGTGTGGGTGGGGGGGTGCGGAGGCATCTAGCCCAAACTTGTGGTCTTCCCTGAGGAAAGAAAGGACACAGCCAAGGCCCTGGGGCATGCCCAGGCAGAGTGACAGGAGAGAAAAGGAGGCCAGCGGGAGGGAAGGGAGAAGGTCCTGTGAGGTTGTGGAGGAAGAGGAGGCCACTCGTATTTTCTGTGAACAGGTATTAATCCTGGAGCCAGGAAAGGCTCTGAGAAGTGAAAGAACACCACGAACAAAGTCTTCAGATGGGGCCTGTAAGCTCAGCCAGTGTGAGGTCACCCTCACCGAGACGCTCGGTGGCAGCTCCAGCCACCGCACAGCCCTCTGCAGTGATGGGAACAGGGTGAGGGCAGCCAGAGCCTTCCCACCCAACAGTCCCCCAGGAGACACTGGGGCCTGTGCTTCCCACACCAACCACACTCCCGTTCTGCCACCCCTGCGGCCGGTGCCAGGGACCGAGTGGACCTGCAGAGCCACGTCTGTCCCTCTGTCTGTCGACCACAGCCGGTGCCAGCAATTCAGGAGGCCTAGTGGGCGAGGGAGGCTGGGGAAAGGACTGGAGGGTGGGAGGAGGAGCTCGGCCACAGGAAATAAGGGGCCTGCAGGTGGCTGGGGCGCCCCAGGGCAAAGGCATTTGCCTCAGACCTTTGCCCGGCTACTCTAGTTCTGAGAACCTGCCCTAAATAAAGGAGGTAATTCTGAACTGGGAGACATGCCCTTTGTGCTCCAGGATATTCACTGCAGTGTCATTTACAGTGGCTAAGGAGGAAAGGGGAGGGCAGAGGGGAGGCAGCAGGGAGAGGAAGGAGGTGGGGGAGAGGGCTGGGGCAGGGGAGAGGGAAAGGAAGGCCCCACTTTTTATATATATACATTTTTAGAGCAGATTTAGGTTCACAGCAAAATTAGAAGAAGGTTACAGAGATTTCCCGTATGTCCTCGCCCCAACCCAGTCTCCCCCATTATCAACATCCCCCACCAGGGGGTACAGCTGTTATACTTTATGAACCTACATTGACATGTCATAATCACCCAGAGTCCACAGATTTAGGGGTTTTTTTGTTTGTTTTGAGACAGGGTCTCACTATCACCCAGGCTAGAGGGCAGTGGCACAATAACAGCTCACTGCAGTCTTGAACTCCTGGGCTCAAGGGATCCTCCTGCTTTAGCCTCTCAAGTAGCTGGGATTACAGGCGCCCGCCATCACACCCGGCTAATTTTTGTATTTTTAGTAGAGAGGGAGTTTCGCCATGTTGGCCAGGCTGGTCTCGAACTCCTGAGCTCAAGTGATCTGCCCGCCTCAGCCTCCCAAAGTGCTGGGATGACAGTTGTGAGCCACTGCGCCCAGCCCCTAACCTAGTTTTGGCCATGCTCTGAGCCCACATTCTTTGTGGAACCTCAAGATGGTATCTAAGCTCTGTACTCTGTTGAGAAGTTGGGTCTCCATTTCAAAGGCTCCCGTGTATACGCATTAAACAAATATGTATGCTTTTCTCCTATGAGACAATCTGTCAGTGATTTTTCAGTGGTCCTTCAGAGGGAGAAGGGGAAAGCTCTCCCTTGGTCCCCATAGTATCATCCTGAATAGTTTGAATGCTCTAAAACCCCCCTGGGCTCCATTGATTCATTCCTTCCTCACTCAAATCCCTTGAAGCGGCTACATTGTCTGGTCTACATACCCGGGGTTTGTCGTCATGCACCAGGAAAATTTAGGACAGGGACAAACACGAGGACTTTAGGAGCGGAGGTTTAATAGATAGAAGAGAGGAAAAAGAGAAACATCTCTCTCTTCTCCAAGCATAAAGGACTGGTGGGCAGCAGACACACTGAATTTTATATTCAGGTTTGTCCTTGCCCAGCCCTGCCAGCCGACTGCAGGAGCAGGAGAACTAAGGAAGGGAAAAGGAAGCAGATGAAAGGCTTAAGAAAAAGGCGGATCTGTTGGCAGCAGCCCTTATAGAAAGAGAAATTAGCCATGTGAGAGGATGTGGACGCAGATGTGGACGTGGAAGAGGTCAAGTTAGACAAGGATTTAAGAGCTGACCAAGGCTAGAGAGGGATCAATGTGAGAGATGCAAAAAAAAAAAAAAAAAAAAAAAAAAAAGGGGGCACTGGAAGGATGAATGTCCAGAAGGCAATGAGGGAAATGGCCAAGGCCGTGAGACAAAGAGGCCATTGGCCAAGGGCTGCCATACCTTAGAGGAACCAGATACTAATCTGATTGGGCTGGCAGGAGCTGAAGGATGTGAGGACTAGGACAGACCGGGCTCCTTCTCACTGGGCCTCCAGGAGTCTGTGGTCACATTAGAAGTTGAAGGCAGCAGGATTCTGCCGTATCTGGATTCCAGATTTCTCGCTGATGGCTGAGCTATTATATGAAGTTACAAAAAGAGGAGAAAAGGAACCCCTCCTCTGGGAAACAGAACAGGAGAAGGAGCCATGCCTTGTGAAAACTTCCTTATAGACTTAAACGAAATGCCCCGTGCCAGAAGCTATCGGTATATTCTAGTGTTTATTTGCATCTTTTTCAGGATAGGTTGAAGCTTTCCCCACCAGGACAGAAAAAGCACGACAAATGACTAAAGTACTGTTAAAAGATATTATCCCCAGGTTTGGACTGCCTCTATCTTTACAGTCAGACAATGGGCCGGCATTTGTAGCTGAAATAGTACGAGATTTAACAAGACTGTTAAAAATAAAATGGAAGTTACACACAGCCTATTGGCTGCATAGTTGAGGAAAAGTGGAACGCATGAAGTGGACACTCAAGCAGCTACTGAAGAAATATTGCCAGGAAGCTCATCTGAGATAAGTTCAGGTTTTGCCTATGGTCCTCCTCCGAGACAGGTGCACCCCCACCAAACAAACTGAGTATTTACCCTATGAGGTTTTGTTCAGTTGGCCAACCCCAAATCATAGGTCAAATTAAAGGTGATCTCCAGGAACTAGAGGAATTAACCTTAAGAAAGCAAATGCAGGCTTTAGGAATAGCCATGCAAGAGGTCCATGGCTGGGTACAAGAAAGGATGCCTGTAAGCCTGATAGACCAGTGTGCCCCTTTAAATCTGGAGACTCTGTTTGGGTTAAAAAGTGGAATCCAACTTCTCTAGGACCCATATGGGGTGGGCCCTGTACTGTCATCTTGTCCACTCCCGTTGCTGTTAAAGTTGCAGGTGTTATGTCTTGGATCCACCACAGTCGGCTGAAACCGGCAGCTCAGGACGAGTGGACCAGCCAGCAGGACACAGATCATCCAACCCAGCTGATCCTGAGAAGACAACAAGCTGCTGCTGAGGA
This sequence comes from Homo sapiens, assembly GCF_000001405.40. Lineage (NCBI taxonomy): Eukaryota > Metazoa > Chordata > Mammalia > Primates > Hominidae > Homo > Homo sapiens. Next base: position 133,078,678 of record NC_000009.12, on the reverse strand, counting down.
CGATCACCCTGCTCTGGTCACTCGTGAGGCTGACCAGTCAACGCACGGCTGAAGCTTAAGGAGACAAGCCCCGCTCTAGTCACACACCCGAAGCTGACTAGTCTACGCACGGCCGAAGCTTGAGGACTCGTCAAGCAAGTAAATGTGGTTAGAAATCTTAGGACTAGTAGTCTTCCTTATAATACTAACTGTTTTACTATTGTTCCGTTGCTGTGCTCAATCTCCTCCCCCAGGCAAGGCCCTCTTCTGTCCTTGCTGGATATGAATACGCTGTACATTGTTTTGCTGTTATCACCCCCCTTGACCATGTTAAAATAAGTACCCTTAGAAAGTGTCCCCATTGTACACACACTACAGGGTCAGGAAACAGTATAACTAGGACTCTATTATTCTATACTTATTAGGAGTGTACAGGGACTCACCTAGGAACTTGTACTTACAATCGGATCACCTATTCAATTTGTGACCCAGGAAATGGCCAGCCTTATATATGCTATGACCTTCTAAGTCTTTACCTAGGACTTGGTTTGAGGTTCATACTGAGTCAAAGAAAGGAAGTCTTATAAATCAAAGCCAAGCCTCTACCCCCCAGGGGGGGCTATAGCCATATACTTTGATATTTGTCAGTTAACATCCGTGAACCCAACCTATCTCACAATCTCTGGTCCTACAGGGTACTGTACAAACTGCCAGTACAAAATTGTATGTGCATACCCTGTTTGCCCCTCCAAGGCCCTAGCAATAGCTTGCTGGAACCGCACAACACAGTTCACTGACCGATCATCACTGAGGCTAAAGCCAATCTTGCTCATCAAAGCGCCAGCAAAACCGGACTGTAAGACAAGCACTTGCAATCCTGTAAATCTTACTATCTTAGAGCCGGATCTACCTATATGGACTACAGGTTACTCCATGGCATTACAAAGCAGCAGTCAAAAAGCTAAAGTAAATTTATATATCATAAAGAGGACTCAAACCAAGAAGTCATCCCAGCAGCAATTCCGAGTCTTTAAGTCATTCTATGAGCACATAAATCAAAAGTTGCCGAGCCTCCCCCTTTAGCCAAAAACCTATTTGCTCAGATGGCTGAAAACATTGCTGGCAGCCTAGGCATCTCCTCATGTTATGTTTGTGGAGGGACAAACATGGGAGACCAATGGCCTTGGGAAGCAAAAGAGTTAATGCCTCAAAATAACTTTACTCTGACTGACCCTTCCTGCAAACTGACTCCCACAAGTTCAAGCGTCTGGCTCTTAAAAACTTCTATTATCGGGAAATACTGTATTGCTTGCTAGGGAAAAACTTCTACAGACCCAGTAGGGGAATTAACATGTTTGGAACAGAAACATGTTAAAAAATTAGGAAAAACTTTATGGCGCGGCAAAGATAGTCCCAAACCACCTCATCCAAATCCATTCTCCCGTTTCTCTGCTCTAAACCACACCTGGTATCAGCTTGAAGCTCCAAATACCTGGCAAGCACCCTCTGGTCTCTATCGGATCTGTGGGCCACGGGCCTACCGACAGCTACCAGCCAAATGGACAGGGGCCTGTGTACTTGGAACAATTAGGCCGTCTTTCTTCTTAATCCCTCTAAGACAAGGAGAAGCCTTAGAGTATCCTGTCTATGATGAGAAGAGAGAAAGATATAGAAGGAGCGTAAAGAAAGACACAGCCATAGGGGACTGGAAAGATGATGAATGGCCCCCTGAGAGAATAATTCACTACTATGGGCCAGCTACCTGGTGGGGGACGATGGCTCATGGGGTTACTGGTCTCCTATTTACATGCTTAACTGCATCATGAGGTTATAGATAGTGCTTGAGATCATCACTAATTAAACAGCAAGGGCTTTAGATCTATTAGCCCAGCAATCTACAAAAATGAGGAATGCTATCTATCAAAATAGATTAGCTTTAGACTGCCTCCTCGCCCAGGAAGGAGGAGGATGTGGAAAGTTCAATCGAACTAATTGCTGCCTGGAAATTGATGACAATGGAAAGGCAATTATAGGAATAACTGCAAGAATGAGAAAATTCGCCCATGTTCCAGTTCAAACTTGGAAAGGGTGGTCTCCAGATTCTCTCTTTGGAGACTGGTTTTCATTTTTCAGAGGGTTCAAGACTTTAATAGCAGTAGTTCTGGCTGTACTAGGAAGTTGCCTAATACTCCTTTGTCTCTTACCTCTCCTTGCTAGAAGCATTCAATCAGCTATAGAGGCAATAGTAGCTAGGCAAACTACCACTCAGCTGACGGCTCTGCATAAATATCAACCTTTGCCCAAAGAAGAAAACTTGTCTCTTGACGCAGAATTAAGTAATAGTGAGGCCTTCTATTAAACTTCTTTTATAAAAGGACTTGAAGTGGGGAAAAATGTAGTGAGGGTTAAAAAGAAAAAGAAACAAGTTTTCCTCTGCTTAGCAGCTCACTTCGAGGACAGTTATAAGATAACGCTGTCCAAAAAGCCAAGGCCAAAGGAATGAGCTCCAGACAGCCCCCCACCTCCAGAGCAAGGCTGAGGAAAAAAAGAGAGAAAGACAAATTCCTTTACTGTTACTCCTTTCCCTGGCCTCTTAAGCATGACTATGTCTTGCAAATATTTGTATTTAGCCAGTTCTTGTTTTTCTTTTGACACAGCTACAAGGCCACCAGCTAGGCAAGACCACAAGTTATACACTCTATGATTGACTGCCTTTGTTTTTCTTTTGTAAGCCTGCTTATAAAAACCCCACTCTGTCTTTGTTCAAGGCTCACCTTTTTGGATGTGAATCCACTGAGCTGGTGCATACCTTAAAATAAATATCCTCCTGTATTCACCTGTACTGGTCTCTCTAGTCCTCTGCGTCCCGCAACATTAGACCTGAAAAAGATTCCATTGTCTGGATGTATTGTATCCATTCACCTGCTGAAGGACTTCTTGGTTACCTCCAGGTTGTGGCAATGATGGATAAAGCTACTATAAACATCTGCTATGTTGACCAAAAAACCCAAACTGTAAAATATTTGACGAGATTTATCCTGAGCCAAATATGATTGACTGTAACCAGAGGCATGGTGTCAAGAGTTCCTGAGAACATGTGCCCCAGGCAGTTGAGTTACAGCTTGGTTTTATACATTTCAGGGGGACATAAGACATAAATCAGTAATGTGAGAGGGTTTGGGATGGCTTAAAAATCACAGGTGAATTCAAAGATTTTCTAATTAGCAATTGGTTGAAAGAGTTATTATCAAAAACCCTGGAATCAATACAAAGGAGGATCTTGGTTAAGTTAAAAAGTTGTGAAGACCAAGGTTCTCTTTCTTTCTTTCTTTTCTTTTCTTTCTCTCTTTCTCTTTCTTTTTTTTTTTTTTTTTTTTGAGACAGAGTTTCACTCTTGTTGCTCAGGCTGGAGTGCAATGGCATGATCTCTGCTCACTGCAATCTCCACCTCCCAGGTTCAAGCAATTCTCCTACCTCCACCCTCTGAATAGCTGGGATTACAGGCATGCGCCACCACGCCCAGCTAAATTTTTGTATTTTTAGTAGAGTTTGGGTTTCTCCATGTTCGTCAGGCTGGTCTCAAACTCCCGACCTCAGGTGATCTGCCCACCTCGGCCTCCCAAAGTGCTGGGATTGCAGGCATGAGCCACCGTGCCTGGTCCAAGATTTTTGTTATGTAGATGAAATCTCATAGATGGCTTCCCTTAGAGACAATAGATGGCAAATGTTTCCTCTCAGACCTCTAAAGGGTGCTGGACTCTTCAGAAATGACCTGGTAAGGGAAGGAGATTCTCTACAGAATGCAAATTTCCTCCACAAGAGACAGCTGTGCAGGGCCATTCCAAAATACGTCAAAGAAATACATTTTGGGGTAAAATATTTCAATTTGTTTCATGACCTGCTATCTGTCATGTGATGCTATACTTCAGTCAGGTTGGAATTTTATATCTTATTTCTACAGAGTCTGTTCTGTCAGTCTTAAGATCTCTGTTTTAAAGCTGGTCAGCTGTGCCTGAATTCCAAAGGGAAGAGAGTATGATGAGGCATGTCCGACCCCTACTGCCCATCATGGCCTGAACCTTCAGGTCCCTTTGGGTTTCCCTGGCCAAGAGGGCGTTCCATTCAGTCAGCTGCCGGGCTTGGAGTTTTATCTTTGGTTTACAGCTATAAACATCTGTTTGCAGGTTGAGTAAATCTTAAGGAATCAGAGTGCTGGATCACATGGAAGAAATAGGCATTATGTTTTGGGAAACTGCCAAACTGTCTTCCAAAGTGGCTGTACCGTTTGTTATTCCCAACAGCACTGAATGAGAGTTCTGGTTGCTCCACGTCCTCATCAGCATTTGGTGTTTGGCCAATTTTCTGGATTTTGGCCATTCTTACAGGTATGCAGTGGTAGCTCACTGTTTAAATTTGCGTTTTCCTGACAACATATGATGTGGATATCTTTTTGAAAAAAATACAGATGGGGTCTTACTCTGCTGTCCAGGCTGGTCTTGAATTAACTAGCCTCAAGAGATCCTCCTGCCTTGGCCGCCGCATGTGATGGGATTCCAGGTGTGAGCCACTGCACCCAACCTAGGTTAACTTTTCAGATGCTTATTTGCCACCTGTATAGCTTCTCTGGTGAGGTGTCTGCCTTTGACCCATTGTGGAATCAGGTTTTTTTTTTATTTATTGAGTGTTAAAAGCTCTTTGTATATTTTTGGATAACAGTGCTTTATCGGATGTCTTTTGCTAATGTTTTCCCAGTCTGTGGCTTGTCTTTGTTTTCCTAACAGTGTCTTTGCAGAGCAGAAATTTTTAATTTTAATGAAGTCCAGGTTACATCACACAAGGCAGAATTGCAAATCCAACACAGGTCCCAACCAATGCTGCCGCTCCCCAGCTGTGTGGCCTGGGCCCGTGCCTGCCTCTCTGAATTTCACATTTCCCATCAATACCTTCACTCAGCAAAACTATGGATGAGAAGTTCATGGCACAATAAATATCAGGGTCTACAGTTACTGTTTACAGGTTGCTCTAAAAGGAACACTTAAACTTTGTTTTCAGGCAGAGAAACATCCGCTTAAAAGTCCTAGGTAGGGGCTGAGCACAGTGGCTCATGCCTGTAATCCCAGCACATTGGGAGGCTGAGGCGGGCAGATCACCTGAGGTCAAGAGTTCAAGATCAGCCTGGCCAAAATGGTGAAACTCTGTCTCTACTAAAAGTCAAAAAAAATCAGCCGAACGTAGTGGCGCACGCCTGTAGGCCCAGCTACTCAGGAACCTGAGGCAGGAGAATAGCTTGAACCCAGGAGGCAGAGGTTGCAGTGAGCTAAGATCATGCCATTGCACCCTAGCCTGGGTGATAAGAGCGAAACTCAGTCTCAAAGGAAAAAACAAGAAGTCTTTGGTCAGTGTCTACATCTGCATGATTAAAAAAACCCCAAACTTCTAACTGTGTATCGGTAGATGGCTTAATCTACCAATTAAGTAACCACAGAGTTACTTAAGGGACCTAGAGGCACAATTGTTTATTCTGTGGGATAATTTAAGGAGAATGAGCAAAACGATCTTAAATGATCCTTAGTAGTCTTAATATTTTATCATATATTACTTTATATAATTTATAATTTATTTAAATTCATGTACTTTAAATGTAACTCATATGATTTATTGCAATATCTTATATTTCTTTTTTTTTTTTTGAGACGGAGTCTCGCTCTGTCGCCCAGCCTGGAGTGCAGTGGCGTGATCTCAGCTCACTGCAAGCTCTGCCTCCCAGGTTCCCACCATTCTCCTGCCTCAGCCTCCCGAGTAGCTGGGACTACAGGTGCCCGCCACCGTGCCTGGCTAACTTTTTTTGTATTTTTTTAGTAGAGACGGGGTTTCATCGTGTTAGCCAGGATGGTCTCGATCTCCTGACCTCGTGATCCGCCTGCCTTGGCCTCCCAAAGCGCTGGGATTACAGGCGTGAGCCACTGCACCCGGCCTATATCTTATATTTCAAAACTAGCATATGTATGTTATAGGAAAAAGAACATAAACAATTATGTTGGTGCTGTCGAACCCAGACTTTCAGCATAGGCGGAGAAAGAAACAAGTGTAAAATGAGAGAAGTAAAACCTGACAGTCTTACAACTGGGAAATACCTGTATGAATTCATACTTTTATTATTATTTGAGATGGTGCCTTGCTCTGTTGCCCAGGCTCAAGTGCAGTGGTGCGATCTCGGCTCACTGCAGCCTCTACCTCCCGAGCTCAAGTGATTCTCCTGCCTCAGCTGGGACCTCAGGTGCGCACTACCACACCTGGCTAATTTTTTGTATTTTTAGTACAGATGGGGTTTCACCATGTTGGCCAGGCTAGTCTCCAACTCCTGACCTCAAGTGATCCTCCTGCCTCAGCCTCCCAAAGTGCTGGGACTACAGGTGTGAGCCACTGTGCCCGGCCTCATACTTTTTTTTTTTTTTACTGGTTAAAAAAAAATACTTATTTCCTGGCTCTGTCTCTTCCAAAGCCCTAGCAGTAACGAAATCCCAGGAGCAAGCACCACCCCTGGTGACCAGATTGGGGTCTCTAAACACCATATTCACACCGACGAAGGAGTGCACCCTGCGGAGATGGTTGGGCCGGGTCCATGGCAGGAAATGCCAGGGAGGGGCTGGAGCCTGCACCATCATGGTGGCTGCAAGTAAGGAAGGTGCCCAAGACCCAAGGGTTGAGTCAAAGGACTACAGAGGTCAACCTGAGGCCGCCTCTGGCCAAAGATAAGATGAGCTGGGCATGAAAAAGCAAGCCTGCAATTGCCAGGCAGATCCTGCAGCTTAGCCTTGGGAGCAAAGAAAGACACCGACAGGGGTATGAGGCTTTATTCAGGAAGAGCTCAAGATGGGAGGGGAGCCCCTGGGGTCCCACTCTTGTGGCCTCTTGATACCAAGGCTCATGGGACGCTAAAACCTAATGACTGCAGGCATCTGAGCTTCCTTGGAGTCATCTGTGGGGGGCACAGGGGCAGCCTCAGAGTCACCCGTGGGGGGCACAGGGGGGGCCCCGGAGTCACCCGTGGGCGGCACGGGGGCGGTCTCGGAGTCACCCGTGGGGGTCACGGGGGGGGCCCCGGAGTCACCCGTGGGCGGCACGGGGGGGGCGCCGGAGTCACCCGTGGGCGGCACGGGGGGGGGCCCGGCGTCACCCGTGGGCGGCACGGGGGGGGCGCCGGAGTCACCCGTGGGCGGCACGGGGGGGGCCCCGGAGTCACCCGTGGGCGGCACGGGGGGGGCCCCGGAGTCACCCGTGGGCGGCACGGGGGGGGCCCCGGAGTCACCCGTGGGCGGCACGGGGGGGGCCCCGGAGTCACCCGTGGGCGGCACGGGGGGGGCCCCGGAGTCACCCGTGGGCGGCACGGGGGGGGCCCCGGAGTCACCCGTGGGCGGCACGGGGGGGGCCCCGGAGTCACCCGTGGGCGGCACGGGGGCGGTCTCGGAGTCACCCGTGGGGGGCACGGGAGTGGCCTCGGAGTCCCCTGTGGGGGGCACAGGGGTGGCCTCCTGGTCGGTCACTGTGGGCAGCGCCAGATAGGTGAGGGTCCAGTAGCGCAGGAAGTTGGTTCTCAGGCTCCGCTTCATGGAGCTGCTGCCCATCTTCTTGGTGATCTCCAGGTAGCCGCTGTTTTCCGTAGTGTAGGGTTCCCAGTGTGTGGGCACAGCCGAGTCGCCCATGTTGGGGTCCCTGCAGAGTGAGAAGAGGCTGTGCAGGGGCTGGGGACTCCCAGGGGGCTGAAGCCCTGCTCTCCACCTGCACGCCTGAGCCATCCCCGCCCTCTGAGCTGGCCCTGGGCACCATGCCCCTCACTGCATACTGGGCACTGGCTGTGCACGTGCATGGGCTTGGGGCTCTGCCAGTAACTCTCATCCTCAAACACACATGGATTCCGATGCAGGGGGAGGTTAAGTGACTTGCCCAAAGTCCCTCCACTGGCAAATGAGGGAACAAGGCCTCGTGGTGGGAGGCCCTTCTCGGCTGTGGCCCTCCGCCCTGCACTCAACCCACGTCTTACCCTGTTTTGGCAAAGTTGGTCCAGTAGGCGATCATGGCCTTAGAGACTGTCCTGTCTTGGGGCCGGTAGCCCGTGGGGGTGGCGAAGGGCTTCCCGAAAACGTACTGAATGTCATCTGCATGGTCGGCCCCCACCCATTTGGGGTAGACGGGCATCCGAGAGGGATGGGAAAACAGGTAGGCGTAGGTCTTGGCACTCCTGGAGGGGAGAGACCACCCAAGTAGGCAGGGTGCTCACTGGGGACCGATCAGCCCAGAGACCGGACTTGGAGGGAGGTCCCGGGCAGTGGGCAGGGAAGTGTCTGGGGAATTCACATGAAGAGATGGGGCTTCTTACACCCAGGGAAGGGAAAGCTGAGAACCAAATTCATGGATTCATGGGTTCCACAATTTCAGCTGAATTTATACTTCACCTCCACAAAACATTGTGAGGCACCTTCCTTCTAGAATTCAGTATCAAGAAATATTTTGCTCTCCAAGTGAATGTGCATTCTTCAATTAGATTGGACAAGGTATAGGCCCTCAACTGTTTCCCTTTTTGCCTTGACTGAAAGGAGGCTCACAGCTAAATGTACTGCTTAGTTGCTGCAAAGCTTTCATCCTAGACTTCTAGGTATACTTTTATCTTCCTATCTTTTTCGTATTCCTAACTTATTTTTTATTTTTATTATTTATTTACTTATTTATTCGAGACACAGTCTCACTCTGTTGCCCCTGCTGGAGTGCAGTGGCGTAATCTCGGCTCACTGCAACCTCCACCTCCCTGGGTCAATCAATTCTGCTACCTCAGCCTCCTGAGTAGCTAGGATTATAGGCATGCACCACCATGCCTGGATAATTTTTGTATTTTTAGTAGAGATGGGGTTTTGCCATGTTGGCCAGACTAGTCTCAGACTCCTGACCTCAAGTGATCCTCCCACCTTGACCTCCCAATGTGCTGGGATTACAGGCATGAGCTACTGTGTCTGGCCTTATTTTTTATTATAATTGGCTATTATTACATGAAGATTTTTAATGTGGTGGTGGGCTGAAATTATGGGCAAAGTTGAGGCCCATAAGAGTCAGTGGATAGAAACTATTGTCCAGTGTTCTCTCAGTGCACACAGCATGGGGGATGGAAGGTAGCTCAAGAACTCTCCAGTGGGAAGGACCATGGGGTGCAGGGCTGAGCAGGGCAGAGGATCATAGGGTTTGTAAAGCCCTGTAGGCTGGGAGGTAAAAAGAGGCCCTCAAGTCTTGCCAGGCCTCAGCAAAGTGGATCAGGCAGGCACAGGTGGGGACTCAAGCACCACTTTCCCAGACAACCCAGACACCTGAGAGCCACCCACAGCGAGGCCTCGGCTGGAAGGTGCAGCACCCCAGGAAGGCCCCCAGGAGCCACCCGCTGCCCAGATCCTCACTTGGCATTGGCTCTGTGCTGGGCTAGGGCAATCTCGGTGGGCACCAGGAAGAGGACATCGGTCTCAAAGTCCACCACAGTCTTCTTCTTATTCTCCTGGGATGGGTCCTGGGCCCAGGACTCGGTGTAGACATCAAAGGTCGTCTTGGCGCCTCTGAGCCCCTTGGTGATTGTGAACTCACTGACCAGCTTGTAGAAGTCCTCCCTGGGGGAATCAAGTAGGCACTGACACTCAGCCTGTGCCAACAGGAAGGTGTGTGCATACTCACCCCGACCGGTGCTAACTTCCTCACTCCCAGTCCTCCACTCAATGCCTTCCTCCTCCAGGCTGGCCCCCTCGCCAGTGCTTTCCCGGCGGCCCTCCCGCACGGGTCGCCCCTGAGTCCTGTGCCCCCTGCTTACTCCGTGACTTTCTTGTTGCCCTTGTTGATGGCAGGCATGTCGATGCTGGCGAAGATGTGGCCGTCCATGTTGTTGGTGCCTGCTATATAGTCGATGTCGGCGGCGTTGGCGTACAGGTTGATCGGGTCAGCGGGGATGAAGTCTCCATCAATGACAGGGACGAAGCCCACATAGTGCAGCATGGGGTCTGGGTGGGAGAGCCAGCAGGTTAGCAGGTTCTTGTACCTCCCAGTTTCCCCTGAGCCGCCCCTTGCCTCTCAGGGCTGGAATTGGCTATGTCCTCCCTTCTCTGATCTATGGACACTTGGGGCAGGGTTGATTCTGCACCATCAGGGGCATCCTGTGCCCTGTAGGATGTTTAGAGCATCCCCGGCCTCGACCCACGAGGTGCCAGGAGCACCCCCTCCCCAGCTGTGACAATCACAGATGTCTCCAGGCCCTGCCACACGTCCCCAGGCTGAGAGTCACTGTCTAGGGCCAGATCTGTCCTCTTCAGCGGCAGCCCCTCCCTCTCCTCTCTCTCTTTGCTGGGCCTGAAGCAGGAAGGAGGAAACTTAGAAGCCACTGAGGGAACTGATGGAGAAGGAGCTCCCTCTCTCAGGGCTGGGTTCCAGTCCATCAGCCAAAAATGGTGGGAGGTCTGCATTGTACTCCAGACCCCTGGACGGGCCCCTAGAGGACCCAGTGGCTGCTGAGGCAGGCGGGGCCTGGCTGTCACTGGGCCCAGCACAGCAGGTTTTGCTTCTAGCGGGGCCGTGGGGGTTGCTTTGTTTGGGCTTGTCCAGCCCGTGCAGTTGAGCTCATGTCAGGTAAACGTGCAGATGACTTGGCTTCATGGCATGTTGCCATAGAAGAATGAGTGAGGGACAGCCTTAGCGTAGCAAGCTGGTAAGGCTGACATGCAGAGGTGTTTGTGGAATGGGTCCCCAGGCCTTCCCGGGGTACAGAATAGTGGAGCTGGAGGCTGGGCCCCAGTGCTACGGTTCAGTAAATGTTTGCTGAATGAATGAACGAATGAATGAACGGTCATCTAGCACAAAGGCTCTTGGTCTGAGGTCTATGAGTCTCCCTAAAATTATATGCAAATGACTGCATATGAATGCATGAGGTGGGGGAGGGGGCCCCAAATGTTCATCAGCTTCTCAAAGGGGAGTCTGTAACTCATGGGAGATAAGAATAAAGAAGGGGCCGGGCACAGTGGCTCACGCCTGTAATTCCAGCACTTTGGGAGGCCGAGGTGGGCAGATCATGAGGTCCCAAGACCGAGATCATCCTAGCTAACACGATGAAACTCCATCCCTACTAAACACACAGAAAAATTATCTGGGCATGGTGGCATGTGCCTGTAGTCCCAGCTACATGGGAGGTTGAGTCAGAGAATCACTTGAACCCAGGAGGTGGAGGTTGCAGTGAGCTGAGATCGTGACACTGCACTCCAGCCTGGGCAACAGTGAGACTCCATCTCAAAAAAAAAGAAGAAACGGCACCCCCTCTCCCTTACAGCTGGGGCCTTCGAGGGGAGACACCAGCTAGTTGGTGACAGGACAAGACCGCAGCTCTGGCACCTTCCTCTCTCCTCCGGAGTACTCCCTGGCAGTACCCCCCTCAACCCCCACCTCGAGACCCCATGGGCCAACCCGAGCAGCTACTCACACTCCAGGCCTGCCAGCGGCACCTTATAGGCCAGCGTCAGGGCTCGGGGATCAGTAACCTTCAGACACTGGGCCATCCTGGCGGCATCACCCACAGGGCAACCCACCTTCTCAGCCACCTGGGGGCAGAACCAAGGCCAGCAGGTAGGTGAGGCCGGAGCTCAGGGCTCAGAACCATTTGAAGGCAAGGATGGGGTCCAGGATAAAGAACGGAAATGTGGACAGCCCCCACCCCGCCCAGCCCTGCCCTCCTCCGTTTACCTTTTTGGCCCAGAAGAGTGGGTTTTTCTGGATGACCCAGGGACTCAGGGCCACGCCGCTCTGGCTGATGGCTCGCCGGATGAGGCCCTTGTTGTAGGGGGAGAGGGTCTACGGGACCCAGAAATCCCGTCACCAAGGCCGCTCCCCACTCTGCCCACCCCACGCTGGGACAAGGACACCCCAGCACCACAGCCCCAGCTCCACGCTCCTCCTCCCACCCTCCCCTTCCCGTTTGAGCTTCCTCTCAACCTGTGGGGCAGGCCCTCCCCACAGGGATCCCGAGACCTGCAGAGAGACGCTGGCACCTCCAGCAGACTCCCCGAAGAGCGTGATGTTGTTGGGGTCCCCCCCGAAGGCCGCGATATTCCTCTTCACCCAAGCAATGGCCATGTGCTGATCCCGAAGGCCATAGTTACCTGGGGGCAGGGCAGGGGAGGGGGTGCTAGAGACCAGTGGCCCAGGCCTGGCCTCCAGGAGGGGAGATCAGCATAGGTGGGGTGGAAATGCCCTCAACAGAGTTGGGGCCATGGCAGAGCCCCAGTTGGCAAATGGTGGGTCCCTAAGAAGCTGGGTCGGGTAGGGTGCTGGAGGGGGTGGGTCCCCAGGAGACTAGGTCACGTTGGTTGCTGGAGTGGGTGGGTCCCCAGGAGGCTGAGTCGGGTGCGGTGCTGTATGGGGTGGGTCCCCAGGAGGTTGGGTTGGTGTGGTGCTGGAGGGGGTGGTGTTTGTCGGGGGCAGGATGGTCAGGCCCATGCACCTCTCCTGCCCCTGCCCCAGTCCCTCCTGTCTGTGTCCTGCCACTTCTGTGTCCACAGCTGTCTCTGCCTCAAGGTATTGTTCTCTGTCTCTCACTCAGCTCTGCTCTCCTGGTTTCTCTCTGAGCCTCAGCCTGTCTGCCTGTCTGTCTGTCCCACAGCCTCTTATTTTTGAGATGGGGCCTCACTCTGTCGCCCAGGCTGGAGTGCAGTGGCACGACCACGGCTCACTGCAGCTTTGAACCCCTGGGCTCAAGCGATCCTTCCACCTCTGCCTCCCAGGTAGCTGAGGACAGAGGCATGAGATACCACGCCTGGCTATTTTTTTTTTTTTTTTTTTTTTTGAGACAGAGTTTTACTCTTGTTCTCCAGGCTGGAGTGCAGTGGCATGATCTCGGCTCACCGCAACCTCCGCCTCCTGAGTTCAAGCGATTCTCCTGCCTCAGCCTCCCGAGTAGCTGGGATTACAGGCAAGCGCCACCACGCCTGGCTAATTTTGTATTTTTAGTAGAGAAGAGGTTTCTCCATTTTAGTCAGGCTGGTCTCAAACTCCTGACCTCAGGTGATCTACCCACCTTGGGCTCCCAACGTGCTGGGATTACAGGGGTGAGCCGCCGCGCCCAGTCCCCAGCTAATTTTTAATTTTTGTGTAGAGATGGGGGTCTCCCAGTGATTTTCAGGCTGGTCTTGAACTTCTGCGCTCAAGTGACCCACCTGTGTGGGCCTCCTAAAGTGCTGGGATTACAGGCGTGAGCCATCTCTCCCGGCCTCTGCAGCATCTTTTATTTTACTACAGCTACCAAGGGCCTCCTGCATCTCATGATTCTACTCCAGCTTCCGGGTCTTTCTGTGAACCGCCACTGGTTGTTTGGGGTGAGGGGTGCTGAGGAAAATCTCCCTGCTGGGCTCAGCATGCTGGTCGCCCCACCTCAGGGCCGAAGGCACCCACGCACCTGGCAGATTGGCGTCCCCAGTGCTGAGGAACCCAAGGGGGCCGACACGGTAGTTGAAGGTGACCACGATGACGTTTCCGCGTGTGGCGATCTCCTCGCCGTCATACAGGTAGTTGTTGAGGAAGTTGGCCCCATGGCCGGACCCCATGAGGAAGGCGCCTCCATAGATCCAGATCATAACGGGCAGGTCCCGGGAGACTGAGATGGGGGAGCGGCTGGTGACCCCAGACGCCCCGCCTGGCCCTGTCTCCAGCCGGTCCCCTGTCCCTGTGCAGCAGGTGCCTGGGGCCAAGACAGGGAGGTGCTCCAAGGCGCTGCCCTGCCCCAGGCTGGGCAACGGCAGTGGGCGCTCCCCTCCCCGCCTCTGTGGGATTTCATGGAAGTTCAGCTTTGCAGCCCCCAGACTCAAGCCAGGAGTAGACCCGGGGCAGTGGCTGCATGGGAGGGTCCCTTGGGGAGTAGAGGGGAGGCAGACCTTGCTTCCTGCCCTGGGGCACCCAAATGTTGAGGTACAGGCAGTCTTCATCCCCGTAGGTGCTGTCCTGGGTGATGGTGGCCTGCAGGCATCTCTTCTTGAAGTTCTTGGCCTTCAGGGTCCCTGCAGGTGGCAGGAGTTGGCATGAGGAAGGCAGCCGCCCTCACCCGCCCCGCCGCAGGGCCAGTCCGGCACCACCCACTCCCACCTTGCCAGCCAGGATGTGGCTGAGGATTTTCCAGGGCCTTGGTGGGAGCTGCGAAGGGGATGCCCTTGAAGATGTCCACAGAGTCACCCAGGAGGCCGAGCTTCTTATTGACGCCTTCCACGAACCCACCTTCTGTGTACACGGCGCCCAGCTGCGAGGGAGACACGGGCAGGGTCAGGGGGGCTCAAGCCCCATCGGCCTGAATCCGGAGGGGGCAAGGCAAGCCGACTCCGCGTGCCCAGAGGCAAAGACAGCTTCAAAGCAGGACAGCTCTGCACAGGAGACCCAGGCAGCACCCCCTGCCCTGCAATGCTCAGGGCTTTAGGATTCCTGTTCCTCTCCTTATCCCTGGGGGTGTCCTGCTCCCAGAATCTTAGAGGAAACTGGTTCAACCAGTGTTCCCACTAGGGAAGCCGGCCAAGAGGTGGGATGGAGGTTTGGGTTCTGGCTATGGCCGCCCAGCTTTGACTCCGATCCTCAGTTTCCCCATGTGGAAGACGAGCAACAGCCGTGTCTCCTGTCGGCCTGTTTGCCATCACATGGGAGGCCTGTCCAGCTCCCGGGAGGAGTGTACCCAATGCTCAGTGTACCCGGGATGTTTCACACCAACCTTCCTCCTTTCTGAGGGGTGGGGCCTGCTTTTCCCTCCTCCCATCTCCCTGCACAGGGCCTAGCTGGCTGGGCACAAAGTCGATGGCCCCATGCCCAAGTCCCCACAGTTCCTGAGCCCCCTGCTGGTAAAGAACCCCCTAGGGACCACACCTCCCACCCCCGCCACGCTTCCCTGTGCCATGAAAATGGCCTCTGTGCACCAAGCTGTCCACCCCCACGAGGGGCCTGGAGGTTGGTGCTCATCCACCCTCTGTCCCTGACGGAACTGAGGCTGGGCAGCTTTTGGGCTTGAAGTCACCCTGTTGAGAAGCAGCTGTCTGCCCCAGTGCCACCTCCTGTCCATCTTGGGCAGCAGCTCCCTCTTCCCGTGGTGCATGGTGGGACCAGGTCATTGCTTGCTGGCTGTCACCTGTGCCAGGTTCCAGGTGGGGAAGGGCAGGGTGGCCCTACACCCCCAGGCCCAGCCAGGGTCCCAGCAGCCCTCTGAAGTCTAGGGTGATGGGCCCCCTGTCACACTGGTGTGGGAGAGTGCGGCGGTTGGAACTGGAGGAAAGGAACCAGAAGCAACACATGCAGGCATCGTGGGCATCCCCTGCGAGGCATCTGTGTCTCCTTGTGCCAGTGGCGTGATCCCTGTGCAATTGAGACTGGCCAGAGGGCCTCAGGGTGGGGAAATGGGGAGGGGTCGTGATGACCTGCCGAAGGCCTCTCAGCACCCCAAGAAGAGCTCGCCCAAGAAGAAGGTGACCTCTCCTTTGAGTCAGGAGCCCAGGACCACTGCCCAAACCTCCCGGTCCCAGGGCCAGGGAGTGTGGAGAGCAGGCAGCAGAGGTGGAGACAGGAGTCCCCAGGGCCTGAGACACCGCAGGCGGCAGAACAGCGTGGTTGGGATCTGGGGTCCCCTGTGTGACTCCTGCTGGGGGCAGGGACTGGGCCGGGCACCGACACCGGCTTCCTGTGGGGCTTGGGGTTTCTGTGGCTTCTCCTTCACAGGCAGAGAGGGTAGAATTTATGGATGCCTCGAGAGAGCTCCTGCCTGCCGGCTCTCTTTCTGGAGGGACCCGGACCCGGGTGTGGAGTAGCTCGGCTTTCAGCTTCCTGCACAGGAATAGGAGGCAGCAGCTGTGCCATGCTGGGCAAACTGCCTGCCTGCTTCTCTCCACCCGTCTGCCTGCTCTCCACACTCCCTGCCCCTGGGCCCGTTTCCCCTTCTGTAAAATGGGAACAACAGAGAGGTGGAATCACCAGGATTAGCAAATGTAAATTCAAGAGGCCCAGTTACATTTGAATTTCAGGTAAACAGTGAATTGTTTTTTAGTATGTTTCATTTTTTTCTTTTTCTATTTTTTGAGACAGAGTCTCGCCCTGTCACCCAGGCTGGAGTGCAGTAGCGTGATCTCAGCTCACCGCAATCTCCACCTCCCAGCTTCAAGCGGTTCTCCTGCCTCAGCCTCCCGAGTAGCTGGGATTACAGGCACCCACCACCACGCCCGATTAATATTTGTATTTTTAGTAGAGACGGGGTTTCACCATGTTGGCCAGGCTGGTCTCCAACTCCTGACCTCAAGTGATCCACCCACCTCGGCCTCCCAAACTGGTGGGATTGCAGGTGTGAGCCACTGCGCCCGGCCCATAGAAATTTGTTTCAAATATTGCATGGGACATACTTACACAGCAGTTCTTGGCAGTTTATCTGAAATTCAAATGGAATTGGGCATCCTGTGTTCTACCTGGCACCTGTCCCCATAGAAATGAGCGTGAGTGCCCGGGATCTGCTGCGGGGCTGTGCTGGGCTCTTTCTCAGCCTGGCCCGAAGTTTCCAGATCTGATTGAGCGAGAGAGCAGCAGGACCTGCCCCTCTGCTGGGCTCTTACCTTCGCGGCACTCGCCACTGCCCAGCAGCAGGTGAGGCCCAACACAACCAGTTGCAGGCGCCCCATGGTGAGCATCAGCCTCTGGGTGGCCCTCCCCCTGGGCCTCGGGTATTTATGGAGCTGGATCCAAGGTCACATGCTTGTTCATGAGCTCTCAGGCACTCCCTCCCCTCTACCCCCTCAGGTGCAGGGAGATCCAGTTTTCCCCAAACCCACAGTGCACCTGTGCAGGTTACCACTTACCTGGGAGCAGAGGCAGGTGGCAAGGTGGCGGGTGGTAAGGGGGATGGTGGGGCCGGGCAGGGTGCACAGTGCCCTGCCTTCTGGTTTGTTCACAGGGCTTGGTGTCACTGTCAGAGAAAAGGGCATACTTTGTCTCCATGTCTCCATGCCCTGCTTGTCCCCTAGGTCCCCAAAGGGGCTTCAGAGGGGACCGAGCACGTGACTTCTGGGACAGAAAGGGCAGCATGCTGCAGGCCCTCCACTCATGTGGCTGACCTTATCTGTACGAGCTTTTCCTGGGGCCCGTGGAGCGGGTAGTCCAAGCTGGGTGCGAATCCCAGAGCAGCACAAGGCAGTCCCACTCAAGGGTGTGGAAGTGTCACCATCCAGCCTGATGTGTCCTGGGAGGGAGGACTAGAGGCTCAGGGGGTGTGGGTGGGGGGGTGCGGAGGCATCTAGCCCAACCATGTAGGTTTCCCTGTGGAAACAAAGGGCCCAGCCGAGGCCCTGGGGCATGCCCAGGCAGAGTGACAGAAGGGGAGGGAAAGAGGCCAGTGGGAGGGAAGGGAGAAGGTCGTGTGAGGTTGTGGAGGAGGAGGCGACTCGTATTTTCTGTGAACAGGTATTAATCCTGGAGCCAGGAAAGGCTCTGAGAAGTGAAAGAACACCACGAACAAAGTCTTCAGATGGGGCCTTTAAGCTCAGCCAGTGTGAGGTCACCCTCACCGAGACACTCAGTGGCAGCTCCAGCCACCGCACAGCCCTCTGCAGTGATGGGAACAGGGTGAGGGCAGCCAGAGCCTTCCCACCCAACAGTCCCCCAGGAGACACTGGGGCCTGTGCTTCCCACACCAACCACACTCCCGTTCTGCCACCCCTGCGGCCGGTGCCAGGGACCGAGTGGACCTGCAGAGCCACGTCTGTCCCTCTGTCTGTCGACCACAGCCGGTGCCAGCAATTCAGGAGGCCTAGTGGGCGAGGGAGGCTGGGGAAAGGACTGGAGGGTGGGAGGAGGAGCTCGGCCACAGGAAATAAGGGGCCTGCAGGTGGCTGGGGCGCCCCAGGGCAAAGGCATTTGCCTCAGACCTTTGCTGCAGTGTCATTTACAGTGGCTAAGGAGGAAAGGGGAGGGCAGAGGGGAGGCAGCAGGGAGAGGAAGGAGGTGGGGGAGGGCTGGGGCAGGGCAGAGGGAAAGGAAGGCCCCAGTTTATATCTATGTACATTTTTAGAGCAGCTTTAGGTTCACAGCAAAATTAGAGGAAGATTACAGAGATTTCCCGTATGTCCTCGCCCCACTCCAGTCTCCCCCGTTATCAACATCCCCCACCAGGGGGTACAGCTGTTAACACCTGATGAATCCACATTGACATGTCATTATCACCCGGAGTCCACAGAGGTTTTTTGTTTGTTTGTTTTTTTGAGACAGGGTCTCTGTCACCCAGGCTAGAGTGCAGTGGCACAATCATAGCTCACTGCAGTCTTGAACTCCTGGGTTC
Source organism: Homo sapiens (assembly GCF_000001405.40). Classification (NCBI taxonomy): domain Eukaryota; kingdom Metazoa; phylum Chordata; class Mammalia; order Primates; family Hominidae; genus Homo; species Homo sapiens. The sequence goes on along the minus strand of NC_000009.12, from coordinate 133,060,350 downwards.
GAGGGATCCTCCTGCTTTAGCCTCTGAAGTAGCTGGGATTACAGGCGTGCGCCATCACACCCAGCCGATTTTTGTATTTTTAGTAGAGACTGGGTTTCACCATGTTGGCCAGGCTGGTCTCAAACTCCTGAGCTCAAGTGATCTGCCCGCCTCAGCCTCCCAAAGTGCTGGGATTACAGGCATGAGCCACCGTGCCCAGCCTCATACTTTATTTTTTTAAAATTGGCAAAAAAAAAAAAAAAAAACTTATTTCCTGGCTCTGTCTCTTCCAAAGCCCTAGCAGTAACGAAATCCCAGGAGCAAGCCCCACCCCTGGTGACCAGACTGGGGTCTCTAAACACCATATTCACACCGACTGAGTGCACCCTGGGGAGATGGTTGGGCCGGGTCCGCAACAGGAAATGCCAGGGAGGGGCTGGAGCCTGCAGCATCGTGGTAGCTGTAAGTAAGGAAGGTGCCCAAGACCCAAGGCTTGTGTCAAAGGACTACAGAGGTCAACCTGAGGCCGCCTCTGGGCAAAGATAGACAAGTTGGGCATGAAAAAGCAAGCCTGCAATTGACAGACGTGAGAGTTCACCAGGCAGCCCAGGAAACACGCTCTCCACCCCCTCCTGCCCTGTCACTGGCCCTTGCCAGGGCACTAACTCATTGTTCTGAAAACTGTTAGAGGTGATAACAGGCATTTTCCCTTCTTTTCTGTGAAAATAGTATTTCAGGGTAATCAAACAGACGATGAGGAAGATTCCTTTATAGGATTCCAGCTACTAAATGCAGAGGGAACGATATAATTCAAAAAAATCACCATTTTGCACCCTTAAGGAAGTAGTAGGTCCAGGCAATTATCAACGGCTATTCAAAAGCCATTAAATAGGCTGGACGCAGTGGCTCACACCTGTAATCCCAGTACTTTGGAAGGCTGAGGCGGGAGGATCCCTTGAGCCCAGCCTGGACAACATTAGTGAGACCTCATCTCTACAAAAATTCAAAAATTATCTGGGCATGGCGGTACACAACCTGTAGTTCCAGCTACTCAGGAGGCTGAGGTGGAAGGATCACCCGAGCCCAGGAGGTTGAGGCTGCAGTGAGCCCTGATTGCATCACTGCACTCCAACCTGGGTGACAAAGCAAGACCATCTCAAAAAAAAAAAAAAGACCCACAAATGAAACAAAAAACCACAGAAACCCAAAAACCGTTAGATAAAAGACCAACACATCAGGCTGACAACACCTAAACCTGCTGGTCAATCCTAGTAAGCAGACCTCCCGTGCATGCAGACTGACGCAGCCTAGGAAGAGACCTTGAACCCGAATCTGGCTGAGCCTCCACCTGTCCCCAGGAAATACAGGGGAGAGAGGAGCAGGTTCAGCACCACACAGAAGCAACCAGCCAATCCAGAACAGGGCCATTCTCTGACAACTGACTGTTTCTTCAACAAATACTCGGCACGCACACAGGTTGGGAGGGAGTGCTGCTGCCGACTTGGGGAGACACAAGAGGTGCCTCAGCCAAGGGCAACATGGGGAGCGGGGCCAGGCAGGCAGGCTCGGTGGGCTCAGGACCCACTAGTTTCACACTGGGCAGCCACAGGACAGCAGGGCCCGTTTCCCATGACTTTGTCAAGAAGGTATTCATTTAGAGAAGAACTGACCCCAGGCCTGGAGTCCTCCTAGCTGCCCTCACCCAACCCGACCACATGTGAGGGGGGCACAGGCCAGCACTGCCAGCATGTCACTGAATGAATGAAGGAATGAATGAAGGAATATATGAAGGGACAAAGGGGGCCCAAGCCCCAAGGCAATAAGAAGACTCCCCTGCAGCGCCAACATTCACACCAAGAAACCAAGACTTCTCGGGAAACTGGTTTAATAAGGACAATTCCAGAGGGGCCTGGCTGTGGCCAAAGCTGTGCCAAACGGTTGGGATCCAGAGCTAAAGGCACTTCTTGCCACGTGAGACCATGGGCGAGGCTCCCCACGCTATCTCCACCACCACAGTCATGAGAGCCAAGCGAGACTGGCCTGTGGCCTGGGGCTCCACAGCTGCCCAGCTCCACCTCCGGCATTTACTGGTCTCATCCTGAGAGGCATTGGGTGCCCACTCACTGGCTGGATGCTGGGCTGGTTCATGGGTGGCAGAGCCAGGGTATACCCTTTGGGGATGTCCCTAACCCCTCAGGACCAGAGGCAGCACCAAGCAGCATGTCACAGCCAGTGCTAGGGTCAGCTGCACCCTTTGCTGGGACTCTAGCTCTCCTCAGAGGGCCTCCTAGGGCCATTCCGGGCACTGTGGGTGGCAATGGGGAGCCCCGGCTCCCTCATTAGGCCAGACACCAGTCTGGCCGGGTCAGGGAGGCCCAGCCTTGGGCCCTGTCACACGTAGTCCAGAATCTCTGTCTCCATTTCGTTTTCACTGCCGTCGGATGGCTTGAAGTCCTCCTCCTCCTCTTCCTCCTCCTCCTCATCCTCCTCGTCTTCCCCAGACTCGTACGTCAGCTGCTCTTTTCCGCCATCAGCCTTGGCTGAGCTGGAAAAGAGAGCTGGGGCCGGAGGAGACAAGGCCATGGGTGTCCCATGCAGGCTGCCGGGTGGCCCCAGAAAGGCCACCAGGCTCTGGGGAGCCTGTTTACTACTATAAGGGTCCGAGCTCGAGCTCTTAAGAAGCTGGTGGGTAAGTATGGGGTGGAGGCCCCCCAGGGAAGCTGTAGTTTGACGGGCACCCAGGGGAATCCTGCAGCAGGGGAGCCATGAGCAGCTTCAAGGGCCCATGGACCCTCAGGAGTGAACACACCATTTTCTCTGGGAAAGGGTCCACACCCTTGATTAGATTCCCAAAGGGGGCTGAATCTGGGTTCCAAGCAAGACCAAGAACCCCTGCTTCGGTCAGATCTGTGGGGCGTGGCTGGGTCCAGGATGCCTCCTCCCCAAGCCTGGGAGGAGTTCCCTGAGAGAGGGGGCCTCTTATAACTCCCCCGAGCCTCGTGAGACCCACAGCCTGGCAGGTGTTGCCCCCTTCACTTTCCCTGCAGCTGGCCCTCACTCCTGCCAGGGCTGCCTGGTTCCAGGAAGGGGCTGGGCCACACAGAACAGGAAGAAGACAGAGGCAGAGCCTGCGCATGCACAGCTGAAAGACATGGGCTGGTGTGAGGGCGTCAGGTGGAGGCCCCGATGGCAGTGCCAGGCTGCTGCACCCAGCCCCTCTGGGCTTGTCTCCTGCCCCGGACCGCAGGGCTGAGGGCCTCGGCTGAGGCAGCCTCTGGGCAGCTGGGGTGATGCCAGCACCTGGGCTGGGCTCTGGCTCACAATGTCCTCCTCCCACCAGGGCCAGGGGCAAGATGATGCCACCTGGGTGCCATTTCCCAGGAATGGGTCCCCTTAGGGACACCTCTGTCTCAAAGGAGATCACCAGGCATCCTGGACCCCCTTTACCCCAAGCGGCTCTTACCAGGCCTCTTGGAGCGGATGGTCTGCCGGATCATGAGGGACATGGTGTCCCTGAGCTCGTCGCTGGTCTTGGGGAGGCACCACCCATCCCGTTCTGTGCAGGAATTCTCTGCCCCGTCATTGCGGTGAATGATCTTCTGCAACCTGGGGGTGGGGAGAGGGTTGGGACATAAAGTCCCAGGGCGGGTCTCTGCTAAGAGATGCCAGTGTTGGTTTTTGCCAGAGGCAGAGCTGTACTGAGATCAAAGGCAGCCCCGTGAGCGAAGTCTACAGAGAGGAACTGGAAACACAAGCTGTGTGTTCCCAGCTGGGGCCCTAAACCTGTGTGCTCCCTGGACCGCCTCACACACATGAAGCTGGCCGTGTTACCACTGCACATGCTTCTGGTGAACCATGGCTTTCAGCAGAGTTCAAGATGTATTTGATGTGTTCCCATCTCCTCTCATCCCAGTGAGTGCCCTTTCCCTGCAATTCTTTAAACATCACTGAGAACAAGTCGATAAAAGGTTTCTGGGATCTGATGGGTCCTGGGATTGAGAACCACCTCATGGGGCCTTTATGTGGACAGTGGAAGAGGAGCAAGGACATAACAGTAAGAACTGTCTCTGCGCAGCTTGGAGCCACGGCTTTCTATAGGGCACCGCCTCTACGAGGGCCACCAGCATGCCAGGGCTCTCGGCAGCACCAAACTCCCAGACAGGCGAGTGCTCTTGCCGGAGATGAAGGCCGACGTGAAGTGGAAGAGTTCAGAGACCGCTTTGGTCCCTGGGTCCCACGGGCCCCCCTCAGTGTCTCAGGGCCCCTCCCATACGTACTCTTCCACATTCAAGTCGCATAACTGGTAGAACATCTGCCGATAGGGTGGCAAGGCCCCTTCCCGGAAGATGTAGACAGAGTCCTGGTGACAAAGGGGGAGAGAGACAGGGAAGGTGAGCCAGAGCCCTGGGGCTGCCAGTGTTGCAGACTCCATGTAGGCTCCCATGGGGTCTCTCCAGGGAGCTGGCTGGTCACCAGGAGCAGGTTGGGCAGACAGGCTGGAAGGCCACGGAGGAGTTGGGGAAAAAACAATGTCCAACTCCCCAGGAGGCTCTGGGAGAGGCAGAGGAGCACCCAGGCCCTCCTGGGGCCACTGGAAACGGTGAGCCCGCCCGTGCAGCAGGCCATGGCGCCCATGGCATGGGGCTGGCACTAGCCTTGTGCCGGGCTCTGCTCTCTGTGCCCTCCTGCACTCTGACCTTATCCCTCACCCACTGCTGCTAATTTGTCACCCTATGTCCCCCTATGGGCTGCCCTGACATCTTTTCTGGGAAAAGCAGGGCTTAGTGAGTGTTTGCTCTCTCCTTTCCGTACCCAGCCATGTAGTTCTAGAGTAAGGATAACGGCCTCCTAGGAGAGGCCTCGAGAAGGAAGGCCGCACAGGCTGTGGCATGATCGCCCCTCACTGGGAAGGCAGCAAAGGTCTAAAAAACCTAGAAAATAGGCAGGGCCCCAGACACTGGGGGACAGCAAGTCCCTCGCATCACCCGTCTCTGCTGCACTCATCTCTGCCACCCACTCCCTCAGCAGGTGATTCCACCGTGCGGGATGCCCCCTTCTCGGCCTCCCCCAGGGCTGTGGAGCGGCTTGCGGGAGCCTGAATGTGGGAACAGCTCTGGAAACCGCCAACCCCCGCTGGGCAACCGCACTGACGGAAACGTGAGCCAGTGAGGCTCCTGCCACAGCTGCAGCCCACATGGCCTGCTCTGGCTCTGTCCTCCTGTGTGTGCCCAATTCCGATCATTCCCGGAGTGGTCACGTGGCTCAGTGGGGGCCCAGGCTCCCAAAGGGCTCGAGAAGGACAACCACATGCAGCTGCTGGTGCCAGACTTCCCTGAGACTTGTCACCACCTCTTCGCCAGATGTCCCCAACACACACAGCCCTGGGGCTTTGCACCCGAGTTCTCACCCTCAGTGTCTGAAGGCTGACCTAAAAGGAAGCAAGGTGCCGAGGCCCCGGTGGGCAGAGCTGCCCTAATCACAGCCCCCCAGGTGTCACCCACAAGGTGCCCGGCCCCAAGAGGGAAGTCCTCCCCTCCATTCCTGGCCTCCAGGGGCGCCCACCTTGAGCTTGTACTTGCTGGAAGCTGGTTTCCGAGCACCACTCGTCCCCGACGGGCCCAGGCCCTGCTTCAGGTCATGCATGGTGACAAGCTGGCTGGCTGCGTGGGGACAACAGCAGTGCTTGGAATGTGCAGGGTGGGGAGGAGGTGTCTCTCCCAACCACCATGCCCTGCCCTCCTGCCAGCCCACCCCCTCCTAGGGGAGGAATGACCGGCAGAGCCCTGGAGTGACCCCCAGGAACCACCTCCCCGTCTGGGTCCAGGTGCCCCGCCTTCCTTGGCAAATCACTCATGACCCACAAAAGGCGCCTGGCACGCTTACATGTCTTCTTGACGGTGATGGGGAGGCTGTAGTTGTAGGTGCTGCGCTTTGCTTTGACCGGCAAGTCACTGGGGGCGTAACCTGTAGGCGAGGGCGGGCAAGTCAGGTGGGCGGGCACAGGGCCCGTCGGCACACAACACTGGCTTCACACTGGAGATGGGAGTTGGGTCCATGGGGCCAGCTCCTGAGAGGGCAACCCCAGACTGCCAAGCACGCCACTGCGGTCACCAACACATCTCAGCACTTCCCAGGCAGGGCGGGCACTGATGCTCTCACAAGTGCCTGGCCTGCATCACAGGACCATAGGGCACGTGGAGTCACTTAATGAGGGACTGTGGTTCAGAAACGGGCGGTCAGTGGTGGGGCCAGCACAGAACTAGGACTTTCGTTTCCACGCCATTCTGCATTCAAAAGAGTCTCAGCAACGGGGGCAAAAGGTTTTTTTATTCTTTCCAAATGAAAAGATTCTTACTACAAAAGAGAATGCTAGAAACTGAAAGATAAAGAGAGAGAAAGGCAGGAAGCAAAGCTTTCAGGAATTTTTACCGTGTTTCATTCCACAACGGATTCGGAAATCGAGGACTTGATAAATCTTGGCATCTGGGTTTTTTCGGGGGTCATACCCAAATCGAATCCATAGGCTGCGCCAGGGGCCTGTTATCTGGGACAGAAAAGTGGGGAAAATGTGAGGTGAGGTGAAGGCCCAGGTCCCTGGACGGGCCAGAGCCTACAGTGAGGCAGCAGAAGAGCTCAGGAGCTGGGGACAGGGCTCTGGATGCCCAGCCCTGCTCTGCCACATGCAGGCCCTGTCACCTTGGTGAGGGCACGTGGCCTTTCCAAACCTTGGTCTTCCTGTCAGATGGAGGGAAAAGGAGCACCCTTTCCTGTGGGTTTTTGTTTTTTGGGGGAGAGGGTCTCACTCTGTTGCCCAGGCTGAGTGCAGTGGCAAAATCACGGTTCACTGCAGCCTCAACCTCCTGGGCTCAAGTGATCCTCCTACCTCAGCCTCCCAAGTAGCTGGAACTACAGGCACGAGCCACCACACCCAGCTAATTTTTAATTTTTTTGTAGAGATGGGGTCTCATTATGTTGCCTAGGCTCGTCTCAAACTCCTGGATGCAAGCGATTCTCCCGCTTCAGCCTCCCGAAGTACCGGGATTCTAGGAGTGAGCCATCATGCCTGGCCTCCCATGGTTTTTCAGAGGATTAAATGAGATAGCGCCCGTGGAGCCTTTACCATGGTTCCTGGCACATATTAAGTGCCCAATGTTACTACTGGCCTAATCGATGAGACATCTTCTGTCCCTAAACGGAGCTTTTGAATGGCTTATGTCTAAAAAGCCAATGCCAGCCAGCCGCAGTGGCTCTCGCCTATAATCCCAGCATTTTGGGAGACCGAGACAGGCAGATCACTTGAGGTTAGGAGTTCGAGACCAGCCTGACCAACATGGCGAAACCCCATCTCTACTAAAAATGCAAAAAAAGAAAATTAGCTGGGCATGGTGGCGTGCGCCTGTACTCCCAGCTACTTAGGAGGCTGAGGCAGGAGAATCACTTGAATCCCAGAGGCGGAGGTTGCAGTGAGCAGAGATCACACCACTGCACTCCAGCCTGGGAGACAGAGTGAGACTCCATCTCAAAATAAATAAAATAAATAAAATAAAATAAAATGCCAACGCCAAGCAGCACAGGTCGCTCTCCTGAGCCGGAAGTCCAACAAGGCAGAAGAAATGAGTCTTTCTTGTGTCCTACTGCCTGTTGCAGACCCTCACAGTCATGTCTTACGCTGGCCTCCCCTAATGCTCTGTGAGGCCTGGCAGCGGGGAGGATCCCTTTCCAACCAGCACCTTTGGAACCTCAGTAATGACATGTGTCTTTACATGCTTGTGGATCAAAGGTGGATCTGCCTCCCACTGAACCCCACTCAACACAGGTAGAGGACGACATGGGGCCGCTGTGGTCAGGGGCTGGGTTCTGCAGCCCAACAGGCTGTGGAGGGCGCCCTGGACTCAGGGAGCTGAAACTTTTCTAGCTGGCTTTAATAAGCTGTCTTAGGGATGCTAGGATCGGGGGGCCAGGACAGGGGGGAAGGAAGGATGGGGGTGCCAGGACGGGGGAGGTGCTAGGTTGGGGGCAGGGCAGGAAGGATGAGGGCCAGGCCAGGGGTGGGTAGGAAGGATGGGCCAGGATGGGGGTGGGGCAGGAAGGATGGGGAGCCAGGATAGGGGGTTGGCTGCTCTTACTGTGGCTCTAAGACATCACAGCAGGGACCAGGGACCACATGGGTGGAAACCAAGGCAGGTGGGTGGGCAGCTGACACTTACCATGTAATAGGCTATGAAGGGAAGCAAGACCTTGAGCTTGTCTGGGTGGACGCTGATGTTGGCCTTGACAGCATTTCGGGACCAGATGGGACGGATGTCAAACAGCTGGGGAGGCCAAGGGCAGAGGCTGAGATGAGCACCAGCAGCTTCCACCCTTCGGCCCTGAACTCCCAACATGTTCTGGGCCCCAGCGGCCCCTCCAGAGAGGAGCTGGTAGAGGACAGGGGCTGGACACACAGGGCGTGGCCCTAGGACCTCCTGCTCTCACTAATTCATCCCTTCCCTCAGAAGCCTGGGCTGCATGCCCAGCCTGTGCCAAGTGCAGTTGTGGGGCTGGGTCTCTCAAACGATAAGAGACATGGTCGCTGTCCTCATAGAGCCCACAGCGCGGTGGGGAGTACGGCTCAGGGGGCACATGCTAGAGTCCCAGGGTCCCCATGCTGCCCCAATCTACAGAACAGGTGCCTGAGGTGGGACATCGTCAGGGCTGAAGGGGACAGCCTGGCCCGGGGAGGACTGCAAAGGTCAGTGTGGCCGGAGTGTAGAGGGCCAGGGGGCTGGGGCAGCGGGCCTCACGAGCCAATTCAGGTCAGGAATGTGGGCTGTGCCTGGTGGGCAATAAGGAGCCACTGACAGTGTGCCCCAGTGACTGCTGGAAATCAACAAGACATCCACGTGGTCTCCCACAGGCACACTGCGTAAGGGAAGCGCCGGGCTCCAGGTGGCAGTGGCCTGTGAACCTGATGCTCATGCCAGTGGGGACGCAGGACTCCACGGCACCCGCAAGCCCGGGGAAGGAGGGCTGCCTGGCAGCACGGTTCCAGTTCTAACGGTAAGAAAGTGCTGGGCCTGGCACACTAGGTGCCCCACTGGCTTGGCTGCAATGAGTGAATGGAAGAATAAGAGCTCAGTGGATCCCAGAGCTCCACGTTTATGTCACATCTGAACAACGCACGCATATTTTTCTTAAGAACTCTAAGAAGCATTTTCAACCTTGGGAATGTAGAACTTATACCGACACAGCCTTTAGACATGGCATCTGAAGGTGAGAAGTTCCCATGCACTAAGGAATGGGTAAAGGTCAGTGCAGCCAACCCCACAGCCAGGAACAGGGAGCAGCTGGGTAAACACGGGAAGCCAACAGAGAGGCTGGAGCCACCGGGGCCAGGCGCAGCGCAGGACTTGCCTTCCTCAGCTCCTCCTCCACCTTCCGGTCCACGGGGTTAGTGCAGACTCTCCTCCACGTCTGGGCTGCAGCCTCCAGTGGCTGCTTGGGCACCTCCTCATCCTCAAAGTTGACAAAGATGGCATTGTGGGGGCGCCGGGCTCTGCTCAGGCCAATCAGATTCTCACCTGAGATGGGGGGATTGTTGTAGCCTTCCCTGGGGGCAGAGAGTACAGGTGAGAACAGGAGCACCAAGGCCATCCCAGGCACCCGCTGGGCCAGACCAGGCAGGGAGCCCAGAACCCCCCAAGGCCCACAGCCACCGTGTGCCTCTCTCTGGACATCTGTGCTGGGAAAGGACCCCAGAGTTGGCTGCTAAAGGAACCTGTATTCACAGAGGAAGAGACGCAGCCACAACTGCCTATGACAACTCAGAGAAACCCTGGGGCCTGCAGCTCTCAAACTGGGGAAAGGCCAAAAGGTCCTAGAGGCTGGAGTGCAGGAAAGGGCACCTGTCATGGGGCTGGTGGCCCCAAAAGTGCACTGAGTCAGGCACAGCACTGTCCAGCCAGTGAAAAACTGGACAGAGTCTAATGTCCAGCAGCTGGCAATGGTGAAATCACCCAGCACAGCTGCATGAGAGAACGCAATCCGTTGTCAAAACAGGGACAAGAGCTGCACTCACTCACATCTGCTTACATGCGATTCACTTATTTAACGCTCAAACTAATCCTACAGAGAAGGGACCATTTTCTAATAAAGCAGCTGAAACCACAGGGACTGGGAAATTTGCCCAGAGACGGAGCTCCTGGGAAGGAGCTGGGACTCCCATCGAGAAGGCTGGCTGCAAAGGTCCCATCACACACCTGTCCTGCCACCCAACAGAGCATGACTCTTTGGCTCACAAGCATCTCGACCACATGTAGATGAATGAACAAAGAACCTCACCAAATGGCATTGTCATGAAACACAGGGGTTAAAGCCAAGGGTTCCATTTGTCCAAACACATAGAATGTCCAACACCAAGAGGGAACCCCAATGTCAACTACGGACACTGGGTGACGACGTCTCAGCATAGGTTCATCCACTGGTAACAAGCGCCCCACTCTACTGAGATGCTGATCACGGGGGAGGCTGAGTGGGGGTGGCTGGGGGGCATAGGAGAAATCGCTGCGCCTTATTTTGCTGTGATTCTAAAATTGCTCTAAAAAAATAAAGTCTTAAAACACATACACACACATACAAAGCAGAGATTCTAGAACTACCTCTGTATGTTGGCACAGAACACCCTTAGGTAGGTATTTCTCAAAATATTTGTAGTAGTTACGTCTTTAAGGTTGGACACCAAACTGACACAAAAGCAGGCAGGCCAGTGTAAAGAACCCCCACAAGCCCGTCACCAGCTTCAGCAATGATCAGCACATGGTTAACTGCATTTCATCGAAGTGCATCTTAAAGTAGGTCTCGGACATCATCAAATTCACTCGGGTGATCATTACCTTTTAAAATGTGTTTCCATTTTACCTTAGTTTTCTACATGAGTACATAGCATCTGCACACTTACAAAGAATAGCAGTAATTTTCACATTGTGAAACAAAACTAGAAAGACGGGATCGAGCCTGGGCCTTCTTTTTAAAGTGCCTGCGTTAGAAACCGCACGGGACAGGTCAGCACTATCGCGTTTTCAAAGATGTTCCCCAGGAAAACCGGGTGGTCACCTGCAAGAGCAGCCCACCTGTGCCCAACCCTGTAGGGAGAGGCTGCGGCAGCCTTGGCTGCATCCCCAGACCGCTCCCCATGGTGGCCTCAGGCTGTGGTCTGTGTCACCATGATTCTAAGTAGGTGGGGAACTGCTGGCAGGGGTCGAAGGGTGCTGATGGCAAAGTCAACAGGACCACCTTGGAGAGTCCCTGAGGAACAGGAGGGACCCACCATCCTCCAGTTAGGACGACCCCGTCAGGCCACCCAGCAGCCTCTGCTTGCCCACCTGGTTTGTGGGAAGCTCAATCTCCCCAGGAAGGGGCCAAGGAGGCAGTGGCTAGGTCTCCTCCCTGCCAGTCCTCATGCACCCAGCAACGTGAGCAGGGCAGGAGAATCGACAGCAGCCCTGGGAGAAAATGCAGGTTCTTTCCAGGTGCTGGAAACTGATAAACCACATGGGGAGGGAGGGGGGCCTTGGGGCCCGAGGGCAGCTGGCCCTCCTCCCTCATTTTACCCCAGGGGCTGGAAACAGCTTCCCACTGGCCCACAGGGCAGAGCAGTAACTCAGATGCTGCTGCCATCTAGTGCCAGGGGCGGCAGTGCTGACAAGTGCTGTTTTCTTTTTTTTGAGATGGAGTTTCACTCTTGTTGCCCAGGCTGGAGTGCAATGGCACGATCTCAGCTCACCTCAACCTCCACATCCTGGGTTCAAGCGATTCTCCTGCCTCAGCCCCCCAAGTAGCTGGGATTACAAGCATGCGCCACCACGCCCGGCTAATTTTTTGTATATTATTATTTTTTGAGATGGGGTGTCACTCGGTCGCCCAGGCTGGAGTGCGGTGGCGCGATCTCGGCTCACTGCAAGCTCCGCCTCGCGGGTTCACGCCATTCTCCTGCCTCAGCCTCCCAAATAGCTGGGACTACAGGCGCCCACCACCACACCTGGCTAATTTTTTTGTATTTTTAGTAGAGACAGGGTTTCACTGTGTTAGCCAGGATGGTCTTGATCTGACCTCAGGTGATCCACCCGCCTCGGCCTCCCAAAGTGCTGGGATTATAGGTGTGAGCCACCGTGCCCAGTCTGTTTTCTTTTATGTATTTTTGTTTCTGACAAGAGTATGCTGCTTGTGGTGAAGAAAAAACAAACCAAAAAACCACTTTTTTTTTTTAAAACACGGTCCCACTCTGTCACCCAGGCTGGAGTGCAGTGGCACAATGACAGCTCACTGCAGCTTTGACCTCCCAGGCTCAGGCCATCCTCCCATCTCAACTTCCCAAGTAGCTGAGACCACAGGCACACGTGCCACCACACTTGGGTGATTTAAAAAAAATTTTTGTAGACACAGGGTCTCACTATGTCGCTCAGGCTGTTCTCAAACTTCTGGGCTCAAGCGATCCTCCCACCTCAGCCTCTCAAAGTGCTGGAATTACAGGCATGAGCCACTATGCCTGGCCAATAAGTAACTTTAAAAAATAGGCTGGGTGCGGTGGCTTACGCCTGTAATCCCAGCACTTTGGGAGGCTGAGGCAGGCGGATCATCTGAGGTCAGGAGTTTGAGACCATCTTGGTCAACATGGTGAAACCCCGTCTTTACTAAAAATACAAAAGTTAGCTGGGCGTGATGGCGCGCACCTGTAATCCCAGCTACTCGGGAGGCTGAGGCAGGAGAATCACTTGAACCTGGGAGGCAGAGGTTGCAGTGAGCCGAGATCGCGCCACTGCATTCCAGCCTGGGTGACAAGAGGGAAATTCCGTCTCCAAAAAAAAAAAAAGGAAGGATCATGTCACCCCCTGCTTCAAACTCTTATAGTGAGTACAATACACTTACAGAAAATGGTATCATTCTATGTGCAACAGTTTTCTGCAGGGAGGCAAAGTGACTTGATTCTTTTTAGTTAATACATTTCCACAATGTTTTGTTTTTTTCTAACAGGTACAATTTATTCTTACAATCAGAAAAAAGTAGGGGGTGGTGGTGGTAGAGGATGTTACAGACTAGGGGACAGCAACCAAAAGCAACATGTGTGGCCCTTGTTTGGCTCCTGAGTGGCTTTTGAGACAATCGGGAAAAAGTGAACAAGGACTGGTTGTGGGTGATGTTGGGGAGTGCTATTAATTCTGTTGCGTAGGAGACTGGTATTGCGAGTCTGTCTGAAACATGAGTCTTCCCTGTCAGAGATCCGCACTGCTTGTTTCTGAAGGCAGCACTGTGCCACTGGGGGTGGAGAGGAGCAGAATGTTGCTCACTGGACGCTCCTGATGGGCACGTGGGGGCTACTAGACAATCCAATTCTCTCCACCTTTCTGCAATGCTTTTCCGGAGGCAGAGAATAACACACTCTCTCTTGAGGATGAAGCCTAGGCACTGGTCTTCACTCCCCACCCCCATTCTCTGGCTCACCTGCTCTGGGGCACAGCAGCCTCCCCAGCCTTCCTTTGCATGCGCCAATCCCCTGGTCTGGAAAGTTCTCCCTGGATCTTCACCTGGCTGGCTCTGTCTCAGCTCCAGATGTCAGCTCCTCTGAGGGCCCTCGCTGCTACCTGTAGCCCCGGCCCACTGCCTTCCACCAGTGTGGCCCACTCCCCATGATCTCCTTTAAGGCTCCCAGCCATGTACTCATGCTCCGTCTAGCTCCCCGCCCCTGCACTGCACCCCAGCTGCTGTGCTGTCCGTGGACACCAGGCTCCAGGGAGTGCCCTGGGCCACCACAGGTGCTCAGTCAGGACATAAAGGAAACACATAATGAGGAATGAGAAAGCCCTCCCACCCCTTCAAAGAAAACTGCTCTGAGCCCCAAATCTTCCAGACTTTTCTAGGCTTCTGTTATCACACCACCATTTATTTCTATTCCACAGAATCTGGTCTTGCACCTGCCTTTCTCACAGAGCAAGGGAGGCACCTGGGCATGGGTCCCATCAGTCCACAGAGTCCGCTCTTTTTTCTGTTTGTTTTTTGTTTTGTTTATTGAGACAGGGTTTTGTTCTGTCACCCAGGCTGGAGTGCAGTGGTGTGATCATATTCACTGCAGCCTCAAAATCCTGGGCTCAACCAATCTTTCCACCTCAGCCTCCCGAGTAGCTAGGGCTATACAGGTGCACGCCACCATGCCCAGCTAACTTTTTTAGTTTTTTTTGTAGAGACAGAGTCTTGCTATATTGCCCAGGCTGGTCTCAAACTTTTGGCCTCAAGTGATCCTCCTACTTTAGCCTCTCAAATCACTGGAATTACAGGTGTGAGCCACTACACTAGGCCCAAGCCCATTCTCTTGAGGGCTGCATTTTTGGAAGCTTAAAACATGCTATGGAACAATTATTCAACAAACACCATCACCTCTGGCCCAGTTTTCAAAGTCCTTTTCGGGCTGGACACTGTGGCTCACACCTGTAATCCCAGCACCTTGGGAGGCTGAGGTGGGCGGATCACTGGAGGCCAGGAGTTCGAGACCAGCCTGGCCAATATGGTGAAACCTCATTTCTGCTAAAAATACAAAAATAAGCTGGGCGTACTGGTGGGCGCCTGCAGTCCCAACTACTCAGGAGGCTGAGGTAGGAGAATTGTTTTAACCCAGGAAGCAGAGGTTGCAGTGAGCCAAGATCGCGCCACTGCACTCCAGCCTGGGTGGACAGAGCAAGACTCCGCCTTTCAAAAAGAAAAAGAAAAAAAGGCCCTTTCATTTTGCTCATCTGTTGGCAGTAATCTTGCTCCCCTAAATCTGTGTGGGGCCCATGGACACTTGCTGAGTACCTCTCACAGGCCAGGCTCTGTTCTGGGCACCGGGGCTATGACAGAGACCGAAGCAGGCCAAGTCGCTACTTCTGGGGAGCATCCATTACAATGCAAAGTTTTTTTCCATGTTGTCTTTTTGTGCGTCATTTTAGAAAGTAGAGCATACAAAAATCAGGACACCGTTGGCACTGGGCCACGAGCAAAGCCTGCAGAGTGGGAGAGACCAGGGCGGTGCTGCCGGCGGGACGTGGCGCTGACCCCATGTCTCGGCTTCCTCATGTGTACGATGGGGGTGTCAGGAACCCTGGGGAATTGCTCCCAGGCTTGGGTGAGATGCACTCACAGCGCTGCTGCACAGGGACGTGAAATAACTGGCAGTGTGGCTGGTCAATGTTATTCATCCCCAGTTGGATACTGTCAAACTTGTTTTCTTCATTTTGTTTTCACAGTATTCAATCTTGGATTTTATATAAAGGAAATCCTATTCTTTTATGTCAATGTATGGCATTTGACAATTTGACTACATTTGACAATGCCCAGGCCTGCCTTTCCAACAGCCGCTGAGGTCTCTAATTATGTCAAGAACCTCTGAGTTACAGAATTCATTTCATCTGAATTGCATGTGGGCTTGGGCAGGCTGTGCACGGAGCCTGTGTGTGGGTGGCAGGGGGTGGCGGTGGGTGCACTATGAGTCACGTCCATGTGGCTTTTCATAGCTCTCGGTGTAGGAGAAACCCACTACTGATGAGAGAGAGTGAGCGCCTGTCCTCAGGAGAGGCACCGTGTTCTGGAGGGGACGCAGTCCATAACCAAGTACAGAGCAGGCGAGAGCTGTGTAGAGTCACAGATGCCTTGAGAAGGATGGCACTGGGCGATGGGCAGGGTCAGGGGTTCTCTGAAGCGACCTCCAGCCGCACAGGGCAGACCAGGAAAGGGTAAACAGCTGGGGTGAAGTAGGACCAAGGCTTGGCAGGTGAGTGTGGCAAAGAGAGGAGGGCAGGGCAGGGACAGATGATAAAGAGGCTGCAAAATCTCCGCCACGGACAGGGACGGTGAGGCCATGGGGAGCAAAGGAAGTAGGAAAGAGCTGGGGTCAGAGAGTGGGACATTCCCACGAGGCTTGCTTAGGTAGTGTCATTACTAGTGACAGCAAGGTCCAGAGACTGGCTGGTCAGCAATGACCAGGGGATTAAGCCAAAGGACATTTCTCAGCAGGAACCCACATGTCCCACAGTCACGTTCTTTGCACTGTCCTCAGGACTGAGGCCAACCTGGCGATCACACAGGCCACCGCTTACTAAGGCCCTGTTCTGTACTCAGCCCTGTGCTGAGAACTGCACACACTTTTTAAATTCAATCCCAATACGTCTGTTGGGTAGTACTACTGTCATCCCATTTTCTTTTTTTTTTTTTTTTTTTTTTTGGGAGACAAAGTCTCACTCTGTCACCCGGGCTGGAGTGCAGTGACGCGATCTTGGCTCACTGCAACCTCCGCCTCCTGGGTTCAAGTGATTCTCCAGCCTCAGCCTCCCGAGTAGCTGGAATTACAGGTGTGCACCACCACGCCCAGTGTGTGAGCCTCCGTGCCCGGACCATCCCATTTTCAGGATAGAGAACCGAGGCTGCATGGAGGGGGGCCTTACCGGTGCTGGGTCTCTGGTCGGTAGAAGTAGTCCACCGGGGCGTCCAGCCGGGAGAAGATGGGTGGGGGGATGTAGAGCGGCAGCTCCTGGTGGAAAAAGGCCTCCTTCTCGGGCCGGAGCATGAGCACCTTGTCATACATTGACGTATGCTTGCCGCCTGCTTCCGTATGCACAGCCAAGTACTGGAAGTCAGACATCCCTAGAAAGAGAGGTGGGCAGATGGCAGACATTGAGTCCAGGAATGGGCAGCTGCCACACACCGACACCCACATCTGCTTAGGGAGGTGCTGAGTGGGCCATGTGGTGGAGGCTGCAGGGTGAGGGTGGCAGGAAAACACACCCTTCCCAAATGCCTCTGCAAAGTTGGCTCCATGCAGTCTAAGTCACTTACATGAAAATTATTTTGGGGAGGTGGGGAGCTACATGATAGGTGAGGATGGAGTCCAGGTCAGTGCTTCTTAGATGAATGTTACTTTTAACTGTAAAACCTGCAATTACCTTTGCACCAACCTAGTAACATGCATATGAATCTGCTGGGATCTTGCTAAATGCAGGTTCTGACCTGGTGCATTTCTACCAAGCTCCCAGGTGAGGCTGATGCTGCCAGTCCAGAGACACACACAGAGCAGCAAGATGCTGGTTCAATTCGATGAAAAATATGAGGTGTTATGTTTTATGAATCACTTGGGAAACCTTGTCCCAAAAGAACAGCCCTCTTTGGTGAATGCCATGACCCACCAGAATGACTGCCATTAAAAATGCCCAACCCATGGGACCCCAGGTCCTGCTTCTCCTTCATTTCACTTTCTTCTTCCCCTCTTTTCTTTCTAGTCCTCTTTGCCCTTCTCAATCTTTATACTCTTCAGATTCTGCCTAGAACTGCAGATGTAACTTAGCCATCTCTAAGCCTTGTTAGTAATATGCCAGGCACCTCCTGTGGGCCAGAGGCTGGCCCATTCACAAGCATTGCCTCCCGGAATCTTCACGAGGGCCTAAGGAACGCAGGCTCTGTAGCCCGCACTGCACAGACAAGGACACTGAGGCTCAGGGAAGCCAAGCCACCTCCCAAAGAAACTGGCAGGGCTCAGGCAGGCACAATGCCAGAGTCTGTCTTTCTCACCCGTCTCCCTCCCTTGCTTTATTGCTTCCTCACTGGGGTTCCTGGTAGGTGGGAAACCTGATTGAGGGCTCCACGAGGGACGTTCAACCTGCTGAGAGTTCAGAGGAGGAGGAGGTCCCAAGGGGCTTCGGGAGCTAGGAGGGCAAGACCAACAGCAGCCGAGACAAGAGAAGGTTCAAAACACTGTGGTGGGGGAAAGACTGGAGGTCTACTGACCAGTTTTATTTGGTCCCACACAATGGTTTCATTAAAAATTAGGAGATTTCTAGCTTAAGAATGCTGAAGATTGGGCAGCAATGAACCTGCAGTCTCTGGGGAACTGTTGGCTGGAGGGAAGAAAGGCTGCCTCCTGGATGGGGCCTGTGCCCTGCTGTGTCCCCACAGCCCCTGGGCATATCCTGGCCCCCTCCACTGGTGCAGATGACCCACACAGCTCCTGCAGGCAGCTAGGATGGCCAGCCCTGAAATAACCAGACATTGCAAGAGCAGATTTCAGTTACCCTGAAATTTGTAAATGGTGGAGATGATGCCAAGGATCTCCATGTCAAATGTGACCTCGGAGTGGGCCTCAGTGCCCAGCACCCCTTTCTGCCGCCTCGTTCTCTTCCTGATGCGGAGCAGCAGGCTGCTGGTACTGAAGCGGTTGGCGCACACTGGGTGGCAGTATGGGTCCTTGGGCCGGAAGTACAGCTCCAGCCTCTTGGTGGGGTCTGCGTAGATCTGTGGCAAGGCCAAAGGAGACAGAGTGAAGCAATGACAAGCCAAGCAGCCAGTGGGGAGCTGCTCCTCTCTCAATAAAAGCCTGACGGTGATCCAGGAAAGGCCAGGAGGCTCATGTTTCATTCTGGGCCCTTAATTCCCAAAAGGCCCATTTTTTAAACCCATGTATCTTAGTTTTTATCTGGTGGAAAAAATGAGAATCGTCTCCTTCCTTCTAAGTAAATGCCATCATCCATCAAGTGCCTGCTCGGTGTGGGGCATTAGTTGGTCCTTCTGGCAACACTTGAGGGGAGATACTATCACCCTTATCTTTGTAGGGACCAGCCCCACAGGGTCGGTGGGTTTTTCTCCCTGTGTGTGGAGACGAGACTGCAGAAATAAAGACACAAGACAAAGACATAAAAGAAAAGACAGCTGGGCCCGGGGGACCACTACCACCAAAATGCGGGGACCGGTAGTGGCCCCAAATGTCTGGCTGCACTGTTATTTACTGGATACAAAGCAAAAGGGGCAGGGTAAAGAGTGTGAGTCATCTCCAATGATAGGTAAGGTCACGTGGGTTATGTGTCCACTGGACAGGGGGCCCTTACCTGCCTGGCAGCCGAGGCAGACAGAGAGGGAGAGAGAGAGACAGCTTATGCCATTACTTCTGCATATCAGAGACTTTTAGTACTTTCACTAATTTACTACTGCTATCTAAAAGGCAGAGCCAGGCGTACAGGACGGAACATGAAGGTGGACTAGGAGCGTGACCACTGAAGCACAGCATCACAGGGAGACAGTCCCCCGGATAACTGCGGGCAGGTCTGACTGATGTCAGGCCCTCCACAAGAGGTGGAGGAGTAGAGTCTTCTCCAAACTCCCCCAGGGAAAGGGAGACTCCCTTTGCAGGTCTGCTAAGTAGCGGGTGTTTTTCCTTGACACTGATGCTACCGCTAGACCATGGTCCGCTTGGCAAGAGGCGTCTTCCCAGACACTGGCGTTACTGCTAGACCAAGGAGCCCTCTGGTGGCCCAGTCTGGGCATAACAGAAGGCTCGCACTCTTGTCTTCTGGTCACTTCTCACCATGTCCCCTCAGCTCCTATCTCTGTATGACCTGGTTTTTCTTAGGTTATGATTATAGAGCGAGGATTATTATAATATTGGAATAAAGAGTAATTCCTACAAACTAATGATTAATGATATTCATATATAATCATGTCTATGATCTAGATCTAGTATAACTTGTTGTTTTATGTATTTTATTATACTGGAACAGCTCATGCCCTCGGTCTCTTGCCTCAGCACCTGGGTGGCTTGCCACCCACAATCTTGGAGGTAACTCAGGCTTGGTGCGGGGTGGAGTGGCTTGTCTAGGGTTACCTACTCTAACAACTACCCACCATAAAGGGTCTTGGTATTTAGTCTCATATGCAAATGTTTCGAGGTCCAAATGAGATTAAATCAATCAGTAACAACCATTTGGGCTCTGACTTGCTGTTACCTCTAGCTTTCCAAGCACATGAAACTGAATACCAACACTCTTTTTGGTCCCTCTCCTTAAAAACCCCAAGAATAGCATCTATGTCATACGACTGTTATGATTAAATATCTATAAAGCACAGCTCCTGGTGCCTAACTCATGGTAGACATTCAATATGTGCCACGTACATATGAATGAATACTTGCCCAATGCTGGGTCACAACGAGCACTGGATGTGTGCATATGAAAGCACCAACAACGTGAACTGGGACAAGGTCACCTACGTGCTAGTGAGCTGGTTCCCAACACCCAGGACAGGGTCTGTCCCTTAGGAAGTGATCAGGAACTATCTCGGGAGAGAATGAAGAAGACTTGGTTCTCAGGAATCTCCTCCTCATAAAACACACACCTCTGAGTCCCGATGGGGCGGGAATGAACCCAAACGTAGGCCTGGCACAGGGGAGGTGCTCAAGAAACATGAGAAGAGTGAATGAGTAAGGAAGGTCCCTTCCCAAAGTGCTCACACTGTAATAATCCCTGAGGTTAGCGAGAGTAAGGAT
Source organism: Homo sapiens (assembly GCF_000001405.40). NCBI lineage: Eukaryota > Metazoa > Chordata > Mammalia > Primates > Hominidae > Homo > Homo sapiens. Next base: position 133,040,063 of record NC_000009.12, on the reverse strand, counting down.
TCTGTCAAAGCCATAAATCAAGAGAATAATATAAAAGAAGAAAACGTGATTAACTGGGGCTCTACTGGCAGCCCGTGCTTAATGAATTCAGGGCTTTTCCATATTCATAAAGGATGAGGAAGCAGCAGGTAAAAGTTCAGACTCTAGAGCAAAGCATGAGTTCAAATCCCCTTGTACCATGTAGATGTCTGACCTAAACTTTCTTGTGTCTTTATCTGAAAAATGTGAATAAAAATGGCATCTAACTCACTAGATTGCTGTGAAGACTCAATCGTGCATTTGACAAGTATTTACAGAACTAGGCACTGTTATGGATGTTAGGAACAGAGAACTGGGCCAGGCATGGTGGCTCATTTAGCAAGATCCCGGCAGATTCATATGCATGTATTCCAGCCCTTTGGGAAGCCAAGGCAGGCGGATCGCTTGAGCCCAGGAGTTCGAGACCATCCTGGACAACTTAGGGAGACCACGTCTCTACAAAAAATACCAAAAACTAGCTGGGCGTGGTGGTGCATGCCTATAGTCCCAGCTACCTGGCAGGGTGAGGTGAGAAGATCACCCGAGCCTAGGAGGTTGAGGTTGCAGTGAGCCATAATTGCTCTACTGCACTCCAGCCTTGGTGACAGAATGAAACCCTGTCTCAAAAAATAAAAAAATAAAAATAAAGAAGTACAGAAGTGAACAAAAGAAGTCCCCACTCTCATGGAGTTGACAGTCTTAGGGTCAAGAGGACGAGAGACAGTAAATTTTTTTTTCCTTTTTTCTTAAATGTTTTATATGTATAAGCCTTTGTCAGAATAAACATTTTAAAACATTTTCAGATTGGAATTAACAGGATGAGGAGGCAGATAATTGCCAGTGGCCACTTTAGTTAGGGCAATCAGGGAAAACTTCTCTAAAGAGACACTTCAAGTTCTGGTACATGTAAAGAACTTACACATAGCATCCTCCAGCTGCCCCACTTGCTGTGTGACCTCGAACAAGTTCCTTCCCCCGTAAAATACAGACTCTGACAGTTCCTACCTGGTAGGGTTCTAAAGAGGACGGACTCTAAGTAAGGCACCTAGAGCCGTACGTGGCAGAGAATAAGATGTCAACCATCACTACCTCTAATCCTAACAACATAACAGTCTATCCCTCTCAGGTAAGTCAACAGAGCTTCATCTCCCCGTGCCTCAGTTTTCTACCCCGGGTAATGAGGATACGGCAGTGCAACACACCCTGTGGGGCTGCAGAGTTGCATTCCTGGCACCAGTGCCCAGGCTGTGGCTCACATTTGTGGATGGAATGAAAAAAAAGCCCCTAGGAGCCGGGCGCAGTGGCTCACACCTGTAATCCCAGCACTTTGGGAGGCCGAGCTGGGTGGATCACCTGAGGTCAGGAGTTCGAGACCAGCCTGGCCAACATGGTGAAACCCCAACTCTACTAAAAAAAAAAAAACAAAAATTAGCCGGGCGTGGTGGTGGGTGTCTATAATCCCAGCTACTCAGGAGGCTGAGGCAGGAGAACTGCTTGAACCCGGGAGGCGGAGGTTACAGTGAGCCGAGATCGCGCCACTGCACTCCAGCCTGGGCGACGGAGCCAGACTCCGTCTCAAAAAAAAAAAAAAAAAAGCTCCTAGGGGTCTCCCCCACAGTCCCTTCCCCTCTGTCCCCTGGGGAGAAAAAGGCTGTTCCTGGCAATTACAGATACCAAAGCCCTGCCCATTGGGCACCCAGAGTCCACCACACTCTCCGTTGCCAAGGAAACCACACGCCCGGGTAGACTCTCCCCTTCAGCCGCCGTCCAGCAACTCCGTCCCTCTCTCAGTGTCCCGGATATTAGATATCCAGGTTGAGTGAGTTCCTCCTCAAAGGTTCAGCTTGTTCAACTCCCTTCTTCTTTGTTCTCCATCTTCAAAGTCTAACTTCCTTGTTCTTTGCGCCTCCTTGCCCTTAGTTACCCGCTCTGTAACTGCCCTTCCCGCCGAAACTATTCTTCCTGGCGAAACCGCTCATCCAGCCACTGTAACCCACATCCCTGTTCTATTTGAAATAGCCAATCGAGATCAGCTTAGATTGTGCGGTCCAACTCCAGCCAGTGGGACAAGACACAGGAACCTTTCCTCCTTTGTTCCGTGTGCTCTGGTGGCCAGAAGAGCGAGCAGCACAGCACCTTTCTTCTGCAGAACTAAATGTGCTAAGTTTACTTCTGCAGAAGGGTGCTGCTCGCTCTTCTGTTTGTTCCCTTCCGTCTAGCGTCAGCTGCTCCTCAGAAGAGCTTTTTGTTTCAGGGGTAAAGGGAGAAGGATTTAGAGCAAAAATCTTAGAAGACGCAGAGTTCAAACATAAAAATCGAACAGCCCACGTTAAATTTCTGCTAATCCCTGAAGCAGGAACTAACCCGTTAGGAAGAGACTTAAAGTTAGGTATAGGTTTACATGTTAGCCCAGAAGGATTCCTCACCTCATTAAACCTACTTACCACCATGAAGAAAAATACATTCATCCCGATCTCTGGTCAAGGGAAGGGAATTGGGGAAGACTCCAAGTCCCACCCCCCCACCATACATATAAAGTTAAAAACCCCGGGGGGAAATAGTAAGAAGGAAGCAATATCCCATCCCCTTAGAAGGCAGAATAGGCCTAAAACCTATCATTGAGAGTCTCATTAGGGACGGGCTCCTTGAACCCGGTGTGTCCCCTTATCCCAATACTGCCTGTAAGAAAGTCAGATGGGTCATACTGACTAGTGCAAGGCCTCTGGGCCATCAGCCAGATATTCCAGACTACTCACCCTGTTGTCCCTAATCCTTACACCCTCCTCAGCAAAATTCCATACGACCATCAGTGGTTTACAGTAATATATTTAAGATGCTTTTTGGGCATGCCCCTTGTCTGAGGACAGCCGAGACATTTTTGCTTGCGAATGGAAAGATCCCCATTCCGGACGGAAGCAACAGTATCGACGGACAGTTCTCCCCCAAGACTTCACAGACTCCTCTAACCTCTTCGGTCAGATTCTAGAACAAGTTCTAGAACAAATTTCTACCCCAAAACACATGCCTGCTCCAATACGTGGATGACCCGCTGGTATCTGGTGAAGCTACAGAACGGATAGCTGCCCTCTCCGTCCACCTCCTTAACCATTTGCAAGGAAAAGGGTTATGGGGTTTCAAAGGGAAAGCTTCAATCTGTAGAGCCAGAAGTTAAATACCTAGGACACTTGATACGAAGGACAGGAACTGAACACGTCGAAGGGATCGTGTCCTTCTTAACTTTGCCTAAAACTAAGCAGGAACTCGTAACATTCCTAGGATTGGTTGGATATTGCCGCTTACGGATTGACTCATATGCCCTAAAAACAAAATCTTTATACCTAAAGCTTGCCCAAGAAAAGCCTGACCCTCTTCTGTGGACCTCTGAAGAAATCCACCAGGTTGAAGAACTAAAACATATGCTCATAACTGCCCCGTCCTAGCCCTGCCTTCCCTAGAAAAGCCATCTCATCTTTTCATTAATGTAAAGAAGGGGGTAGCTTTAGGGGTACTTACTCAAGAACACGGGGGTCACTGGCAACCTGTGGTGTTCCTGTCGAAAGTTTTAGATCCAGTAACCTGTGGATGGCTTGAATGTATTCAATCCATTGCGGCTACGGCTTTGTTAACTGAAGAAAGCAGAAAGCTGACCTTTGGGGGAGATTTAGTTGTGAGCACGCCTCATCAAGTTAGAACTATCTTAAACCAGAAAGCAGGGAGATGGCTCACTGACTCAAAAATTTTAAAGTATGAAGCTATCCTATTAGAGAGATGATTTAACACTAACCACTGATAATTCACTTAACCCAGCAGGTCTCCTAACAGGGAATCCAAATCTAAAAGGACCTGAGCATGAGTGTTTAGATTCAGGCCCGATGTAAGGGAGACCCCTTTCAAACAGGGCAGCACTTATTTATAGATGGCTCTTCCCAGGTAACTGAAGGAAAAAGACATAATGGATATTCAGTAGTCTATGGGGAAGCCCTTGCAGAAGGAGGGTCAGGAAGGCTGCCCAGTCATTGGTCTGCCCAAACATGTGAATTGTTTGCAATGAATCAAGCCTTAAAGCACTTGCAAAACCAAGAAGGAACTATTTATTCTGATTCCAAGTACGCCTTCGGGCTAGCTCATACCTTTGGAAAAATTTGGACCGAACGAGGTCTCATTAATAGCAAAGGCCAAGACCTTGCCCACAAGGAATTAATCACCCAAGTGTTAGGTAACCTCCAGCTGCCAGAAGAAATAGCTACTGTCCATGTCCCAGGACACCAGAAAGGTCTTTCTTGTGAAAGTCGAGGTAATAACCTTGCAGATCAAATAGCCAAACAAGCTGCCATTTCCTCAAAACGCTCACTTTTCACCTAACCCCTTGTCTTCCTCCCCCGACCGCAGTTCCCATCTTCTCTTCCACTGAAAAAGGGAAATTAATAAAAATAGGGGCCAAAGAGAATTCTGAAGGGAAATGGGTGTTACCAGACCAAAGAGAAATGTTATCCAAACCCCTCAAGAGAGAAGTCTTATCTCAGCTGCATCAAGGAATTCACTGGGGACCCCAAGCCATGTGTGATGCAGTTCTCAGGGTTTAGGGATGTATAGGAATTTATACTCTGGAAAGACAAGTTACAGATAGTTGTCTAATATGCAAAAAGACTAATAAGCAGACCCTAAGAAAACCACTCCCTGGGGGAAAGGAGTCCAGGGTTAAGACCGTCCCAAAGTGTCCAAATTGATTACACCGAAATGCCCCCAGTCGGTTGCCTAAAGTACTTATTAGTGATAGTAGATCACCTTACGCACTGGAGGGAACCTATTCCCTTTTCAAGTGCAACTGCTAATAATGTAATTAAAGCATTGATTGAGAATATTATACCCAGGTTTAACAGATTAATACAAAATATTGATTCAGATAATGGGACTCATTTCACTGCACATGCCGTCAAGAAACTAGCCCAAGTACTAGACATAGCAGGGGAATACCACACTCCCTGGCACCCACCTTCATCAGGAAGAGTGGAGAGAATGAACCAAACTCTGAAGAGTCACTTAACCAAATTAGTCTTAGAGACTCGGTTGCCATGGACTAAATGCCTTCCCATTGCCTTGTGAAAAATCCGAACTGCCCCTTGGAAAGATGTTGGCTTATCCCCTTATGAAATGCTATATGGGTTGCCTTATCTACACTCCATTGCTGACATTGCTACGTTTGAAACAAAGATCAGTTTCTTAAAAACTATAAACTTGGTCTCTCCTCCACTTTTTCTTCCCTCAGGACTGAAGGCCTCTGAGCACAGACGCCAGCTCTAGAGTTTCCAGCACACCAGCATCAGCCTGGGGATCACGTTCTCATCAAAAGCTGGAAGGAGGGAAAACTTGAACCAGCTTGGGAAGGGCCTTATCTGGTACTCTTAACTACTGAAACAGCGATTCGAACGGCTGAAAAGGGATGGGCACACTACACGCCAGGTGAAAGGAGTAATGTCCACAGACAGGGAAAAATGGGCTGTCACCCCGGGACCCACCCCTACCAAACTAACCCTAAAAAGGGCTTAATAATCACTTGTCTATTTTTCCTTTTCTTTCCAACATAAGGTCATCTTGTCATCAATGTGACTCAGGCTAACCATCCCTTGACCCTTCAGTTCGACACTTGTTCTTACCCCGTGCAGATACGAACAAGCTCAAAGGCAGCTATCCGATGTAGTTAAGTATCCATGTCCATATCGCAGACAGTCAAACAAGTATAAGTATGGAGCCTTAAAGGGCCCCTGTGGTGACTGGGCAAATGTTTGGTGGACCAGTCAATATGGGAGGCGGACAGCCAACCCCCCTCCTTTAAATAAGTTGCGGAAACTCAAACAAAAACTCTAACTTATCCATCGCTCCACTCCACCAAATTGTAAGCCACTGCGGTGTAACCCCTTATTGCTAATTATAGATAATCCCCAAACAATGGCCCAAGAACCCTCTGTATTCGGACGGTACGGGTTAGGAGCAGATGTTACAGGACGGGATCCCATAGGAACCCTCTCTAAGGTTGACTGGACCATCGGCGGTTAAAAACAATGAAGAAACCCAGACCCAGAGTCCAGGGAACGTATGGGACCCAACGCTCTCCCCAAACATATCAGGCCCAGTGTTCCCCTCCGGTCTCCACAACGACCCAGCCAAAGTAGCAGCTGTAGAAGTAAGAGACCTAAAGCAAACTCTAGCAATTGAAACAGGGTACTGAGATGCAAACGCCTGGATGGAATGGATTAAATATTCTGTCCGCACTTTAAACAAAAGTGATTGTTACACTTGTGCACACAGTAGACCAGAAGCCCAGACTGTCCCCTTTCCACTTGGATGGTCCTCCAGACGAGTGGGCATGGGCTGTACGGTAGCTCTTTTCCAGGACCCCACAGCCTGGGGTGATAAATCGTGCCGAGCTCTCTCTCTGCTGTTCCCTGAGGTTCAACACCCTGCGGGTCAGCCCCTGAGGGCTATCCAGCTTCTGTCTCCCAGTGCCAATTTTACTTTGTGTCTCTTGTGACAGGGAAAATTTGGCATTCCTTGGGGACCTAACAGGATGCAGTGAGCTTAAGCCCTTCCAAGAGCTTACCCATGAATCTGCCCCTAGTCATTTATCCTGAGCAGATGTATGGTGGCATTGTGGTGGACCGTAACTGGATACTCTGCCAAGTAACTGGAGCGGTACCTGTGCTCTGATCCAATTGGCCATCCCTTTCACTCTGGCATTTCATCAACCAGAAGAAGTAAAAACAAGACACCGTAGAGTAAGAGATGCCCCCCGTGGTTCCTTTGACCCTCGTGTTTATACAGATGCCACTGGAGTTCCCCGAGGGGTACCTGATGAATTTAAGGCTTGTAATCAAATAGCTGCGGGATTTGAGTCTATGTTTTTCTGGTGGTTAACTATAAATAAAAATGTAGATTGGATAAGTTACATCTATTACAACCAGCAACAATTTGTTAATTATACTAGGAATGCTATCAAAGGAACAGCTGAACAACTAGGACCCACCAGTCAAATGGCTTGGGAAAATAGAATAGCATTAGAAATGATACTAGCAGAGAGGGGTGGCGTTTGTGTCATGCTTGGAACCCAATGTTGTACTTTTATCCCAAATAATACTGTTCCTGACGGAACCATAACAAAGGCACTGCAAGGTCTTACTGCTTTATCCAATGAGCTAGCTTAAAATTCTGGGATAAACGATCTCTTCACTGATCTAACGGGAAGATTGTTCGGCAGGTGGAAAGGACTTATGTCCTCGATCCTTATGTCCCTTGCCATTGTAATAAACGTGTTTATTCTCGTAGGATGTTGTATCATACCCTGTGCCTGAGGGTTAATACAAAGACTTACGGAGACAGCTCTCACTAACCTCCAATTTCCCCCCGCCTTATTCAGACAAACTTCTACTTTTAGAAAACCAAGAACAGCAAAGTCGAGACATGCTAAAAAGGTTTGAAGAGAAAGAAGTATGAAAATCAAGAGGGGGAAACTGTTCTATACAGTGAATTCTTCTTCAAAGGTTCAGCTTGTTCAACTCCCTTGTTCTTTGTTCTCCATCTTCAAAGTCTAACTTCCTTGTTCTTTGTGCCTCCTTGCCCTTAGTTACCCGCTCTGTTTAACTGCCCTTCCCGCCGAAACTAGTCTTCCCACCGAAATCGCTCGTCCCGTCACTGTAACCCACACCCCTGTTCTATTTAAAATAGCCAATTGAGATTAGCTTAGATTGTGTGGTCCAACTCCAACCAGCAGGGACAGGACACAAAAACAGGGACTGACTGCCTTAGGGATAAAAACCCATTCCAGGCTGGGCACGGTGGCTCACGCCTATAATCCCAGCACTTTGGGAGGCCAAGACGGGTGGATCACCTGAGCTCAGGAGTTCAAGACCAGCCTATAGGACACAGTAAATTCCACTTCAAAGATTTTAGCCTTTTACCTTCCTTTAAATTCAAGAGGGGGAAAATTAATAAATACAATGAGTTATGAGTTCCATTTCAAAGAACCAATATGTCAGTATGTTCAGCTTCCCTGTTCTTTGTTCTCCATTTTAAAGTTTAACCCCTCGTTCTTTACGCCTCCTTGCCCCTAGTTTCAGTAAACAACCCCTTCCTAGCTTCTATCACCTGCTCTGTCCTTAGTCATCCTGAGTCACCTGCTCTGTAACCATCCTTCCCACCAAAACTACTCACCCCGCCACTCAGGCCTGTGCCCCTGCCCTCTTTGAAATAACCAATCGGAATTAGCTTAGACTGTGCGGTCCAACCCTAGCCAATATGGGAAAGACACAGCAGTAGAGACTAGCTGTGTAAGAGATAGGAACCCCTTCCCCTTCCTTGTCGGTGTGCTCTCGCCATTGCTCCATCCGCAAGATGCACCCTTCTATAGAAGGAAATTTGCCTTGCTGAGAAAACTGTTTGCCAGAGTGCTGATTCTTCTTTGCGGCACCCAAAATTTATTTCCAACAAGCCTGACCAACATGGTGAAACCCCCTCTCTACTAAAAAATACAAATTTAGCCGGGCGTGGTGGCATGCGCCTGTAATCCCAGCTACTCTGGAGGCTGAGGCAGGAGAATCGCTTGAACCCTGGAGGCGGAGGTTGCAGTGAGCCAAAATCGCACCACCGCACACCAGCCTGGGAAACAAGAGCGAAACTCCGCCTGAAAAACCAACAAAAAAACAAAAACAAAAACAAAAATCCTTCCCTTCTTTGTTCTGTTGGCTCTCTTGCAGCGGCCAGAAGAGCGAGCAGCACCCTTCTGCGTAAGTAAATTTGCTAAATTTCCCTTGCTGAGAAATCCTTTGAGTGCTCGTTTTCTTTGCGACTCCGAGCTCTTATTCCAACACCGAGATTCCCAGCCCCTTACCCGGGAGACGCCTTCCTCGCCGCCCAGAGTCGGCAGCATCTTAGCCACATCACGCACCACTCCCGGGTACTCCACGCACACCATGCGTCGCTCCCGCCTCAGCTCCACGGGGACGGCGGCCCCCAGCCCCAAATCGGCCGCCTCCGCCGCCATCCCTGTGCGTCTGGCAGGGCCCGCCAGGGTCCGTCCCACAAAGTACTCCCAAAGGCCTCGCCTCAATTGTTCCGCGAAGGAATCGTTCCGGGCTCCCTCACCGCTCGCGTCATCCTAACTCCCCGGGCTCAGCAAGACGCGAGGGCCTCCAGGGAGCAAATGGCCCATGGGAGGGCCCATGTCTTCGGGAAAACGACCGCCGTGTCCTCGACTTTTTATTTAAAATTAAGCGAGTTAGTCCACCGGGCGGGGCAAGCACCAGTCTCTCCTACTAGCCAGCGAGGGACCCGGAGGATAATAAGACACAAACCTCCCTCGACTTCAGCCAATGAGAATCCGAGGGCCGAGCGAGTTTTTTTTTGAGCCAATGAGAAGTCCGGAGGAAGCTAGGTCCCACCTTCTCCTCCAGCTTCGTACGTTTTAACCAATAAAGAACTAGAGTTAACCACGTCCCAGCCCTCTTCTGGGTATTCCACCCAATGACACCTCGGGGGCGGGCCAGAGGCAGACTTCCGGCCCGCCTGCTTGGTGGGGAAAAGGTCCCGGCTGAGAATTGATTTCCGCATTGGGTCGGCCTGGTATTCTGTCGGTGTTGGCGCTTCTTCTCCCAAGCTCTTGCAGCCCCCTCGGGACTAGGTTTCCAACGGCGCTTGCGGGGGGCCTCGCGGAGGTGGATGTGGAAAAGGCGAGCGCGGGGGAACTGTGCTGTAACCATCGCCCCGCCTCCACAGAAAGCCCCGAAGCGCCGGCTCGGGGCCGAACGCGGGCATCCGGCGTTCGTCTGTTAGGCAGGCAGACATTAAGCGCCTACTGTGTGCTGGGCCCTACTCAAGACCCAGGCGGGGAGAACGGCGTCTGTCCGGTAGGCGCCCAGGGCTGCTGCAAAGCCCCGGAGCGAGGAGTGTGGCCCCTCAAACAGGGAGGAGATGAGGTCCGAGGCCGACCGAGGTCAGAGACCCGCACCCACGAAAAGGGTCCACCCGTCGGGCTGGCTGCTTCCCAGTGCCGTGGAGAGCCCCTGAAGGTTTCTTTTTTTGAGAAGGAATCTCGCTGTGTCGCCCAGGCTAGAATGCAGTGGCGCTTTCTCGGCTCACTGCAACCTCCGCCTCGGGTTCAAGCTATTCTCGTGCCTCAGCCTCCCGAATAGCTGGGATTACAGGCGCCTGCCACCATGCCCGGTTAATTTTTGTATTTTTAGTAGAGACGAGGTTTCACCATGTTGGCCAGGCTGGTCTTGAACTCTTGACCTCAAATGATCCGCCTGCTTCGGCCTCCCCAAGTCCTGGGATTACAGGCGTGAGCCACCGCGCCTGGCCCCTTGAAGGGTTTTATGCGGAGCAGTGATCCCATTCATGCATTTGAAAGACCTCTCTGGCTGTTGTGTGGAGAACAGATCAAAGGGGGAGAAAGTGAGTTCAGATAAACCAGCTCCGAGACTGCATAATCCAGTCAAGAGATGAAGGGACTGGGTTTGAGAATATTGGGAGATGAGAATCATGGCCCAGCACAGTGGCTCACGCCTGTAATCCCAGCACTTTGGGAGGCTGAGGCGGGAGGATCAGTTGAGCCCAGCAGTTGGAGGCCAGCCTGGGCAACAGGGGAAGACCCCATTTCTACCAAAAAATACAAAATTAGCCGGCCATGGTGGTGCATGCCACAGTAGTCCCAACTACTCAAAAGGCTGAGGCAGGAGGATCCTTTGAGCCCTGGAGTTGGAGGCTGCAGTGAGCTATGATCATGCCACTTGCATTACAGCTAGAAATTAGTAAGAGCAAGTGACCCCTTGGGTATGGGTACCCCGTTTCTGAAGTGATTTTTTTTTTTGAAAGACACGATCTCCCTCTGTCACCCAGGCTGGAGTGTAGTGGTGTGATCATGGCTCACTGCAGCCCCGAACTCCTGGGCTCAAGTGATCCTCCTGCCTCAGCCTCCTGAGTAGTTGGGACTACAGGCGTGCACCACCATACCCGACTAATTTTGTATTTGTGTGTGTGTGGCGACGGGGTCTCACTATGTTGCCTAAAGTCATTTCTTTTTGTTGTTTGTTTGTTTTGAGACAGAGCCTCACTCTGTCACCAGGCTGGAATGCAGTAGCACAATCTCGGCTCACTGCAACCTCCGACTCCCTGGTATAAGCGATTCTCCTGCCTCAAACTCCCGGGTAGCTGGGATTATAGGCATGCGCCACCACGCCCAGCTAATTTTTGTATTTTTAGTAGAGATGGGGTTTCACCATGTTGGCCAGGATGGTCTCGATCTCCTGACATCATGATCTGCCCACCTCGGCCTCCCAAAATGCTGAGATTACAGGCGTGAGCCACCGTGCCCAGCCTGTGATTTCTTAATCAGAAGAGTACCTGATTGCTCTCCTTGGGTTTAAGAAGGCAGAATAAATAGCTACATGAATTCAGCCCACTGAATACATTCTAAAGTGTAACCTCAATGTGAAATATATTGTATTGTAATTGGAAGGCTGGGTCAGGAGCCCCAAAGCTTTGAAAGAACACCTCCTGAGAGTACAGTGGGAAATCAACCACCAGCAGATGATGGTTGAGCTAGAAGAACCACGTGTTTCCACAGGGAGCTGCACACGAGGACCCGGTGGTCCCTGACCTGCCCTCTCCAGGGGGGACCTGCACTTTCTGCCACCAAAGAGGATTCTCTGTAGGGAGGCCAGGATGATTCTCCAGAATTTACCATGCCTTGAGATGAAATTTCCTTTCAAACTTCCTTGTGTCCTTTTGTCCTCATTCCATGTTCACCAGTCTTCTGACTGTTTCATTTTCCAGAAAGGAGAAACTGAATAACATGTATATTTTAACCTTGCCTGCAATTGTAAATCAATAAATTGGTGTATTTACATCAGATCCCTGTGAGTTTGGTGCACATAAGACAGTCATGAAGACTTGGTCACTGTTGGTAGAGTTGGCCAATAAAATATTGAACACAGTTAAATTTGAATTCATGCAATATTTGGGGCATATTTATACTAAATATGTGTTATCTGAGATTCATATTTAGCTAGGTGATTTTTTAATTTGCTAAATATGGCACTCCCACCTCCGGGTATTGAGATTGAGTTTCTGAATTTGGAAAGCTGATTCCAAACCACCTGGAACCTTAGTGAGCCCACCATGCAATCCAGTGACCCTCTAGTTTGTCTGCTGTATTTTTCCTCCTTACTGAAGCAAGAGTGATCTTTCCAGAATGAGATCGCAGTCTGTCCCTGCCTCCAGTGACTCCCCAGCATCCCTGGCCCACCACCTGGCTAACTACTCCTCTCCTTTAGGTTGTTGCCTTAGACTTCAATTTGCCTGGTAAATCCTCCCTGACCCCAAAACACTAGTTTGGTGCCATCCTCGCTGCCCGGGGCCCCAAACCCACTGCATCATGGAGCCGGAAGCACTATTATTTTTTTTCTTTTTTACTTCTCCACTTGAGTGGCAACTTTCTGAAGACAGGGACCATGTCTGTCTTATTCACCACTGTCTTCCCACTGTCACCACTGCTTTGCATGGGGCTGAGCACCGAGCAGGTGCTCAGGAAGTATTTATTGAACAACTGAATGAGGCCACTTGTCTTATTTGAGCCTTCAATCGAGCCCCGGGTCAGGGCATGGTCATAGGGACACTAAATCAAGGCTTGTCAGACAAGGAGTGTCCCTTAGTGCACAGGAAGTGAGGAGGGGCTGAGTGTGAGGGGAAGACAAGGGACCAACCCCAGGGCATCAGACCAAGCTTTTTGAGATTAGACTTGGTCCTGCCTGAGATCCAAAGCGGGAGGTCAGAGGCAGGAGCAGTAAGGCAAGGCTGGGAGCAGAGACAGGCCAAGAAAGATCAGGAACCCAGTTAAAAAGTAGCTTTGGCTGGGAGCGGTGGCTCATGCCTGTAATCCCAGCACTTTGGGAGGCTAAGGCGGGTGGATCACTTGAGGTCAGGAGTTCGAGACCAGCCTGGCCAACATAGTGAAACCCCATCTCTACTAAAAATACAAAAATTAGCCACATGTGGTAGCACATGCCTGTAATCTCAGCTACTCGGGAGGCTGAGGCAGGAGTCTCGCTTGATCCCAGGAGGCAGAGGTTGCAGTGTGCAGAGATCATGCCACTGCACTCCAGCCTGAGTGACAGAGTGAGACTCCATCTCAAAAAAAAAAAAAAAAAAAAAAAAAGAAGTAGCTTTAACGTTCTCCAAAACCTTGCAGCATTCAGAGCAGGCAGCTGTGACAATATTTGTGCACTGAGGGGACACTTTCTCTGCCTGGATTCAGGGCATATGCTATGGTTTGAAAATGTCCCCCAAATTTCATGTGTTGGAAACTTAATTTGTCTGCCCTCATGAATAAATTAATGTTGGCTCTGCCCTCATGCATGGATTAATGTCGCTGTTGTGGGAGTGAGTTGCTTATCTCTTTGTTATAGAGGCAAGCTCTCTCCGGCTCTCTCTCTCCTGCCCTCTTGCATATGTGCCCTCCACCATGTTATGGCACAGCAAGAATGCAAAGACCCTTAGCAGATGCTGCCACCGTGTCCTTGAACTTCTCAGCTTCCAGAACTACAAGAAACAAATGTTTTTCCTGTAGGAATTACCCAGTCTGGGATATTCTGTTATAACAGCAGAAAACAGACTAACGCAGCATGCTTCTCGCATCTTGCCCTGCTGTGGGGTGGCAGATTTCATCCCACTGGACAGAAGGGCACTACAGCTCTAGCCACCTCCTATGGGCGGATTGGGCACACTGGGGGTGGGGGGCAGCCTCTATGTGCCACTTCCACACGGGAGAGATTCGGAGCTCCTGAAGGACGCTTGGGTGCTGCAACCAGCGTTTGTTGCTCAGGGAAAGGGTGGATGTAGGGACCAGCCCTACAGGGTCTGTGGGTTTTTCTCCCCTTGTGCGGAGACGAGAGATCGTAGAAATAAAGACACAAGACAGAGAGATAAAAGAAAAGACAGCTGGGCCTGGGGGACCACTACCACTGAGACGTGGAGACTGGTAGTGGCCCCGAATGCCAGCCTGTGCTGTTATTTATTGGATACAAGACAAGCGGGCAGGGTAAGGAGTGTGAGCCACCTCCAATGATAGGTAAGGTAACGTGGGTCACGTGTCCACTGGACAGGGGGCCCTTCCCTATTTGGCAGCCAAGGTGGAGAGAAAGAGAGGGAGGAGACAGCTTACACCATTATTTCTGCATATCAGAGACTTTTAGTGCTTTCACTAATTTTGCTACTGCTATCTAGAAGGCAGAGCCAGGTGTACAGGATGGAACATGAAAGCGGACCAGGAGCATGACCGCTGAAGCACAGCATCACAGGGAGACGGTTAGGCCTCCGGATAACTGTGGGCGGGTCAGGCCCTCAACAAGAGGTGGTGGAGTAGAGTCTTCTCTAAACTCCCCCAGGGAAAGGGAGACTCCCTTTCCCGGTCTGCTAAGTAGCCGGTGCTTTTCCTTGGCACTGATGCTACTGCTAGAACACGGTCCGCTTGGCTACGGGCGTCTTCCCAGACGCTGGCATTACCGCTAGACCAAGGAGCCCTCTGGTGGCCCTGTCTGGGTGTGACAGAGGGCTCATGCTCTTGTCTTCTGGTCACTTCTCACCATGTCCCTTCAGCTCCTATCTCTGTATGGCCTGGCTTTTCCTAGGTTATGATTGTAGAGCGAGGATTATTATAATAGTTGAATAAAGAGTAATTACTACAAACTGATGATTAGTGGTACTTACATATATCTATGATCTATATGTAGTATAACTCTTGTTATTTTATATATTTTATTATACTGGAACAGCTTGTGCCCTCGGTCTCTTGCCTTGGCACCTGGGTGGCTTGCTGCCCACAGGTGGGGACCCCTGGCACAAGACACAGAAGGGTGCATCTTCCACCACCACCCCTTGGAGCTGAGCTCCTCTTTCCAGACTCAGGGACCCTCCTGCTGAAGGGACCGAGGAGCTGGCCCCCTCGGGGATGGTTTGGGTTTTAGGAGGAATCTTGGCCTTAGACAGGACCTGGTAGAAGTTTTGCCATTGAGAAGCTTTGAGCTGCTGTTGGCATGAGGAGGGAGGATGAGTCCGCTTCGCCCGTTGGGCCTCACTTCTGTGCATGGGCACTGCCCTGCTTGGTTTGAACATTTTTTCAGCTTAAATGTTTAATTTCCTGTGACGTGAGTCGGGGGGGGGGGCGGAATTGGATCTTACTGTCACCTTGCTACCGGACTGCTGGCCTCCAGAACTCTGAAAATCACATTTGTGTTGTGTTTTCAGTCACCCAGTGTGTGGCGATTTCTCACAGTCACCTTAGGAGATGAATACAGATCAGGGAGTCCTTGAATTTCCAGAGCATTTCCAGAATTTATTTTTGGGTCATAACATTTTCTTTTTTTTTTCTTTTTCTTTTTGAGACGGAGTCTTGCTCTGTTGCCTAGGCTGGAGGACAGTGGCATGATCTCGGCTCACTGCAACCTCCACCTCCCAGGTTCAAGCAATTATCCTGCCTCAGCCTCCCAAGTAGTTGGGACTGCAGGACGATGCCACCTCACCTGGCTAATTTTTGTATTTTTATTAGACACGGGGTTTCACCATGTTGGCCAGACTGGTCTCGAACTCCTGACCCCATGATCCACCTGCCTCAGCCTCCCAAAATGCTGGCATTACAGGCGTGAGCCACTGCGCAGGGCCGAGTCATAACATTTTCTGGCATAAGCAGGTCAGGTTTTCTTCTCTTAAGTTACTGGAGCTCACTCACTATAAATCAGGCCTCCCCGCTTCATTCTTTACCCCTCCTATGGGGCCAGAGACCACCCATTTCCAGGCTGGGGGTCCTCTTTGAGTTACTGACCGTCACTGGGGGCACATGGTGTAAATGTCGCAGCGCAGCCTGGGTGGCTGAATTGCAGCAAGTGTTGTCCCCACCCACTCTCCAGACTATATGTTAAAACTCTAACTCCCTGAGCTGGTATTAGGAGTTGCTGCCTTGGGAGGTGATGAGGTCACGAGTGTGGAGCCCTCGTGGCGGGATTAGTGCCCTCATAGAGGAGACAAGAGTGCGTGCTCACTCCACTCTGCTGTGTGAGGTCACAGCAAGAAGGCGGTCGCCTGCCAGCCAGGAAGAGGACCTTCGCCAGACCCTGTATCTGCCCGCACCTTGACCTGGGACTTCCCAGCCTCCAGAACTGTGAGAAACAAATTTCTGTTGTTTAAGCCCCCGAGTCTATGACATTTTTGTTCTAGTAGCCTGAACTAAGACCGGTCACTTCACAGCAGCCATTCAGACATCCATTTACCAAATGCTCCCCGCGATGTGCCCGATCCTGTGCTGGGCTCGGATGATGAAGCCGAGAGGACCGCCCCCCTCCGCCCTCACGGAGCTCACATTTGATTGGCAGAGACAGACAGCAGGCGAATAAAGGAATCCACACCTAAGGTAATACCAGGTAATGAGGGCTTCCGGGAAAAACGAAGCCCAGCGCATTTTAACCGTTTCCCTGCAGTGGGCCCTGCCAACCCCAGCCGCTGCATCCAGATCCCGGAAGTCACAGAGTGAGTTCTCAACTAGGTCCACACAGGCTCACATCCTCCCTGGGCAGCAGGGGCAAGCGGTGTGGAAGTTAGGGGGTGGCCGGTGCCACCGTGCCCTGCCACCTATGGTCCCAGCTCAAGCACTAAGGACTTGCCAGTCCCCGCCCTCAGTTGCCCCAGCATCCAGCTGAAGCCCCGCCCCTGCTTCCTGATTGTAGACGTGGGGAACATCACACAGCTGTCCTGTCTGCTGAGGTGTCCCAAGGCAAAAAAGGGGCTACTGGCTGATTGACAGGGCCAAATCTCGTGCGGTGGGGGGCCTGACACTCTGGCAACCCCACAACCCCCACACCTGACTTCTGTCTGGGGCCTTGAATACTTAATACTGTCTGGGGAGGCCCTTCTGTGATGGGGCTTGGGTGGGGGGATATTGATCCTCTACTAACTGAAGACAAGGAGGGCTTTCAAAAATGTTTTCTTTGCACCGGAGCGTAATGGCTTACGCCTGTAATCCCAGCACTTTGGGAGGCTGAGGAAGGCGGATCACTGGAGGCCAGGAGTTCAAGACCAGCCTGGCCAGCATAGTGAAACCCCATCTCTACTAAAAAAAAAAAAAAAAAAAAAAAAAAATTAGCCGGGCGTGTTGGCGGGCGCCTGTAGTACCAGCTACTCGGGAGGCTGAGGCAGCAGAATCGCTTGAACTCGGGAGGCGGAGGCTGCAGTGAACTGAGATTGTGCCACTGCACTCCAGCCTGGGCAACAGAGCGAGACTCCACCTCAAAAAAAAAGTTTTCTTCGGGTCCCAGAATCTGAATATTCCTTCCTGGGATGCTAGGTCAGTCTGTGAAGCACACAGTGGGTATTTATTTAGTATTCCCTGGTCTGGAACGGATTCCTGCACCCTGAGCAGGAGGAAGAGTGTAGTGTTGAATTTTGGCCATGAGATGGCAACAGAGCGTCCTCCTGGGCAACATCGCCACCTGGTGACCATCAGTGCCCAGGACAACCTGGAAGAAAGGGCGAAGTAGCGACGGAAGGTGAACCCAGCTTGGGGAGCTTAGAGCCTCATGGAAGCCATGTGCTGGGCCAGGGGGGACCAGCCTGCTCCCGATCACGTCCGACCATACACACACCCACATCCAGGTCCAAGAATACTCCCACACGGTTCCAACACTGGGTGGCAAATGATGGGGACCTGGGGATGGGGTTTATGCAGATATTTCACAATTTTCTTTTTATTTCCAAGTGGGGCAACCTGTTCCAAAGGATATTCTCCCTTTTAACCAATTCGTCATTCTGAAGCAAAATTAAGTTACATACATATAGTACTGATTTTCAAAGTCTGTTCATAAAGAGTTATATTCCTAAAATAAATATTTTTTAAAATGTACCAGGCAAAGGGAAATTTATAATAAAGCTAATACAATTTAAGCATCAGATTCCCTCAAGTGCATGTACTTTTTGAAGGCCCTGGTAGGTCCCTTATCATTGTATTCACGTAGGCATGTTTTTATAAAAACTGAAAACACAAGATTTTAACTGCAATTTAAACTGCTATCTCTTTCTTTTCTTTTCTTTTCTTTCTTTTTTTTTTTTTTTTTTTTTTTTTTTGTGAGACAGAGTCTTGCTCTGTTGCCCAGGCTGGAGTGCAGTGGCGCCATCTCAGCTCACTGCAAACTCCACCTCCTGAGTTCAAGTGATTCTCCTGACTCAGCCTCCCTAGTAGCTGGAACTACAGGCATACCACCACACACACCCGGATAATTTTTGTATTTTTAGTAGAGACGGGGTTTCACCATGTTGGCCAGGCTCATCTCGAACTCCTGACCTCAGATGATCCGCCTGCCTCCGTCTCCCAAAGTTCTGGGGTTACAGGCGTAAGCCACCACAGCCAGCCTGCTGTCTCTTTCTATGGGACCTGCCCTCTATCACATGTCCCCTGGTGTTGGGAGACACTGAAGCAGTCACAGGCATTTGGGGAATTTGACTGAGGGGAAGTTGAATTGGGAATGCATTTAGTTTGGATTGAATGGACTGCATGTGTGGCTTGCAGTCATTTAATTTAATAGTTATCACTGATCATCCCATGTAGAAATGGCTTCCAGGAATACACATTATTACTACCTTCTGTGACAGTTTACTGATGTTTGGGCGTGAAGTCCAGGGTCAAAGGAAGTACAGCGCTCAGAGTTAAAAGCTACTCTGTAGAAAATTTCACCAAACAGCAGATGTGTAAAACATAAAAAGAGGAATGTAAATGGTGCAGCCACTGTGGAAACAGTATGGCAGTTTCTCAAAATATTATTATTATTATTATTATTATTATTTTTTTTTCTCATTTAACTTTTTTAATGGGTCTCAAACTTCTGTGACAAATTTTTGGTCAAGTTGTTTCCATTAAAAAGTACTGATTTTAAAAACTAATAACTTAAAACTGCCACACGCAAAAAAGAAAACCAAAGTGGTCCACAAAACATTCTCCTTTCCTTCTGAAGGTTTTACGATGCATTGTTATCATTAACCAGTCTTTTACTACTAAACTTAAATGGCCAATTGAAACAAACAGTTCTGAGACCGTTCTTCCACCACTGATTAAGAGTGGGGTGGCAGGTATTAGGGATAATATTCATTTAGCCTTCTGAGCTTTCTGGGCAGACTTGGTGACCTTGCCAGCTCCAGCAGCCTTCTTGTCCACTGCTTTGATGACACCCACCGCAACTGTCTGTCTCATATCACGAACAGCAAAGCGACCCAAAGGTGGATAGTCTGAGAAGCTCTCAACACACATGGGCTTGCCAGGAACCATATCAACAATGGCAGCATCACCAGACTTCAAGAATTTAGGGCCATCTTCCAGCTTTTTACCAGAACGGCGATCAATCTTTTCCTTCAGCTCAGCAAACTTGCATGCAATGTGAGCCATGTGGCAATCCAATACAGGGGCATAGCCGGCGCTTATTTGGCCTGGATGGTTCAGGATAATCACCTGAGCAGTGAAGCCAGCTGCTTCCATTGGTGGGTCATTTTTGCTGTCACCAGCAACGTTGCCACGACGAACATCCTTGACAGACACATTCTTGACCTTGAAGCCCACATTGTCCCCAGGAAGAGCTTCACTCAAAGCTTCATGGTGCATTTCGACAGATTTTACTTCCGTTGTAACGTTGACTGGAGCAAAGGTGACCACCATACCGGGTTTGAGAACACCAGTCTCCACTCGGCCAACAGGAACAGTACCAATACCACCAATTTTGTAGACATCCTGGAGAGGCAGGCGCAAGGGCTTGTCAGTTGGGCGAGTTGGTGGTAGGATGCAGTCCAGAGCCTCAAGCAGCGTGGTTCCACTGGCATTGCCATCCTTACGGGTGACTTTCCATCCCTTGAACCAAGGCATGTTAGCACTTGGCTCCAGCATGTTGTCACCATTCCAACCAGAAATTGGCACAAATGCTACTGTGTCGGGGTTGTAGCCAATTTTCTTAATGTAAGTGCTGACTTCCTTAACAATTTCCTCATATCTCTTCTGGCTGTAGGGTGGCTCAGTGGAATCCATTTTGTTAACACCGACAATTAGTTGTTTCACACCCAGTGTGTAAGCCAGAAGGGCATGCTCTCGGGTCTGCCCATTCTTGGAGATACCAGCTTCAAATTCACCAACACCAGCAGCAACAATCAGGACAGCACAGTCAGCCTGAGATGTCCCTGTAATCATGTTTTTGATGAAGTCTCTGTGTCCTGGGGCATCAATGATAGTCACATAGTACTTGCTGGTCTCAAATTTCCACAAGGAGATATCAATGGTGATACCACGTTCACGCTCAGCTTTCAGTTTATCCAAGACCCAGGCATACTTGAAGGAGCCCTTTCCCATCTCAGCAGCCTCCTTCTCAAATTTTTCAATGGTTCTTTTGTCGATGCCACCGCATTTATAGATCAGATGGCCAGTAGTGGTGGACTTGCCCGAATCTACGTGTCCAATGACGACAATGTTGATATGAGTCTTTTCCTTTCCCATTTTGGCTTTTAGGGGTAGTTTTCACGACACCTGTGTTCTGGCGGCAAACCCGTTGCGAAAAAGCAAAATATTATTATTATTTATTTATTTTGAGACAGAGTCTCCCTCTGCCACCCAGGCTGGAGTGCAATGGCACGAGCTCGGCTCACTGCAGCCTCTGCCTCCCAAGTTCAAGCGATTCTCCTGCCTCAGCCTCCCAAGTAGCTGGGACTACAGGCTACATGCCTGGATAATTTTGGTATTTTTAGGAGAGATGGGGTTTCACCATGTTGGCCAGGCTGGTTTCGAACTGCTGACCTCAGGTGATCCACCTACCTCAGCCTCCCAAAGTGCTAGGATTACAGGCGTGAGCCACCGTGCCCAGCGTCAAAATATTAAAAATAGGTTTACCTGGTCAGGCACTGTGGCTCATGCCTGTAATCCCAGCAGTTTGGGAGGCTGAGACAGGATTGCTTGAGCCCAGGAGTTCAAGACCAGCCTGGGCAACATAGAGAGATCTTGTCTCTAAAAATTTTTAAAAATAGGGCCATGCCACACGCAGTGGCTCACACCTGTAATCCCAGCACTCTGGGAGGCCAAGGCAGGTGGATCACTTGAGGTCAGGAGTTTGAGACCAGCCTGGCCAGCATGGTGAAACGCCATCTCTACTAAAAATACAAAAATTAGCCAGGCATGGTGGCATGCACCTGTAATCCCAGCTACTCAGGAGGCTGAGCAAGAGAATTGCTTGAACCCAGGAGGCGGAGGTTGCAGTGAGCCAAGATCGCGCCACTGCACTCCAGCCTGGGCAACAGAGCGAGACTCCATCTCAAAAAAAAAAAAAAAAAGTCACATGGTGATGGTTGCGCAACAATGTGGATGTATTCAGTGTCATTGAACTGTGCTGCAATATTTTGAAAAAAATCTTTTTTTTTTTCTGAGCAGCAGGTCTCAACAGAGAGCTTAAAATATTCAGTAAACCATGCCACAAACAGACACACTATCATCCAGGATTTGTTCTTCCATTTCTAGAGCATGGGCAGAGTAGATTTAGCATCATTCTTTTCTTTTGTTTTTTTTCACAGGGTCTTGCTCTGTGGCCCAGGCTGGGGTTCAGTGGCACAGACTGTACCCTCCACCTCCCGGGCTCTGGTGATCCTCCCACCTCATTCTCCTGAGTAGCTGGGAGTTTCACAGGCATGCACCACCATGCGTGGCTAATTTTTGTAATTTTTGTAGAGACGGGTTTCGCCATGTTGCCCAGGCTGGTCTTGAACTGCTGGGCTCAAGCAGTCTGCCCAACTCAGCCTCTGAAAGTGCTGGGATTACAGGCATGAGCCACCGCACCTGGCTGATTTAGCATAATTCTTAAGGGTCCTAGGATTTTTGGAATGGTAAATGAGCACTGGCTTCAACCAAATGTCAGCAGCTGCATGAACCCCTAACAAAAGTCAGCCTGTCGTTTGAAGCTTTGAAGCCACTCATTGACTTTTTCTCTCTAGCTAGGAAAGTCCTAGGTTGCATCTTGTTCCAATAGAAGGCTGTTCCATCTACATTGAAAATCTGTTGTTTAGTGTACCCACTTTCATCGGTGATCTTAGCTAGATCTTCTGGATAACTTGCTGCAGCTTCTCCATCAGCACTTGCAGCTTCACTTTGTACTTTTTTTTTTTTTTTTGAGATGGAGTCTCACTCTTGTTGCCCAGGCTGGAATAAAATGGCGTGATCTCGGCTCACTGCAACCTCCACCTCCCGGGTTCAAGCGATTCTCCTGCCACAGCCTCCCGGGTAGCTGGGATTACAGGCATGTGCCACCACACCAGGCTAATTTTGTATTTTTAGTAGAGACGAGGTTTCACCATCTTAGTCAGGCTGATCTCAAACTCCCGACCTCGGGTGATCTGCCCGCCTCAGACTCCCAAAGTTCTGGGATTACAGGCATGAGCCACCGCGCCCAGCTTACCTTGTACTTTTGTGTTATGGAGATGGCTTCTTTCCTTAAACCTCATGAACCAATCTCTGCTAGCTTCCAACTTTTCTTCTGCAGCTTCCTCACCTTTCTCATCCTTCCTAGAATTAAAGAGAGTTAGGGCCTTGCTCTGCATTAGGTTTTGGCTTAAGGGAATGCTGTGGCTGGTTTGATCTTCTATCCGAAACACTCAAACCTTAGCCATATCAGCAATAAGACTTTTTTGATTTCTTATCATTTGTGTGTTCACTGGAGTAGCACTTTTAATTTATTTCAAGAACTTTTCCTTTGCATTCACACCTTGACTGTCTGGCACAAGAGGTCTAGCTTTGGGTCTGCCTTGGCTTTCAACCTGCCTTCCTCATGCCAACATTCCTCACTAATCATTCCTGGCTTTTGATTTAAAGGGAGAAACCTGGGACCCTTCCTTTCACTTGGACACTTAGAGCCCATTGTAGGGTCACTGATCAGTCTAAATTCAGTATTTTGGGTCTCAGGTGGGAGGGAAGCCTGTGGAAAGGGAGAGAGATGGGGAAATGGCCAGTCAGTGCAGCAGTCAGAACACACACAACAATTATTGATTAAGTTTGCTGTTATATGGGTGCAGTTTGAGGTACGCCAAAACAATTACCATAATAACATCCAAGATCACTGATCACAGATCACCATAACACATATAATAATGAAAACATTTGAAATATTGTGATACAGAGACATGAAGTGAACATACACTGTTAAGAAAATGAAGCCAATAGTCTTGCTGGACCCAGGGTTGCCACAAACCTTCAATTTGTTAAAAAAAAAAAAAAAAAAAAAAAAAAACAGGCTGGGTGCAGTGGCTCACGCCTGTAATCCCAGCACTTTGGGAGGCCGAGGCAGGCAGATCACCTGAGGTCAGGAGTTCAAGACCAGCCTGGCCAACAAAAATTAGCCAGGCATGGTGGTGCACACCTGTAATCCCAGCTACTCAGGTGGCTGAGGCAGGAGAATCACTTGAACCCAGGAGGCGGAAGTTGCAGTGAGCCGAGATTGTGCCATTGCACTCAAGCTTGGGCGAGAGAGGAAGACTCCATCTCAAAAAAAAAAAGAAAAAAGAAATATCTGAAAATTGCATAAAATAGAGCATTATAAAACCAGGTGTGCCTGTATAGTATATTCACCTTTAGAGGTCTTCCAGAGAGACTAGCCTGTAATTTTTCTTTCTTGTAAAGTCCTTGCCAGTTTTGTACAGCAAGGTTTATGTTAGCTTTATACAATAAATTGAAAAGTGTTCTCTCTTTTTCCATTCTCTTTGTGTAAATTTGTACATGACTTATCTTTCTTTTCTTTTTTTATTTTGTCTTTTTTAATTTTTGTTTTTGTACATGATTTCTTTTTTTAAATGTTGGGAATGGGAGGGAGGTTTGTGAGAAAGTCTTAAATTACAGATTCAGATCAAGGACTACTCAGATTTTCCATTTCTTATTGTGTCAGCTTTGGTAAGTTATGTTTTATTAGGGATTATTCAATTTCATCTAAATTTGCAAATCTATTGAGATAAAGTTATTCATAATATTCTCTTATGACCTTTTTATAGTACTCCATTGGGGTATAATTTATTTGTAGTAAAATGCACAAATCTGAAGTGTACACCTTCATGAATTTTTTGTTTGTTTGTTTTGAGACAGAGTTTTGCTCGGTCACCCAGGCTGGAGTGCAATAGTGCGATCTCAGCTCACTGCAACCTGTGCCTCCTGGGTTCAAGTGATTTTCCTGTCTCAGCCTCCTGAGTAGCTGGGACTACAGGCACACGCCACCATGCCTGGCTGATTTTTGTATTTTTAGTAGAGACAGGGTTTCACCATGTTGGCCAGGCTGGTCTCAAACTCCTGACCTCAGGTGATCTGCCCGCCTTGGCCTCCTAAAGTGCTGGGATTACAGGCATAAGACACTGCGCCTTGCCCTTCATGAATTTTTGCCTGTGAATTAATACATATACATGGGGCCATTTCCCAGATCAAGAAAAAAAACACTGCCATCATTCCAGAACATCTCATGCCTCTTTCCAGTCAATATGTCCATTGCTGTCAGACCCAACCACTGTTTGATTTCTCTCACCATATGTAACAGTTTGGCTGGAATTATACTCCATATCTGTTCTGTCTGGCTTCTTTTGTTCAACATAATGATTTTGAGATTCATTTATATGGTGTGTATCAAGAGTTGTTCTTTCATATTATTGGCCAGTATATTGTTGGATAAATGTGCTATGCCAACATTTGGTTCTTCATTGTCTTAGTTCAGGCTGCTATAATAAAACACCACAGACTGGGCAGCTTCAGTCACATTTACTTTTCATAGTTCTGGAGACTGGGAAGTGTAAGATCAGAGTGCTGGCAGATTCAGTGTCCATTGAGGGTGCTTTTCATGCTTTGCAAACAGCCATCTTCTCATTGTATCCTCATATGGCAGAGCAGAGAGAGGGGGCCAGCTCTCTCTGGTATCTTCTTATTTTTATTTATTTGTTTGTTTGTTTGTTTTGAGACAGGGTCTCCCCCTGTTGCCCAGGCCAGAGTGCAGTGGCGCGATATCAGCTCACTGCCACTCCGCCTCTCTGGTATCTTCTTATAACAACACTCATCTCATCATGAGGGCTCCAGCCTCATGACCTAATCGCCTTCTAAGCCCCACCTTCTACTATCATCCTATTGGGAGTTAGGGTTTTAACATATGAATTTTGGAGGGATGTAAACATGCAGTCCATAACATCCATTCTCCTACTGATGGCCATTTGGTGGTGTAGCGGATTGCATTTCCCAGCAGTGGCTGCCCAATGAATATCCCATTCCCCATGGTCTTCCTACAATGTGATGTCCAACAATCCTCCATTTTGAGGTGGTGGTCTATATTCCCTCCCCTGGAACCTGGGTGAACCTTTGCAATTGCCTCAGCCAATAGAAAGTGGCAGAAAGGATGCTGCAGAACTTTCAAGGCTGGATCATAAAAGGCAACATGGCCTCTCTTGGGATGCTTGCCCTTGGAACCCAGCCACCATTTCGTGAGAAAACCTAGGCCACACGGAGAGACCAAGTGTTCCAGATGACAGCCACAGCCAGTCTCCCAAGCCAAGGGCCAACATCCAATGCCAGACATGTGAATGAAAGGACATTCAGATGCTTCCAACTGCCAGCCTTTGAGTCTTGTAGCTGAGGTCTCAGACACTACAGAGGAGAAAGAAGCTATTGCCTCTGTGCTCTGTCTGATTATCTGATCTATAGAAACCATGAGAGAGAATAAATACTCACTATTGCTTCAAGCCACTCTATTTTGGGGATAAGTTGTAACGCAGCCTGTGTAACCAGATTACGCGGTTTCTAGTTTTCCACCATTACAAATACAGCTGTGATGAACATTCCTGTACAAGTCATGTCTATGGATATGAATGTTCATCTTGGCTAGACACCTGGGCATGGAACGGCTAAGTCACATGGAGAGTGTGTGCTGAACTGTATAAGAAACTGATGACCTCTTTTCTTTAGCAGTTGTACCATTTTACATTCATCCCAACAGTGTTTGAGACTTCCAGTTGCTCCACATCTTCAACAACACTTAGTATTATGTTAGCTGTACTAATAGGTTGCAGTCATATCTCATTGTGTCTTAAATTTACATTTTTCCCTGACTAATGATGTTATTGAGCATCTTTTAACATGCTTTTTGGCCATTTAAATAACTCGTTTTGTGAAATGTCTGTTCAAAGCTTTTTGCTTTCTTAAATTTAAGACAGGGTCTCACTCTGCTGCCCAGGCTGGATTGCAGTGGTGCGATCACGACTCACAGCAGCCTCAGCCTCCACCTCCTGGGCTCAAGCAGTCCTCTGGCTTCAGTCTCTCAAGTAGCTGGGACCACAGGCATGCAGCACCACACCCAGATAATTCAAATTTTTTTTCTAGAGATAGGGTCTTGCCATGTTGCCCAGGCTGGTCTCAAACTCCTGGCTTCAAGGTATTCTCCTGCCTCAGCCTTCCAAAGTGGTTTTTGCTTTTTTTGTGAGACTGAGTCTCACTCTGTCGCCCAGGCTAGAGTGCAATGGCTTGATCTCGGCTCACTGCAACCTCCTCCTCCTAAGTTCAGGCAATTCTCCTGCCTCAGCCTCCCGAGTAGCTAGGATTACAGGCACCCAACACCACGCTCGACTAATTTTTGTATTTTTAGTAGAGATGGGTTTTCACCATGTTGGCCAGGCTGGTCTCAAACTCCTGACCTCAAGTGATCCACCTGCCTCAGCCTCCCAAAGTGCTGGGATTACAGGCGTGAGCCACTGGGTCTGGCCAGTTTTTGCCTATTTTTAAATCAAGTTAGTTTTAGTAAAATAAAGTTTATTGTATTTTAATTTAGGAGTTCTTTATATATTCTAGATTTAAGTCCTCTGTCGGTGATATGGAGTGGGAAAGTTTTCTCAGAACATGGCTTGGCTGTTCACATTCTTAATGCTGCCTGCTGATGAGTAGAAGTTGTTAGCTTTGACATGGCTAAAACACACTTAAGAATATGTTTAGCTTAAACATATATTTTTTCTTTTATGCTTTATGGTTCCTTTTATGTTGTACTAAAAATATTTTCCAATCTCTAAATTCATAAAGATAGTCGACATTTTCTTCTAGAAGCTTTATAGTTTTAGTTCATTCTTAGTTTTTTCATTGTTATGGTGGAGAATTTGTCTTTCGCAATTTTCAATATCCTCATTCTCTCTCTTTCTCTGTCTTCTCTTCAGTTGAAAATAAAGAGAAATCCACTGTGATTTTTGATTATTATTACTATTTTTTAATTTTTTTTATTTTTTTGAGATAGAGTCACACTCTGTTGCCCAGGCTGGAGTGCAGTGGTGTGATCCCAGCTCACTGAAACCTCTATCTCCCGGGTTCAAGTGATTCTCGTGCCTCAGCCTCCCGAGTAGCTGGGGCTACAGGTGTGTGCCACCATGCTCAGCTAATTTTTTGTGTATTTTTAGTATAGATGGGGTTTCACCGTTTCACCATGTTGCCCAGGCTGATTCTTGAACTCCTGAGCTCAGGCAATTCACCTGCCTCGGCCTCCCAAAGTGCTACGATTATAGGCGTGAGCCACTGGCATGCCCAGCCTGATTATTATTATTATTATCATGGAATTTTTTTTTTTTTTTTTTAATGAGACAGGGTCTCACTCTGTCACCCAGGCTGGAGTGCAGCGGTGCAGTCATGGCTCACTGCAGCCTCAACCTCTTGCGCTCAAGCAATCTTTCCACCTCTGTCTCTTGAGTAGCTGGTACTACAGGTGTGCACTGCCACGCTCATCTTTTTTTTTTTTTTGAGATGGAGTCTCGCTCTGTTGCCCAGGCTGGAGTGCAATGGCTCGATTTCAGCTCACTGCGACCTCTGCCTCCCAGGTTCAAGCGATTCTCCTGCCTCAGCCTCCTGAGTAGCTGGGATTACAGGCACGTGCCACCACGCCTGGCTAATTTTTGTATTTTTAGTAGAGACGGGGTTTCACCGTGTTGGTCAGGCTGATCTCAAACTCCTGACCTCATGATCTGCCTACCTCGGCCTCCCAAAGTGCTGGGATTATAGGCATGAGCCACTGGACCCATGGGTTATTTAAAGTCTATTGCTTAGTATCCAAAAATTGGGGATTTAAAAATAACCTTTTTGTTGTTGACTTCTAGCTTAGTTCCACCATGATCAGAGAACTTATTCTGCATGATTGCATTATCTGAAATTTACTGGGGCTTGCTTTGTGGCCCAGCAGATGGTCAGTCTGGTTAAGTGTTCTGTGTACATTTGAAAGCATCAGGTACAATGTTCTATATTCTTCTTAATTTGCTTTATTTGTTTGCTTTTGTTTTTCGGTCTGCTTGTTCCGTGAGAGATGTGTTAAAATTTCCCACTGTGATTGTGAATTTGCCTATTTCTCCTTTTAGTTTTGTCAGTTTTATTTTGTATATATTTGAGGTCATATTTTTATGCACATATAAATTTAGAAATGTTATATCATTTCTTTTAATCATTATGAAATGTTCTTCTTTATCTCTAGTAAAGTCTAAATTGTGTGATGTTAATATAGCTGTAAGAGATTTATTTTGGTTAGTGTTTTCATGGTATATATCTTTTTCCATCTTCCATCTTTTCACTTTCAATCTTTCTTTATCTTTTTTTTTTTTTTTTTTTTTGAGACCGAGTGTCACTCTGTTGCTGGACTGCAGTGGTGTGATCTCAGCTCACTGCAACCTCCGTCTCCCAGGTTCAAGTGATTCTCATGCCTCAGCCTCCTAAGTAGCTGGAACTGTAGGTGCGAGCCACCACGCCTGGCTAATGGTTGTATTTTTAGTAGAGATGAGGTTTCACCATGTTGGCCAGGCTGGTGTCAAACTCCTGACCTCAGGTGATCCACCCTCCTTGGCCTCCCAAAGTGCTGGGATTACAGGTGTGAGCCACCACACCCAGCCACTGTATTCTTATATTTTAAGTCTATCTCTTATAGGCAGCATGTAGTTGTTTCTCTTTTCTAAGATCCTGTGTCTTTTAGCTGGAATATTTAATCTTTTTATATTTAATGTAATACTAATATATTTGTGTTTAAAGCTTTCACATTACTGTTTTCTATTTGTTCTATCTGTTCTATATGGTTTTCCTTCCTTTTCCTTCTTTAATACTAATTATATTTTGTTATTTTATTTTTCCTCTAATAAATAGTTGTATAAACTTTTACTGGTTACCCTGGGGATTACAATATGAATCCTTGATCTGGTAAAGTCAAATACAAATTAGTACTTCTACTACTTCCATAACAATGTAAAGACACATTTGAATGCTTCTTTGCCTCTTGCCTTTTGTTCTGTTGTTATCACGTCATACATGTATGTGTGTATTTATTATTACTTTTTCCTTTCTTTTTTTTTTTTTTTTTGAGACAAGGTCTTGCTCTGTCACCTGGGCTGGAGTGCAGTAGCACTCACTGCAGCCTCGACCTCCTGGTCTCAAGCCTTGAGCCTTCGACCTCCCACCTCAGCTTCCCGAGTAGCTGAGACTACAGGTACGTGTCACCACACTTGGCCATTTTATTTTTTTTTATTTTTTGTAGAGATGGGGTCTCACTATGTTGCCCAGGCTGGTCTTGAACTTCTGGCCTCCAGTGATCCTACAACCTTGGCTTCCCAAAGTGCTGAGATTACAGGTGTGAGCTACCACACCCAGCATGTGTTATACTTTTAAATCAGCTTTATTGAGGTATAATTTATATGCAATAAAATACACCCAGTTTAAGTATATAGTTTGATGACTTTACAACTATATAAATGTAGTCACCATGTCAATCATGACACAGAATATTTCAATCACCCCCAAAGAATTCCCAGGTTCCTTTTTAGTGAGTCACCTCACCAATGGGGCAGACAGGGGACCTGGGGGGCTCTGGAGGGTGAGTGGGTTCTTTGCATCACCTATTGAACATCAAAACTCCTAGAATGGACAAGAATGGGTAGGGCTTAGGTTATGGGACTACCTGCTAGAGGGTGACCAAGGAAGCATCTAAGCCCAGGACTTACTCCAACAGGCAGGGGCCACACAGGGAACTGTCCGTTCTCTAAGACCACACCCACATGGGGAAATTTATTCACAGGGGAGATGGGAGAACCCTGGACAGTCAAAGGGGGAGACAAAAAAAACAAATGATGCTTAAACTGAACTCACCCTGTATCTTCCCAGATCTCTTCCCATGACTCCCTCCTGCAGGATTCTCTTTCTCAGGAATGGCAGCACCGGAAACGTGGGTGTCATCCCGGATTCCCCACTTGCCCCTCATCCATCTGCTGCCACATCAGTCCACTCTATCTCTTAAATTCATCAGAAATCCATCTTCTCCACCCATCCATCCATCACCCTGGTTCAACTCACACCACTGGGAACAGCCTCCACTTCGCCACTGGGAACAGCCTTCTAAGGCATCTCCCACATCCACTTACACTTCTCTATTAAGAGGATGGGTAACTATATGCATGTGTTTCAAAATTCAAAGGACACAAAAAGGCACTCAGTGAAAAGTCTCCCTCCCACTCCTTTCCCCCAGACACTGAGATCACCTTTTCTCTGGAGGTGATCAATGTCAACGGTTTCTTGTTTATCTCTCTGGAGACAATCTACAATGTTATAAACAAAATTATATATATATATATATATTCTCCATCCCCTTTTTAAAAAGCAAACAACTAACTCACAAATGGGTTTTCTTATTCAACTTCCCCTGTAATAAATAGTTGCACATGCTTTTACTGGCTTCCCCAGAGATTATAATATGACTCCTTCATCTATTACAGCCAACTATCAATTCGTTGACCACCAATGGTGCCTTGGTATACATTCCCTTCCTACCTTCCTTTTTTCACTTGGCAATATATCATGGAAATTACTCTCTGTCAATTCAGAAAGTGCTTCCTCATTTCTTTGAACAGATGGACAGTATTCCCCTGTGTGGCTGGACCATGATTTATTTACGCAACCCTCTTTAATGGGTACTTAGGTTGTTTCCAACCTTTCCCAAAAACAAATGCTTGTAGTGAATCACTGTAGTGTGTACACATGGGCTAGGCATCTGTAAGGTATTGTTGGGCCAAAGGGTGTGTGCCTCTGTGATTTAGTTAGACATTACTACATTGTTCCCTATTGGAGCCACAACCATTTCTGTCTCTCCCCCCAGGAGACCTGCCTGTGTTGGGACCACAGGGGCCTCAGAGGACTCAGGCCACCCTCCAGCGGTGGCCCACCTTGGTTCCCTAGACCCGTGAGCGGTTCCATCTTGAGGGGGCTGCCTGGCTGGTCTTTGCAACCCCTGCCCCCTGAGTTGTAGGGCTCCAGTCACCTTGCAGGGCTCCTGACTTCCCTGGCCACCAGGACACCAGGGATGCTTCTCCCCCGAAAATGCAAGTCGATCCCACTGCTCTGGGGCAGAGACCCAAAGCTTTACCAGAGACTGTGGGAGTGGGTCCCGCTGCTCCCACCCCTGTCTTCTCCTAACCACTCCCACTTTGCCCCACCCCCAAATTCCTGGCCCTGCGATGCCAGGGCCTCCCCAGGACCTCCATGCCTTTCCTTCCTGCTCCCCTTTTGGTTCTGGGTGACCTCTGGGAAGGGGTTTCTGCCCCCACTTGAAGAGGCCCCTCCGTGCAGCACACCTACTGCCCCCATCCCTGAGCAGGGTCGGGGGTGTCTCTTTGGACCCCGCTTCCCCAGCGCCTGGCATGAAATCAATGCTGCTGAGTGAGCGAACCCATAAATGGAGGAGAGAACAGAGGACCGAGCCAGGGAGTCCCATGCGTGCCCCGCAGTCCCCTCCCCTGGCCACTGGCAGTGCCCCCCCACCCCTAGGTCCAGGAAGAACTCAAGATGCTGGAAGGAAAGAATCACTAAGTCATTCAAGAGTTTCAGCCAGGGCCACAACCCCACCTGTGGCTAGGAAGAGTGGGGAAAGGGGAGAGGGAGGAGGAGAAGGAAAGGGAGATAGGGAGGAGGAGAAGGAAAGGGAGATGGGGAGAAGAGGAGGGAGAGAGAGGAGGGGAGGGAAGAGGTGGGGAGGAAGAGTGAGGGAAGAGGAGGAAAGGAACAGGAGGAGGGAGGTGGAGAGGGAGGGAAGGGCCCCGGGTCTGGCATTCTCCAAAGTGCTTCCCTACTCCAGGCTCATCCCTTCCTGACCCCTCCACGCCGGCCCAGAGCACCACACTGGGAACTTGCTGTCTGTTTTAGGGGATCTGTAGAGGAGAGTGGGCCACAGGTCCATCCCTGACCCCTTGATTCCTTGGGAAGGGTTTACCTTGGGATTAAAAAGCCTTGGGGAAGAGGTCCTTTAAAGTTCAGTCAAACCTTGGGCAAATGCGTGCCTCAGTTTCCATGTCTGTAAAACAGGGAAAAGTAGCTCCTGCTATTCTATGGGAAGTGCTCAGCTAGTGCCAGCCCAGGTCACAGCAAGTGCTAGGTACAGTTGGATGGTGCCATCTGGGATGGGTCCTCCAAGCCAATCAGATCAGATCAGATTGAGAGCTCATCCTCCCAGGAGATGGTGAGTGCTGTCCTTCAGCCAAACCTCTAGATCCAGGAAGCCGTTCTCAGACAGGTCCACAGTCCACACAGTGTCAGGTAGGACTGACAGTGGGCCTGAACTGTAATTCATGGTTCTAGGCAAAAGACTCGAAAGCACCCATTCACACGTATACTTGCACCCTGTTATCCAGGCCTAGGCACTCCATGCATTGGCCCCTTTGGGTGGGTAGACCCTTCAGTTTGCTTGCCTATCCATCCACCCATTGTCCATCCATCCACCCATCCACCATCCATCCACCCAACCACCATCCATCCATCCATCCATCCATCCACCTATCATCCATCCACCCACCCATCCATCCATCCATCCATCTGTCCATCCATCCGTCCATCCGTCCATCCATCCATCCATCCATCCATGCATCCATCCATCCATCCATCCACCCATCTGTTCATCCATTCATCCATCCACACATCCACCATCCATCCATCCATCCATCCAACCATCCATCCATCCATCCATCCATCCATCCACCCATCTGTTCATCCATCCATCCATCCACACATCCACCATCCATCCATCCACCCATCCATCCATCTATCCATGCTTCCATCCATCCATCCAACCATCCATCCATCCATCATTCATCCATCCATCCACTCACCCAACCATCCATCTGTCCATCTGACAAAAAGCATTTCCTTAATGAGTACTGGGGAAGCAATGGAGAATTTCATAGAACGTGTCACACAATGACACAAATAGCTATTTCATGACAATTATGATCAACATCAGAGGGCAGAATTTCTGGGGGATTTGAGAGTCTATAACTGGCAAGGGGAGGTTTTCTTGTGGGGTGCATGTGGGTTGGGTTTGGGATGACGAAGATAAAGAATTGGTGAAGTGAGGAAACTGCCTTCCAAGTGGAGGGAACAGCATTCCCAGAGCCTCAGAGGCAGGCAAAGCCAGTCTGGAAGGAGGAAGGAGAGAATGTCGCTGGGATTCTGGTGCTGTTGCTCAGACACCCACCCCTAGGGAGAAGTGGCTCTCCCTGCAGATCTCCCACAACCCTGAAGGTGCCTCCCTGCTCCAGCCCAGAGCAGGGCTCCCTGGCCCGTCTGCCATCAGTTGAGGGGGCATTACCTGCTCTGTTTCTCTGCCTGGACTATGCATGAGCTGTTTAGGGCTGGGCTCTGGTTTTCAAGTCTTCATTCAGCAGAGACCACTGTGCACATGGGCTTTTTTTTTTTGGCGGGGGCGGGGGGAGGGGTTACTAAAATATACTTAATAAATTTTACCTTCTTAACTATTTCTAAGTGTACAGTTCAGTGGCATTGGGTACATTCACATTGTTGTGCAATCATCACCACCAGCCAACACCAGAACTTTTCCCAAACTGAAGCTCTGTACCCATTAGACACTAACTCCCCACTCCCCTCCCCCAGATCCTGCCAGCCACCATTCTACTTTCGATGAATTTGACTACTCTAGGGACCTCATATAAGTGGAATCATCCTGTGCTTGTGCTTTTGTGACTGGCCTGTTTCACTCAGCATGATGTCCTCAAGGTCCACGTGTGGCATGTGTCAGAGCTCCATTCCCTTTGATGGCCAAGTCATATTTCCTAGCATGGACAGGCCCCGTTTTGTTTACCCATCATCTGTGGATGGACACTTGGGGTGCCCACTTTTTGGCTGCTGGGGACGATGCTGCTTTGAAGCCCACCAGCTTTTGGTACCTCTTTGGTGGAGTACCTTCGGCCAACTACACACCCACTGAGCAGTTTGTATTTTGCAAAATTTTATAGTGAAGGGACTGCAGACGTCGTCTTGACCAACTCTCTTCCTTTTGCAGCTGAGTGGAACCAAGTCCACTGGCTGCGGCGCTTCCTCTTCGCCCAGCTCTCTGCACGGTGGCCAAGCTCTGGGCCCTTAGCTCCTGGCAGGACCATATGTCCCCTGATCGGACTTTTGTGACACCGGGGCGCCCCACCTCATGCCTGCAGTGGTGCAACCCACACTACTCTAGAAAGTTTATGTGCCTGCTGCACACCCTCCTTTCCCTAGCCCACCGCAGCCATCCCATGGTGTTGTGGGAAATGACCTCAGAGAGCTTCCCCAGACAATGGAGAGTCTTTAGAATGCTGGGCAGCTGGACCCTTGGCCCTGGATACCAAGAGCTATGCAGGCACTTATCCCAAAGCCACCCCCATTCCAGCCAGATGCTGGTCCCCAACCCTGGGAAACAGAGACCAGGACCTGTGCCACTCCTGCTTGGCATGCACCTGGACTCCCCAGGACAGCCCTGCGGGTGGGTTTTCTTATCTCACTTTACAGACAGCATACGGGGCTAAAAAGTAGAGAAATGACTTGCTTAGAGCACCAGGGCCCAGCACAGAGTTCAGCTTCAAAGCCATCATTTCATTGTCCTCCACCAGCAGAGGAAGCCTAGTGACCGCCCCTTCCTACCCCCAGCCTCATCCCCACAATCACAGGGTCCCCTGCTGACAAGTGGCTCCCAGGGCAGGTCTCCCAGCCTAGCAGATCTCCTGGCTTGGAGACCCAGGATTTCTCCTGGCAAGGTCTCTAGGGCAGATGAGGCTGAGCTGCCTTCAAGTCCACCCAGGCCTCCCCAGAGGAGGCCCCCCTCCCAGGAATGGCATCCCAGCTCCTCCCTCCTCTGGGCTGGCTTCATGGGGGCAGACACCTTTACTTCTGCAACACAGCTGGGCTGCAGTCGTACAAGGGATCATGGTTTGCAGGCTGAGCTGGCAGAGGGACACCCCAGGGTGAAGGGCATTTGTGGGGCATCCTGTCATTGAACTTTCTCAGAAGGCCCTGCCCTTCTCTTTTTCCCTCCAAGGCAGTTGTTGGGATGGCAACATCAATGCTGGCCGTGGCACTTCCTCTTTGGCCAGCTCTGCACAGTGGCCGAGCTGTGGGCCCTCAGCTCCTGGCAGGGCCCTGTGTCCCCTGACCAGACTTCCGTGAGGCCAGGCCTCCCCACCCCACACCTGCAGCAGTGCAGCCCATGCTGCTCTAGGAGGTTTATCTGCCAGAGAGGCTTTGAGGGTGGGGAATGAGACCCTTATCTCCCTGCCAGGGGCCTGCCCTACAGTTAGGGCTTTGTAATCTGACATTGTGATTTTTCACTCTTGTTTTTCCCCTCATGGAGGGAAGATTTGCTGAATCACCCAGGGTGAGGTGGTTGGAGGAGGAGGGGGGCACCAGCTGGGGGGCAGTGATAAGTCTCAGGCCGGGCTGAGGGGCGCTGGGGAGCCACCGGGAGGAAACCCTTAACCGTGACGGTTTCCAGCTAAGATTGTAGGCTTCTAAAGAGCTGCCTTGGGGAGGCTGAGCTCAGGGATCCTGAACCTTCCTTCCTGAGGAGTGCAGAGGAGGGCCGGGGGTGCCAGGCAAGCCCCGTAGACATCCCACGAGCCAGCAGGGATGGGAAGGCAGGGACCGTGACCGTGGCAATGACCAAAGATGCATGTGGCTGGCTGCCAAGCCCCAACAGGATAGCCCCCAGGACCCCACTAGGTCACCCTTGCTTTGCACACTGGCCTCCTGAAGCCCTGAGAAGGCGCTGGCTAGAGCACTGCTCCCTAACAGGTTGGGCAAGAGCTGGGGGCAGGGGAGGCCTCTTGTCTCCCCCAGGGCTTTGTGCCCCGCTGTTTTCTTGGCTTGGGGCAGCCCTCTGCACTTCCAACAGATCAAATTCTTTTTGTCTTGCAAATGTCGACTTCCCTCATTAGACTTCCCTTAACCCCAGGGCTGGGCTTAGTAACCCCCTTGGGCCTCCAGACCCCCCACAGCGTCTCCTCTCCTGGGTCTTGCCAAGGCCCTGCCCAGAGTGGACGCCCAGCAAATACTTGTTGAACAGACTTTGTACCCTGCGAGAAGTGGTCTTCTATTGGCACTAAGTCTGGGGTCTACAAAGTGGGAAGAAATCCCCAGAGGAGCTGGGCTGGCCCCCAGGAATGCCCTCTGTTGCAGAGAGGACCCAGCTGCTGGGAGTGGTAGACCCCAGCCTGACCTCCAGGTGCCCGACCCTCAGCCTCTGCTGGGGCTGGCCACACAGTAGAGACAGCTGTCCACCAGTGATCTCATGGTAGTGTACAGAGATGGGGTCGTGCTGGGCGCAGGGGGAGGGCTTGGAGCAGAAAGGCCAGGCCGGACGGTGCCTGAGGCTTCCCCAGGATGCTCTCTACGCGACTGACTTCTGATTCCCCTCAGAGTCCGGTGGGCAACCGCAGCTCCGGGGAAGATGGGTGATTGACACCCCTGAGTCAGTGGCCACATCCCTTGCTGCTCCCAAAAGGGGCTCCTGGGGCAGGAAGAGCTGCCCACGGTGGTCGCTTCGCTCCCTTCCTGCTGCCCAGCTGAGCTCAGAGATAAGTCCTTGCTGGGCTGAGAGAGGCCTGGGGCTTAGGCCTTCCCCAGAAATCATGTTCGAGTTCCCCATGTGGAGGAAGGGGCCTGACGGCCACGATAACCCCTCTATTTTTAAGAGATCCGGGAGGAAGTTCCAAGTCACCCTTGGCAGAAATAGCTCTGGGCTTCAGCCTGGTGTCTGTAGCTCCAGCTGTCGGCAGGGACAGCCGAGGAGTGCAGCAGGATTCAGCTCATCACAGCATGGGGGGGCCCACCTGCTCCCCACCTGCTCCCCAACCCCAGACTGGGAGGACCTGTGGCCCTGCAGGTCCAGCCCAGAACCTGGGCTCCAAGGTCAGAGCTTTTGGCAATGAAATAACAACTACATTTATTGTGTGCCTACCCCGCACCCTGAGCCATTCACAGCGTTCACAGGAAAGTGCTGTGATCGTGCCACAAACGTGTCAGAGGGAAGAGAACTGCCTGGGAAGGCATCCGGAGGAGGTGAGGCTTGAGCTGTGCCCAGGACAGTTAGGAGAGAGCTGAGCAAA
Source organism: Homo sapiens (assembly GCF_000001405.40). NCBI lineage: Eukaryota > Metazoa > Chordata > Mammalia > Primates > Hominidae > Homo > Homo sapiens. Next base: position 133,002,566 of record NC_000009.12, on the reverse strand, counting down.
TCGGTAGGAGGAAAAGAGCCACTTGGGTAGAGGGGACAGAAAGAGCAGAGGTTGGGAGTCAAGAGGTGTCTACAGGAGGCTGAGGCAGGAGGATCATTTGAAGCCAGGACTAACTAGGCAACAGAGTGAGACCTCATCACTACAAAAAGTACAAAATTAGCCTGGAGTGGTGGTGAGTACCTGTGGTCCCAGCTATTCTGGAAGCCAAGGCAGCAGGATGGCTTGAAGCCAGGAGTTCAAGACAAGTCTGGGCAACACAGTGAGACCTTGTCTGCACAAAAAAAAGAAAAAGAAACTGGCTGAGCGAAGTGGCTCACACCTGTAATCCCAGCACTTTGAGAGGCTGAGGTGGGCAGATTGCTTGAGCCCAGGAGTATGAGCCCAGGCTGGCAACATGGCTAAACCCTGTCTAATACAAAAATTAGCTGGTTATGTTGGCACATGCCTGTACTCTCAGCTACTCGGGAGGCTGAGGTGGGAGGATCACTTGAGCCCAGGAGGTTGAGGCTGCAGTGAGCTGTGATCATGCCCCTGCACTCCAGCCTGGGTGACAGAGTGAGATCCTCTCTCAACAAACAAACAAACAAACAAAAAATTTTAAAGAAAGAAAGAAAAGAAAAGAAAAAGAAACTGAGGCCCAGAGGGCAGTGTCTGACCAAAGCCACCCAGCCAAGCAGAGTGACATCCCTCGGTCTCCTGACTCCATCCAGGGCTGTCCTTCCACAACCCCCTCTCTTGTGCAGGGAAACTCAGTGCTTCTTAATGAGGTCTCTCTGGCCACCCATCTAACTTGGTGATCTCCACGTCATCAACACCCCCACACCTTTCTTTTTTTTTTTTTTTTTTTGAGACAGAGTCTCACTCTGTCACCCAGGCTGGATGGCAGTGGCACGATCTCAGCTCACTGCAACCTCTGCCTCACAGGTTCAAGTGATTCTCCTGCCTCAGCCCCCAGAGTAGCTGGGATTACAGGCACCGGCTACCACGCCCTGCTAACTTTTTTTTTTTTTTTTTTTTTTGAGATGGGGTTTCACTCTTGTTGCCCAGGCTGGAGTGCAATGGCACGATCTCAGCTCACCGCAACCTCTGCCTCCTGGGTTCAAGTGATTCTCCTGCCTCAGCCTCCCGAGTAGCTGGGATTACAGGCATGCACCACCATGCCAGGCTAATTTTGTATTTTTAGTAGAGACAGGGTTTCTCCATGTTGGTCAGGCTGGTCTCGAACTCCCGACCTCAGGTGATCCGCCTGCCTCAGCCTCCCAAAGTGCTGGGATGACAAGTGTGAGCCACCGCACCTGGCCTAATTTTTGTATTTTTAATAGTTATGGGTTTTCGCCATGTTGGTCAGGCTGGTCTCGAACTCCTGACCTCAGGTGATCCACCCCTTTCTGCCTCCCAAGTGCAGGGATTACAGGCACGGGCCACCACGCCCGGCTTCTCTGCATTCTGTTTCTCCTGGCTTTGTTTAGTCTCTGCATCCCCGCTGAGCTCCAAGAGGGCGGGGATTTCGTCTGTTTTCCCCTCGGCCCGATCCTCACCACCTGTGGCAGGCACTCGATAGATATAGGAGTTGATGAATGAAAGATTTCTGACCTGTCAGGGTGGTCTTTGTGCCTCTGTGAGGGTCCTGGGTGCAGTCTCTCATACATGACTCCAGGGGACACACTGCTGGCTCTGCAGACACTGGCATGGCCCTCTGCTTGCACCCCAGGCTGGCAGAGGTGGGCACCTACAGACTGATCCTGGGCTGGGACCGTTCCCACCAGGTCAGAGAGCCTTGGTAGCAATGCCTTTTCCTTCTCTGCCTCTTAAAACAAATGAACAAATCACCTTTCTTTCCCCACGCCCTCCCCCAAAACATTGTTGTTATAGAAACCACGGAAAACTGTATATATGTATATAAAAGGGACTTAGGTGGGCGTGGTGGCTCATATCTGTAATCCCAGCACTTTGGGAGGCCGAGGCAGGTGGATCACTTGAGGTTAGGAGTTTGAGACCAGCCTGACCAACACGGTGAAACCCCATCTCTACTAAAAGTACAAAAATTAGCCAGGCATGGCAGTGGGTACCTGTAATCCCAGCTACCCAGGGAGGCTGAGGCAGGAGAATCGCTTGAACCCAGGAGGTGGAGGCTGCAGTGAGCCAAGATCACGCCATTGCACTCCAGCCTGGGTGACAGAGTGAGACTCCATCTCAACAAAACAAAACAAAAACAAACAAACAAAAGGACTTAAAAATCCACCCCACAAAGATAACCCTGTGGATGCCGGCGCCTGCCTCCCCCCGCCAGGTGGCTGTGCACAGCTGAGGACCAGGCTGCCCTGTGGCTGCACTTAGGGCTGGGAGGCATTGCCTCATGTGCGACTTTTCCTTGCAGATCACGAAGCACTTGTCGGACCTCCAGACCTCAGGGTGGGCGTGGAACCTCCCAGCTTTCCCTTCTCTTCCTGCTCTTCTTCCTCCTGGTCTCCTGGGTCCTTGCCCCCCTGCCTGCTCTCCTGCTCACTCTCAGACTCAGTTTCCCCAGTCATGAGGAGGGGTGTAATGTTGGAAAGCCGTGCCTCCCTGGATGGAGACAAGTGCCAGGCTGGACACCCCAGAGGGACTCACAAAAGATAACCTGAGCCTGACTCTCACCCGAGGCCTTGGGGCTTGGGGTTAGGGAGGAAAAGGGTTGGGGTGGGATGGAATGGGGTTCAAGTAATTAAAGAAGCAGCCCCCGGCTGCCTGGCCCTCCTGCTCCCAGGGATTTCCACGTGCATCCTGGAGCCCCAGGACCTTCCAGGAAAGGGAGTTTTTTCCCTAGGTCTTGCGGAAGAGCTGAGTAGTGGCAGCATTGTCTGGTGATCTGGAAGGCTATGCCTGGGTTTGATGGGGTCTTCAGCCTGTGCCTGCCCGGGGCTGATTCCCCACTGCAGTGGCTCAAGGCTGGGACGTCAAGGACCCCTGAGGAACCTCGGAGGCCTCTTCCTCCCCAGCTTGTCCTTTGAGTGAAGTGGGTGGAAGTCTCTCTCTCTCTCTCTTTCTCTCTCTCTGTCTGTGTCTGTCTCTCTCCCTCACTCTCTCTCTCTCTCCCTCCTCTGGTCCCTTTCTCCCGCTCTCTGGGCCACCAGGCCCCTGATAACACTTGGAAGGCGCTATCGGCTCAGGAGTGCCCTCCTGCTTGGCCCATGGTTCTACTCCACACCGACGGTTGGCAGCCGGCACCGTGCGATAAACTTATCAGGCCAAACCTGAGCATGCCGGGTCGGAACATGCCCTGCCTCAGATTTCCCTCCCGCAGCATCCCTGCAGCCCCCATCCCCCGGGAACCCTGGGTCCTGCCTGTCTCCGGGCCAGGCCCAACTCCAGCTAGACACCCATGGAGGTGGTCCCGGACAGCCCCTGACCCAGACCAGAGGAAGAGCTGGGGACCCTGTGAGAAGTCACAGGTCCAGTGTCCACCCCACTGTTCCCAAACCAGGCTGTCACTCTACCTACCTTGGAGGCCCTGCCCCAGCTGCTAAGAAGGAGTCGGGAGGTTGCATACCCATCCTAAACTTACTGGGGACCTAGTAGGCCCTGGCCCCAAAGGATAGGACCCAGCATCTGCCAGGAGGTGGCTCACAGAGTAGCAGGGTGGGGGCGAGACAGCCAGCACTTGTAAAGTAAAAAGTCACCTGCCTGCAAGGCTCTGCACTGCACTAGAGGGGCCTGAAGGGACCTGCAGCTTTGAGGGAGGGGACAGAGACACAAACCTCAAGGCCGGGAAATCATATTTCAGCAGACAGAGTCTTTTTTGTCATGCCAGTGATAATGTTATCATGCACGCCCAATACAGAAAAATAAAACATACACACTAAAAAATAAGAAGAAAAAAGACACTGCCGTTTATCCTTGCACACTTCCTTCCGTGTGTGTGTGTGTGTGTGTGTGTATGTAATTAACAACATGAATCATGGGTTGTATACTGATTTTTTAAACCTCATTTTCACTTAAGATATCAATAGCTTCCTCTATCAATACATTTATTCTGCAAAATTATTTTCTCTTCTATTTTTTAGTTACCAAAAATCTGCAACAAACGCCAAGTCTCTTTAAAAAAAAGTTTGAGATGGAGTCTTGCTCTGTTGCCCAGGCTGGAGTGCAGTGGCGCAATCTCTACTCACTGCAACCTCTACCTCTGGGGTTCAAGTGATTCTCATGCCTCAGCCTCCCGAGTAGCTGGGATTACAGGAGCCCACCAAATTTTTTTTTTTTTTTGAGACAGAGTCTTGCTCTGTTGCCCAGGCTGGAGTGCAGTGGCACAATCTCGGCTCACTGCAAGCTCCATCTCCCAGGTTCACACCATTCTCCTGCCTCAGCCTCCCGAGTAGCTGGGACTACAGGCGCCCGCCACCATGCCCGGCTAAATTTTTGTATTTTTAGTAGAGATGGGGTTTCACTGTGTTAGCCAGGATGTTCTCAATCTCCTGACCTCGTGATCCGCCCGCCTCGGCCTCCCTAAGTGCTGGGAATACAGGCGTGAGCTGCCGCACCCGGCCAAATTTTTGTATTTTTAGTAGAGATGAGGTTTCACCATGTTGGCCAGGCTGGTCTCAAACTCCTGACCTCAAGTGATCCACCTACCTTGGCCTCCCAAAGCACTGGGATTACAGGCATGAGCCACCATGCCCAGTCACAAGTCTCTTTTAAAGGTGGCACTGAGAGTGAAATTTAACCCTCTGTTCCAGCCCCCAGAAATAACTGCGGTCAATGGTTTTGTGGACTTTCTTCAGCTGTGTTTTACTAAGCATACACAGACAGAGGCTTACAGAACCCGCATGCTAGCATGCCACATGCATTCCTCACTCCACATCAGCCTGATAAACTCCTCCCCGGGTCAGGTCTTCTAAAGCATGCTTGCTCTTCTTCCTGGCCATGTGGTCATCTGTTGCACCAACGGCTTGGCCAGCCTCCTCCCATGGGCATTAGGATGGTTCTGATTTCTTTCTTTCTTTCTTTCTTTTTTTTGCCATTATAAACAGGCTGCAAAGATGCTCTTGCAGCTGAATCTACATTCCCATCAGTAATTACTTCTCAACTTTTTTTTTTTTTGAGACGGAGTCTTGCTCTGTCACTCAGCCTGGAGTGCAATGGCATGATCACGGCTCACTGCAACCTCTGCTTCTCAGGTCCGCCTCTCGGGTTCAAGAAATTCTCCTGCCTCAGCCTCTTGAGTAGCTGGGATTACAGGCGCCCGCTACCACACCCAGCTAATTTTTTTTTTTTTTTGTATTTTTAGTAGATACGGGGTTTCACCATGTTGGCCAGCCTGGTCTCGAACTCCTGACCTCATGATCCACCCGCCTCGGCCTCCCAAAGTGCTGGGATTACAGGTGTGAGCCACTGCTCTTGGCCAATTTTTTTTTTGGTGGAGAAGGGATCTGGCTATGTTGCCCAGGCTGGTCTTGAACTCCTGGGCTCAAGCAATCCTCCCACTTGGGCTTTGCAAAATGCTGTGATGATAGATGTGAGCCACTGTGCCCGTCCCATATCTATTTCTTGAAGATACATTCCTAGGAGTGGAATGGAGGGTCATGGGCGATCACATTTCAAAAGCTTTTCTTATGAACTTGACTTAAGCCTGAGAGGGTTCAGAACAAGAAGAGGGCATTTCAGGCAGAGGGAACACGAGGGGCAAAGGCTCGAGGGTGGGAAACAGCATTGAGTTCTCTTGAGAACATTTAGGAATAGCAAGAAGGGCCCTGCTGCTTGTCCAGTGACCCCAGGACGCGGGGTGGGGTGGGGCCTCACTCTTCTGGGTCCCGCCCTCCATCCAGGGCCGGGCCGCCCTCCCCTCCCTGAGCAGCCTCAACAGGGTAGCAGGGAGAGCCCAGGCCAGACTGACACTGAGGCTGGAGCTGCTGTCGCTCCTGATACTGACAAGACCGGCCTCCAGCCAGTGCCCCTGCTCTGTGCCCCCAGGCCGCACTGCACACCCACCTGGGTCTTCCTTCTAAAGCTCAGCCCATGTCATAGCAGCTCCCTCGGGGCTTCGGGCCCATAAGTCAACGGCTGCAATGCCTTTAAGAACTCCTGGGGGTCTTCAGTCTCCCCTGATGCACAGCGTGTGCCATGCTGTGCCCACTCCCTGCACTCCTTCCTGCTTCCTTCTCACTTCTGGCCAGCCCAGATTCTTCTGTGTTCTCGGTTCCTTCCCGTGGAACAGCCTTCACCCACACCACACTGAGTGGGAGCCCCCATAGGGCAGGGATTGCAGAGAGGGGTTTGAAGTCAGGGGACTGGGGTCAGCCCTGAAGGCTAGGTCATGGTGAGCAGCTGGGGCTGGGGCTCAGTTCTCTAGGCGATGGGGTGGGGGATGTCTGATCTCCAGGGAACCTTCAGGACAGGTCCTGATCTTCTGGATCATACAGAACCCTGTTTACTTCCACTTCCCTATAGCCCGAGTGCCCGGTCCCTGCCTCCTTACCTCGGTCTGTCCACCCCGCTTCCAGGCCAGCTCACTCCAGTCGGGCAGATAGAGACAGGCTGGGGCCAACACATGTGTGTGAGTGCACACACGCACAAATCTCCAGGCTCACCCTGGGAGATGCATTTCCATCCTTATCAGTGATTTCCATGGCGGGCTCACTGGGCACCTCTCAGTCTGTCCCTCAGGAGGCCCTGGCCCTGGGCCTGGTTGCCCTGTGGGATGTGGCCTGCTTGGAAGAGGGGCTTCTCCTGCATCCAGAGGGAATGCGGGGTGCAGGGCCTGCAGTGTAGCCTGAAGCTGTCACCACGAACAGGACATTTTATCTGAAAATTAATTCAGATGTTACATTCCACTCCCTAATGTGGCTGGCTAGTTTTGATATTAAAATATTGGTTTTGTTAATTACCATGGAGTAAACTGATATTCTGGGTCATGTCACCAGCAGCATCCTGAGGTCTCACGAGTCCCCATTCAATCCTTGGAAGCAGGGGGTCAGTGCCACAGTCTAAGGAACGCTTCCACCCCACCCAGCCACCCACCCCACCAACACCATTTACACCGTATTCTATGCACATGGAGCACCCTGGAGTCAGGCAACCCAGAGGCCCTGCTAGGACGGCCACTAGACTGGGGCTGGAAAACCTGGGTTCTGTCGTACTATGCTGTTAATGGCAATGTGACCTTGGGCTAGCACCTCTCCTCTCTGGGCCTCTGTTTCCTTGTGTGGCACATGGAAGCCACGGACAGTCTCCACAGGGCTGGACAGTGCCTTCCAGGTCACATTGCAACTCCGGTGGCAGGAATTGCAGGCCAGGTAGTTGGCCGCAGGGAGCTGACGGGAAGTGGAGAATTGGTGGGGGAGCTTGAACTTCCCTGAAATCACAGACTGCAGGTGGGTGGTGCCCCACAGCACCTCCTGGGCCACCTCCCCGCCCCAGTGTCATGGGCATAGCCTCTGCATCCAGAAGGAGACGGAACATCCAGGGAACTCTGTCCCACTGGGGCCCATCCAAGTCTTCTCCAGGGCTGCCTTCTCCTAGGGGCTCCCAGCTCTGCACATGAGGCCAGCCTGCAGCAGCTTCTCAGGCATGAGGAAGGGTCAGCAGCACCGCCCTCTGGCTCACAGCAACCCCCGAGCCCCAATCCACGGACTCAGCAGGGCCAGGAAGCCCAAGCCAAGCCTTCCCAGCCAGTGCAGAATCTTCCCCTGGAAGCAGGTGTCACAGGCTTCCCCACTACCTGCCCTCTTTCTCTGCTGTATGCAAATGGGGTTCCAGCCCCCACTGCTCTGAGGCTGCTGTGGCCTTCCGCTGGCGCCACCCCACACACCCACTCACTGGAGGAGCCCGACAAGCTTAATCTCGATCTCGCCAAACCTCAGTCGACAAAGAAGGAACATTGTCTGGCTTCCCCTCACAGCTCAGCTCCTCCGCCTTGCCCCGCCCTGCTGCAGAAGTGGCTGAAATCCCGATACTGGTTTGGTTTTGTTTAGCAAACAGGGAGTATGCAAAGCAGCTCCCAATCCGTGTGTGTGCATGTGTGCATGTGTGTGTAAGAGATGAGTCAGGAGCCCATTCCAGGCCTGGCCCCAGAAGTGTGGCTGTGGGCAAGGCCCTTCCCCTCTCTGGGCTTCTCTGTCCTCCTGGACAGGAGGAGAGGTGGGAACAGGTGGTTTCTAAGGCTTTGCTGGCTCTGGTGCTCTGGCCACCAGGGTCCCTCTTCTCCTGATTCCAAGAGCTGGATTTCAAGACAGGACACCGACAGGGAGCTTGCTGAGGAGACGGGACCACCCTCCCATGCAAATCCCGAGCCCCGAGCCCACCCCGCACACCTGACAGGTTTGCTTAGAGGAATTCTGGCTAAAGGAAACAGGAAGAGCTTCTGGCAGGAAATGGATGTCAGGATTCTGCCTAGCCAAATGCAGAGCCTGGGGGTGGGTGAGAGTTCCATTCCTCTTGGGGGCCCAAGCCCCTTGCACACCAGAGAAGAGACCTGGAAGAAACACTTTTGGGTTTCAGTGGGAGGGAGAGTACACAGACTCCAAAAAGATAGCCTCAACTCGGAATCAGTTTCTGATCCCAGTCCTGCCTTTACCTGCTGTGTGACTTTGGGCAAGTAGGCCAACCTCTCCCTCTCCCTCTCTGGTTCCCAAATTAACCTTAGGAAAACACTGAACACCCAAATCCTCCCCTTGGGGATGGACACATGCGTATCACACGTTATAGGCTCTAAGAAGCAGTTGCAATAGACTGAACGTTAACCCAGAGTTCCTCCCAGTTATTTGAGCAATGTGATCTCTACTCCGTCTAAAGCAAACGAACCCCCGGAGGCTTGTGGCGCACGCCTGGGGAGCACCAGAACGGGTCTGAGGCATGTCCAGCCGGCTCTGTGGGCCTCTCTGGAACCACGAACATGAGTCTGAGGACTTGTCACTCACTCCCCTGATGATCCATTGAACAGCTTCTAGTTTGACCCAGGTTTGAGCTGCCCACAATGGATGCGAATTGGGCGTTTGCATGGGACATTTGCCATTTCATGACAGGTTGAGCCTCATAAGTTGGCATGCAATCAAATACACGTTAAACAAGTCAGTTCATGAACCGACAGAAACCATCGGACGATAGTGGCGTTTCTTTGGAAAGAATCCTTCTTTCTCTAGGAAAGAGGGTCTCTCTGTGGGTCCCAGCTCTGGTCTACTCTTGGCATCCCTGTCTCCCTGGGGGTATTCCAGCTTTCTGTGCTCTGCTAGAGGAAGGCACCTGAGCACACCTGGAAAGGGTAAGCCCTAGTATCTATGTTTGTTTGTTTGTTTGTTTCCGAGATGGAGTCTTGCTCTGTTGCCCAGAGCTGGAGTGCAACGACAACATCTCGGCTCACTGCAACTTCCACCTCCCAGGTTCAAGCAGTTCTCCTGCCTCAGCTTCCCAAGTAGCTGGGTTTACAGGCACGCGCCACCATGCCCAGCTAATTTTTGTATGTTTAATAGAGACAGGGTTTCACCATGTTGGCCAGGCTGGTCTCGAACTCCTGACCTCAAGTGATCTGCCCGCCTCAGCCTCCTAAAGTGCTGGGATTACAGGCGTGAGCGCCTGGCCCATATCTGTGTTTTTTTTTTATGTTTGACCTCTCTGGGCCTCAGTTGCCCCATCTGTAAAATGGGAGAATGGCATTCCATTGCAGAAGGTTGTGTGGGTTAGAGACAATGTATGGAAACCCTTGGCTTAGCTCAGTACCTGCAAGTTCATTCAGAGGTGTCCATGGCTGTGGGCCAGGCACAGGATTGGTGTGGGATGGGGGGTGGGGTGCGGCTGGAGCTCAGACAGAAGACCTCCTGAAGTTATCCACACATAACTGCATTCCACATTCAATGGCTCCTAAGCTGTAAGCAAAGAGACTGAGTTGCTCGGTATCAGAGGAGAGAGAAGACCTTCTGGCTGGATGACCCAGGGAGGCTTCATGGAGGAGATGGCTAAGTGGGCCTTGTAGGATGGACAGGACTTCAAAAAGGAATGTTCACAACTCGGCAGCACTTACTACGTGCTGGGCTGGACCTGTATGCCACTTTGTAAGAATGGTCTCAGCGAATCGGTGGAAGGGACTGCTGTGTTTACCATTTTACAGAGGAGGAAGCTGAGCCCCAGAGAGGTTCAGGAACTCACCTGAAGTCACACAGCTAGACAGGTGTGGCACCAGGCTCAGCTTCATCACACCTGCAAAGTCCCTTTTACCCTATAGCGTCACACTCATAGGTTCCAGGGTTAGGATGTGGATATCATCTTTGGGGCCATTATTCAGCCAATCACGGTGATTACGTTCAGGATCTTGAGATGGGATGATTTATACCTGAGCTCAGTGTAATCAGAAGGGTCTTTATAAGAGAGAGGCAAGAAGGTTGAAAGCAGAAGACAGAGATGGAGGCAGAAGCAGAGATCCAAGTTATGTGCTTTGAAGGCAGAGGAAGGGGCCAAGATCAGAGGCACAGACGGCCTTGGGAAGGTGAGAGACAGGAAAACAGACTCTCCTGGGAGCCTGCTGCAGGAATGCAGTCCTGCTAACACCTTGATGTTAGCCCCATGAGACTCATTTTGAGTTTCTGGCCTCTAGAATTTAAGAGAATAAATGTGTGTTGTTTTAAGCCACTAAGTTTGTGGTCATTTGTCACAGCAGCCACAGGAAACGGATACCGCCCCAGCTGCACTAGCCTTGCCCACCCCTGTGGTCTTGTCGCACGGGCCCCTTCTGCTTGCTCCTGGCTCGTCAGCGGGTCTGTGCACGTGGGGGCTGAGTACACTTCTCCACAACTTGCCTATGAGCACCTCCATGGCTTTCTCTGCTCCTCAAGCCTCCCCGCATCACTCCCCAAAGCCTCGTGCAGTACCCTGGACCTCATAGGCACTTAATAAATGCTGGTCACATGGCAGCAAATCTGTATCTTTAATTTTATTGACAGCAGTTGAGAGAACAGGCTTTTGACAGCAATAACTGCCAGTTTCTCCAGCCTCACGGCCTGGTTGTGGAGCTAGAATCCCCAGAGGCCAGCTGAGTGCTGGTCGGAAGTCGGAGTCAGCCAGCACATCTGGCCGAAGCAGAGGGGGTGCCAGGCTTCTGACTGGGGTGGGAGGCAGCTCCGACTCTGCCTGTTATAGCCAGAAAGAGGCCGGCTAAAATCCAAGGTGACCAGGTCCCAGCTCAGTGGGCAGCAGGCAGGTGGAGGTTCTGTCTGTGGGTCCCAGCTCTGGTCTACTCTTGGCATCCCTGTCTCCCTGGGGGTATTCTAGCTTTCTGTGCTCTGCTAGAGGAAGGCACTTGAGCACACCTGGAAACAACTTCTGCTGAGAAAGACCCAGCCAGGCTCCCACACTTGGCAGCAGGAGAAATGTTGATCCAGACAGGGTAAGTGACTTGCCCAAGGTCACACAGCAATTTCATGAGTCTCAAAACAAGCTGGTAGACTCCTGTCCAGTCCCACCTCCAGGAGACTGGAGATTTGGGCATGTGAGGCTGGCCTCCAGGTGACAGGACCGCAGGGCAGGCTGGCCAGGAGCTGGGAGCCGGCGCAGCCTCACTTGAGATTGTGCTGGCTCTCGCGGTGCCGCCGCAGGTCCACCTTGCGCTGGAAGCCTTTGGTGCACAGCTCACAGCTGAAGGGCTTGAAGCCTGTGTGCTTGCGGCTGTGGGTGATGAGGTTGGAGCTCTGGCTGAAGGCCTTTCCGCACACCTGGCACTTGTGCGGCTTCTCACCTGCAGGGAGGGCAGCGCAGCACAGCAAGGGCGGGGTCAGGGCCTCCTCACCAGGCCTGCTGCTCCCCTGCCCTGCCCCCGGGTTCATTTTCCAATACCTTCCTGTGTTTTCTCTCATGGCCAACTCACATTCACTTTAGAAAATAATTAGAAAAGAGAGAGAAGCAAAGATACAACTTGGACCCTCCTCCACCCCTACTGGATTATAGGGTGGTTAGGGGCAGCTGCCGAGTCATCTTGTTTATCAATACATCTCCAAGCCTGGTATACCTGGCACAAAAGAGGCACTCAGCTAATAGCAAGGAGGCAATGAATAAGCAAGTGAATGAATGAGTGAAGGAATGAATAAGCAAATGAATGAGTGAACAAATGAATGAGCAAATGAGTGAGCGAATGTGTGAATAAATGAGCAAATGAGTGAATGAGTGAACAAATGAATCAACAAATGAATGAATGAGTGAACAAATGAATGAGCAAATGAGTGAACAAATGAATGAATGAGTGAACAAATGAATGAGCAAATGAGTGAACAAATGAATGAATGACTGAACAAATGAATGAGCAAATGAATGAGTGAACAAATGAATGAGCAAATGAATGAATGAGTGAACAAATGAATGAGCAAATGAGTGAGCGAATGTGTGAATAAATGAGCAAATGAGTGAACAAATGAATGAGCAAGTGAGTGAGTGAATGAGTGAACAAATGAATGAGCAGTTCGCCTGCTAGTCTCATGTCTGCCATGAGATCAACAGTGTTGAGATTTTGCTGTTTCCTCCCTGTATTTTTTTCCATGCATTAAGTGCACTTAAGTAGCACAGGTGCCCAGCCCTCCATCAGCAGTGGCCTTTGACTTTGTAACTAGACCCCGCCCCCAGCCTCACGCTGGGGGCCTCTGATGCATCTCTCAGGGAAAGGTGGGGGTGCTCTGCCCAGGGGGCACAGGCAGGTGAGACTCACTCACCTGTGTGGATGTAGGTGTGCTTCTTCATGTCGGACTTCTGGTGGAAACGCTTGCCGCAGAACTGGCAGGGGTAGGGCCGCGTGTCTGAGTGGATGAGCAGGTGGGTGGACAGCGTGGACGAGCGCTTGAAGGCCTTGCCGCACATGCGGCACTCGAAGCTGCGCTCCTGCCGGAGGAAATGAGGCCCCGGGGGGTCAGGTGCAGGCTCAGGACTGGACCCGGCCGGGATCCCCTGCGGAACAGGACACTCCATTGGGGCGGCCTGGAGGAGCAGGACCGGGGGACCCCTCATCTCTGCCTCTGAGGTGAAACTGGGGCTTGGAGTCTCATTGGTCTCCTGTGGGATTTTTCCTTGTAATCTTCACGGTATCCCGCTCAAAATAAACCTCAATAAATGTTCGTTGATTGACTGATGGACTGACTGATCTCAGAGGTTCTTTAGGGGTTCACATTTCATGACCATTAACCTAGAGTGAGTTCCTTGAGGCAGGGATGGTTGTGGTCTGCACGGTGGTTTAGTTAAGAGTCTGAAGTTTGTTAAGGGCAGGTGTTGGAGACCCAGACCCAGGGAGGTGGGTACTAGGGGACCCCTCCCAATCTGTGTCACCCCCAGGGGCAGGGGGAGGGACCCAGCCACAGCCCCCAGGCTCCCTGGGGAAGCACAGAGAAGGAGTGGGGCTGGGAGTCCTGCGCTGGGCCAGGTGCCCACCTGGGAGTGGACGTGCGTGTGCTGCTCCAGGCTCACAGCGTGGCCGAAGGTTTTGCCGCAGATGTCACAGGCGAAGGGCCGGGTCCCACTATGGGAGCGTCGCACATGCACTTCGAGCCCGTGAGGGGTGGAGAAGACCTGGGAGCAGGGGCAGCATGTGAGGCCACTGGGGGCTGCGGTGACAGGGACAGGCCTGGGGTCCCATGGTCTCTTCCATGCCCAGCTCTGGCCAAGGCTGGGTACACAGAGTAAGGGGCACTGGATTGCCAGTTCTGCTGCTTGCTTGCTGTGTGTCCCAGGGAGGTCCGTTTGCCTCTCTGTGGCTCAGTCTCCCTTCTACAAAGTTGGATGTGAGAGAGGGGATCTGGAGGCCCCTCCTTGCCTCATCTAGAGGCTGAATAGCCCAGTGGTTAAGAGCTGGGAGTTGGCCGAAGCTGGGTTTGAATGCTGGTTCTGATATCTACTTGCTGTCTGATCCTGGAAAAGTGACTTAACCTCTCTGAACCTTAACCTTTCATCTGACTCTGGCACTCATGCCTGTCAATTGCTTAGCACAGGGCCAGGCACGTGGTCAGAGCTCAATGAATGGTGATGAGGATGAACGTTTTGAATCCTTAATCCCACCAGAGCCCCAACATTCACAGCACAGAGAACGCCCAGAGCTGCCAGTGAGTTGAGAGGGAGTGCGGAGAGGAGGGCCCAGGTGCCCACCACACCCCCCGCTGCCCACCTTGTTGCACTTCACACAGTGGTACGCATCCATGCCTGGGGAGTAGCGGAGGCTGAAGTCCAAGGCGGGCTCAGTGCTGGGCACAAGAGGACTGCCGTACAGGCTGACGGAGTGCTCCAGGAAGGCTGACTGCATGGTGGAGGGGGCCTGCCGGTAGCTGTGGCCATAGGTTGTGGCCAAGGTGTCCCAGGAGAAGCTAGGCTTGTAGAATGGGGGTGAGTCGGACAGTGGAGAGTCCCCATCCTGGGGTCGGGACAGCACAATGGGGCCCTCTGTGGAGATAACGACACAGGCCTGGTTACTCATTTAAACACAGGGGGTTGGGCACAGTGGCGTGGCTCATGCCTGCAATTCCAGCACTTTGGGAGGCTGAGGCAAGTGGGTCACTTGAGGTCGGGAGTTCAAGACCAGGCGGACCAACGTGGTGAAACTCTGTCTCTACCAAAAAATACAAAAATTAGCCAGGCGTGGTGGCTCACGCCTATAATCCCAGCTACTAGGGAGGCTGAGGCAGGAGAATTGCTTGAACCTGGGAGGCAGAGGTTGCAGTGAGTTGAGATCGTGCCACTGCACTCCAGCCTGGGCAACAGAGTGAGACACTGTCTCAAAAAATAAAATGAAATAAAATAAACACAGGGCACCCCCTTCCCACCACCCTCTACCACACACCACTACCTTCATCACCTCATGTGGAGGGTTTCAGGGTGTCAACCCAGATACTTACTGCCAGGAATGTCTGGGTCCTCACTGTGGCTCCTCAGCTTTTCCAGCCCAGAGACACCCCCAGCCTCACTCCACAGTGCCCACCTCACTCCCTGCACGGACCGGCCCAGCTGCTGCTTCTGGCCTCTTCTCCCACCTAGCCCACATCCGGGAATTAGCTCCCTGTCTGAGAGGCCCAAGCAGAAGCCACAGAGCCCGGGCTGCATCCAGTGACTTCGTGGGTCCTTCCTGACTCCAGGGCCCCAAGGGGCCCTGCTGCAAGAGTCCCTTCATCCTTCCTCCCCTTGGCACTCCCTGGGGAATGACAGTGGGTCACAGCGGGGTACCTGGTGCCGGGGCCATCCTGGCCAAGTTCTGGTCCTGCTCCAGCTCCGGCTCTCGTTTGAGGTTGGTCCAGTCCAGGCACTGGTTTGGGAATAGAGTGCTAAGGACAGGGCTGTTGCTTGGAGCCTGGTCTCTGGGCACTGTGGGGAGATAGGACCATCAGCATCAATAGCCACGGTTTCTGGGAAGCCCAGAGGGAGCAAGGAGGGCACGCCCTTCCTAGGAGGAGGAGGCCCAGAGAGACAGCCACGTGCCGCTGCTTCTGGCGGCTCACACTCCCGGGCTCTGCCCAGAGCAGGCGGCGGCAAGAAGAGGCCAGGAGGAGACCCCGGGGAAGACTTTGGACCAGTCTGTTTTTCTGAGCAACCCAACTCCAGCCCTAGACTGGGCCTCCAGTGAGGCCCCACATGCCAGTAACTAAGTACTGGCTCCAACCTGACACTCTCGTCTCCCTAACAGGGCAGAAGGGATGAGGGCATCACTCATTTGTCTACTCCTTTCATCTGCAACCCACAGTTACTGCACTCCTGTTTCCAGACTTGGAAGAAGAGGCTGCTGCAGGAGGGACGCTGCTGCACCCTCATCACGCAGAGCAGAGAGCCCCCCGTGGGTGCAGCAGGCGCCAGCCCGGGCTCTGACTCACCCGGGGTAAGGGCAGGAGGCCAGAGCGGTTCATCTTCCTGCACACGGGGCTGGTGGTAGGTGTGAGCCTTCTTGCTCTTCACCAGGAAGGAGCGTGGCATTTTCAGTGTGCACCCCACACCTGCAAGGGGGAGGGATGGGAGCGGTTAGGAAGGACAAGAGAACAATACCCCTCCATATCTCAGAACCTCCTCCTGAGATAAAACACCAGCTATACTGGGTTGAACAGTGGCCCCCAAAGTTCATGTCCACCCAGAACCTGTGAATGTGACCTTATTAGCAATAGGGTGTTTTTGCAGATGTAATCAAGTTATGATGAGGTCATTCCGGGTTAGGATGGGCCCTCAATCCAAGATGACTCGTGTCCTTATAAGAAGATGGAAATTTGGACCCAGAGACACAGACACCCAGGGAGAACGCCGTGTGCCGACAACAGAGCAGAGAGTGACACTTCTATCAGCCAGAGAATGCCAGGCAGTGCCGACAGCCGCCAGAACTCGGAGCTTCTATCAGCCAGAGAATGCCAGGCAGTGCCGACAGCCGCCAGAACTCAGAGAGGGGCATGAAACCCTCTCCCCTGGCGTCTGCAGAAAGAACCCACTTTGCGGACACCTCGATTTTGGATTTCTAGATCCCAGAACCATGAAAGAATAAATTTCTGTTGGTTTTAAGCCACCTGTTTGTGCTATTTTGTTACGGCAGCTACAAATCCTAACTTCCCTCACTGCTCCTTCACCAGGAAATGAATGCATCGCCCCCTAGAAAACGCTCAGACAAGCCTGCTCCCATTGGCATGACCTGGGCTGCAATGGAGCAGAAAAGGAAAGGCAGGGACTGGGGTCTCCCTCTGTGACACACAGTGGACCCCAATTCTAGAAAGCTACATTTGGGTACCAGTGAGATTCACCTTCAGAGGCCATAGAAACGGGTGGTCTGAGCTTAGGTTTTGGAATCAGTGGTTCGTGGGTTAGAATCTCAGTTCACTTGCTGTGCAATTTGGGACACACACTTAACCTCTCTGGGCCTATCCCCTTTGCTGTAAGTGGGGATGTCCAGGCTTGCAGTGCTGACAGGTGCATCACAGGTGTTCAGTGTCTATCACTGGGGGCTCTGGCAGAGAAGCTGCAGCAAACGAGGGGACATTGCCAATCCACGTGCTCCTGCAAGCCGCAAGCCACAGCCGCCAGAGCACGGCTGCGCCTTGTCCACAGCCCTGGCCCAGAGTCTGTTCCCTAGAGAGACAGGGGCTTTCTCTCTCTGAGGAGTGGGGTGTGGGGACTCAAGACCTGAGAGGACCCCCAACTCCACTGCACCTGGAGGCCTGAGGCTTCATGGACACAGGAGAAGAGGCGAACAGCCCCCAGCTTCCGTGGGCAGCCCAGCATCACTACCAACCCCACCAGTCAGGGAGTGGGAGAAGAAACCAAGGACCACATCAGTCAAGGGACCATCCCAGGCAGAGTCAGGGAGTGACAGGGCTGGACCAACTTGACCACCCCAGGACTCCTGGCTTCCCCTGCAGAGCCCTCTGGAGCTGAGAGCCCTGCCTGGCCCCCAGAATGGTTCACATCCCTGCACTCAGCCTGTGAGGTTCCCCCGGGCACTCTGGAGAGCATCTTCTGGTGGTCCTCTATCCTTTCTGCCCCCACGCTGCACCCAGGCCGACACCAGGCCCATGCCTGAGGCGTCAGAGGAGTCCCACCCCCCCACCCCTTGGGCCAGCCGCCATGCAAGGCTGCAGGGGTGATAGGGTCCGGAGAAGGCGGGAGAGGGATCACAGCTGCTTCAGAACAGCAGTGAGGGCCTGGGTGATAAGGCCTTGGCCCAGGAGCAGGGTGGGAGGTGGGAGATTAGAGAATGCAGCTTGGAAAAGGGCCAGGGACTCACCCCTTCCCCAAGGAGATGAACCACAGCCAGGCAGAAGAGGGACCCGACTATGCCCAGGCCTGCTTCCCCCTGGCCCAGAGCCTGGGGGCATCAAGAGTTTGGACTGGGGGCTCTGCACAGGGGGCCAAGCTCAGGCCCAGCCCTTGCCTGCTGTAAGGCTCATCACTGAGCCTCAGTGCTCATATCTGCTAAACGGGGATCCCAATCCAACCACATGGGATGGTGGGGAGCGAGAAAGGACCTTTATCCATCAGGAGCGAGTGTGAGAGGTGCTCAGCATGTGCTCCCCCGCATCCCAGCACCCAGCCCACTGCAGGTGCATTCAAAGGACGGGGTAAGCCCTGTGCCAAGGGCTGCAGCAGCCTCCCAGAAGCCAGGGCCGCGCTCAAGGCCCTGTACTCTCTGAGCTCTAAAATTAGGAGAAAGGACCTTGAAGGCCTCTGGGGTCCCTTCCCGCGGTCAGATTCTCGGCTCTCTGAACACAGGCTCGGGCCGGGGGCAGCCCACGGCCTTATCTCCCAGGGACACGTCTTCCTCCTCTTGCCTCCTCCCCCTCCCTCACCAGGGCTCCCCACACCCCCCTTCCTTCCCGCTTTTAACTCTTCTTCGCTTCAAGAAAGCCCATGGGGAGGCCAGACCCTAGGGGGAGAGGAGGGGACCCAGTGAGCAGGAGGAGGACTGGGGGTGTGGGGTTCCCCTTGCACTTTGTTTTGAGGGGGCCTGTGAGGGTCATGGTTTGCCTATCAAAATATCAAAAGATGATCCTTTTTTGCGCATAATATTTATGAGGAAATCAACTAGAACCAAAGGTACTCGCCAAGGCTTCTGTGATAGAAGAGGAGCTGGTCAAACCTTCTGGCAGGGGGCTGCTTAGCCTGCCTTGTTTATTACACCTTTAATTCTGATGCTTAATCCAGATGCTGAGTCCCGCTGCTGTCCCATTTTATAAAGAAGGAGCTGAAGCCTGGAGGGCTCAGGACCCTGGGGCAGAGTGAGCAGGGAAGGACTGGGGTCTGTCTGGCCCCAGGCCTCCATGCTCTTGACTTTCAGCCCAGCAGGTGGGCAGTTACTCGGTGCAGAATGGGTGCCAAGTGCTGGGCAGTGCCCGGCATGGGCTTCTCTCTGCAGAGGGAGTGGAGCCGACGTGCTAGGGATGAAAACAGCAGTTTGAAGCTCCCTCGTGTGCCCGTGTCAAGCAGTGTCTTCCCAGGTTGCAGGTGGGAAAACTGAGGTGCAGAGAGGAAAGTGACTCAGACCCAGGGCTCCTGGCCTGTTAGGATTTTACTCTCAAGCCACTGTGCCACCCAGCACTGTCAGAGGTCCTCACAGCACCCGGTGAACACCGCCTGCAGCACAGAGGGAAATGCAGGGTGCTGGGGCAAGAGGGGAGAAAAATCAGGCCGGGTGCAGTGGCTCACACCTGTAATCCCAACATTTTGGGAGGCCGAGGCGGACGGATCACAAGATCAGGAGTTCGAGACCAGCCTAGCCAACACAGTGAAACCTCGTCTCTACAAAAAATACAAAAATTAGCCGGGCATGGTGGCACTTGCCTACAGTTCCAGCTACTCAGGAGGCTGAGGCAGGAGAATCGCTTGAACCCGGGAGGCGGAGGTTGCAGTGAGCCGAGATCACACCACCACTGCACTTCAGCCTGGGTGACAGAGCCACACTCTGTCTCAAAAAAAAAAAAAAAAAAAAAGGAGGGAGAAAAATCAAACCCTCTGACCCTCAAGTCTTTTCCAGGCTCCTAAAAGACCCACATGGCTCCTGAAGAGTCTTGGTGGGGCCAGGCCAGGGACAGACTTCCCTTCAGGAAGCATTGGTATTCTCCTGGGCTCAGGGCCTAAGGAGAACCCAGGTCAACTGACTCTAACCCTGGGCCCCACAACAAGGACACTTTCTAGCGCTCATGAGCCCTGGCCAAGCACTTTTCACTTAGGCACAGGGCAAGATGGGGCTGGCTTCTGGGGTTCTCCAGCCTCAGGAAGGTGATTCTCATGCTTCTTCTAGTGATCTCCCCTGAGCCCCACACCCGCTTTCTTGCCTCCCCCCAGTGTTCTCTCCCCTGAGCTTGGCAAGTGACAGTGACACAGCCAACGCCACGGCCAAGCCCTCTGGCTCACAGAGGGGCCAAATGCACCCGGTGAACTTCCTTTTGGCCCCTGTTAGCAGAGTTGTTTTTTTTTTAAAGAAAAAACAGGAACCAATCACCTATACTGTAGTTAATTAACAACCACTTGGTTTTGATTGACATGAACTCCGTTCTGAGAAGGAGCTAAGAGCAGAGATTATGAAAGAAGCTCAGGAATTCTTCATAAAACAGAGGACTTGATGGTATCGGACCTCCGGAAAGAGGCTCACTGTTATCACTCCATAACCCCCGATCCTGATAGAGTCCCCCTGACCCTGAGTCAGAATCTCAGTCAGTGCTTCTTGAAGACAGGCGACCCTGCACCCTGGCAGGAGCCAGCACCCTAACTTCCAGTTGGACTTGGGTCAACAGGCCTGTGATGTCCCTGTAATGAGGCCCCTTTGTTGCCCAAGGAGTTGAGTCTGATTTGGGGTCCTGGAGCTTGTGACCGCATCAGCCACCAACCTGGGGCTTGGTTTTCCTATCTCTTAAAAGGGACGGTTGGGCTAAGAGATTTCTAAACTTCCCTTTTGCTCTAAAATCCCATGTAGAATTCGTTGACCTTCAGTGAGAGATTGAACCACCTTGACTAAAAGACTTGTCACTCGGGTTCCCCTTTTGGGAGGGTTGGGTAAGACTCAGCTGGTTCTCAGGGTCAGCTACAGAGAACCTTTTTGACTTCCTTTATGTTTAAAGACTCAAGGGAGGCCGGGCGTGGTGGCTCACGCCTGTAATCCCAGCACTTTGGGAGGCCAAGGCAGGCGGATCACCTGAAGTCAGGAGTTCAAGACCAGCCTGGCCAACATGGGGAAACCCCGTCTCTACTAAAAATACAAAACTTAGCTGGGTGTGGTGGCAGGCACCTGTAATCCCAGCTACTCGGGAGGCTGAGGCTGGAGAATCACTTGAACCCAGAAGGCGGAGGTTGCGGTGAGCCCAGATGGCGCCACTGCACTCCAGCCTGGGTGACACAGCGAGACTCTGTCAAAAAAAAAAAAGATTCAAGGGGAAAACAAGACTTGTCCGTGGAGGAGTCGGGGGAAAATGAGCCCAGGTCAGGCCCAGGGGCCCCAGCAGAAAGTAATCATCATCATCATCACCATCATTATTATTATTATTTTGAGACAGAGTCTCACTCTGTCACCTGGGCTGGAGTGCAGTGGTTTGATCTTGGCCCACTGTAACCTCCACCTCCCAGGCCCAAGCGATCCTCCCATCTTAGCTTCTCGAGTAGCTGGGACTACAGGCATGCACCACCACAGTTGGCTAATTTTTGTATTTTTTGTAGAGACGGGGTTTTGCCATGTTGCCCAGGCCGGTCTAAATCATCATTTTTATTTGAAATTTAGAAGGAGTTCTCAAATGTCTCCTCCAAAGCTCAGAGAATGCAATGTCAAAAGTGAGTGAATCTACTTCTGGGTATAGACCCAAAATCATTGGAAGGGGAGACTCAAAGAGATATCTGCATACTCATGTTTATAGCAGCACTATTCACAATAGGCAAAAAGTGGAAGCAACCCAGGTTTCATGGCAGATGAATGTCCAAACAACATGTGGTCTATGGCCAGACTTAGTGGCTCACACCTGTAATCCCAGCACTGTGGGAGGCCGAGGTGGGCAGATCACCTGAGGTCAGGAGTTCCAAGACAAGCCTGGCCAAAATGGCGAAACCCCACCTCTACTAGAAATACAAAAATCAGCCAGGCATGGTGGTGGGTGCCTGTAATCCCAGCTACCCAGGAGGCTGAGGCAGGAGAATCGCTTGAACCCGGGAGGCAGAGGTTGCAGTGAGCCAAGATCGCACCATGGCACTCCAGCTTTGTGACAGAGACTCTGTCTCAAACAAACAAACAAACAAACAAAATGTGGTCTAGACATATGATTGAACATTATTCGGCCTTAAAAAGGAAGGAAATGCTGGCGCATGCTACAACATGGATGAACCTGAAGGATTTATGCTAAGTGAAATAAGCCAATCACAAAAGGACAAATACTGTGTGATTCCTTATATGAGTCCCTAAAATAGGCAATTTCATAGAGACAGAAATAGATAGAGGTTGCCAGAGGTGAGGGGAAGGGAATGGAAGTTACTGTGTAATAGGTATGAAGTTTCAGCTTTATGAGATGAAACAGTTCTGTGGATGGATGGTGGTGATGGTTGCACAGCCATGTGGGTGTACTTAATACCATTGAATGGTACGCTTGAAAATGGCTAAAACGGGAAATTTTATGTTATATGTATTTTATCAAAATAAAAAGACAAGTGAGTGAATGAAACTCTTTCTGCATATCTCTATATTATAGACTAAAGCAGCTCCCATTGGCTTGAATTCCTGGCAAGGAACACACGAAAAGCCTCCCTCTAGACTAAGAGGGGGTGGTGTTTGCTGATGTTTCAACCAAGGGTCTGGATATTGTGGCACAGACAGTGAAGAATCCCATTTGATCAGGCTGTTTTCCCTGGGTGATCTGGAGCCATCTGGTCCCAGAGCCTTTGAAAATCCTTGTACTGTCCAATAAGATTCCCACCCACCCTACCCTGCCCCGCTGAAAGCTTCGGGGCAATGGTCTGCGCTGGTTTTGAGTGATTCCATTAATCAAACCGAAACCAGGTATAGCTCTCCAATGTTCCCCAAGAACTCTCTTCAGGAAGACCAAACTCTGACAGAAAGAGCAAGGGGAATTACGCATTTTCTTGTCCAAAGAATTCCTTCTGCAATACTTCCGAGGACAAGAAACTTGACACTTTGCTAGACTTGGAAGAAATATTCTGCCTGTTGCCTACTAAGAAACATGCAGGCGCGTCCAGGCGGTCAGGTGCAGCTCAGCTGGCTTCTAATATCTACCAGACTCATGCCCACAGATTGTAATCGAATTTACTCCCTAAGAACTCGTGAAAGCTCTGGACTTTCTCCCCGGAAAAATGTACACGGGCACATACCCACGGCGATTCTGCAGACCTCCTCTTCACAAGTCCTGTTTTAGAGTGAGCATGTCTCCTCAGATGCCTCAACACTTAAACTTGGTTTTTTTTCTCCAAAAATAGGTGGAAAGGGCTAACAACAGCCACAGGGAAAGGCGAGCTGAAACAGTACCTCTCCATGGTCGGTCCTATTGTTCCTGGAGCCTGGGCAGTGTGTGGGAGAGGGCAGCCCTGTCATCTCCCCTTAGTAGGCTCTGGAGGGGAGAGCGCCTGACTCTCAAAGTGTCCTGGGAATTTGGCTGGGCGCAGTGGCTAATGCCTGTAATCCCAACACTTTGGGAGGCTGAGGCAGGTGGATCGTTTGAGGTCAAGAGTTCGAGACCAGCCTGGCCAACATGGTGAAACCCGTCTCTACTAAAAATACAAAAATTAGCCAGGCGTGGTAACACGCGCCTGTAATCCCAGCTACTTGGGAGGCTGAGGCAGGAGAATCGCTTGAATTCGGGAGGCAGAGGTTTCAGTGCAATCGCACCACTGCGCTCCAGAGTCTCACTCTGTCTCAAAAAAAAAAAAAAAAAAAAAAAAAAAAGTGTCCCAGGAACTTTAGTCAAGTCCCTAAAGTCTGGGACTGTCTCCGAGGGGGAACACAACTCAGGCACTTGGAAGTGTGTCTCCCTGAGCACTGCCCAGGTCCCCAGGACAGCTGGGTTGTGGGTATGACTTTGTGCCCGAAGGTGACGTCTGTCAGCCTAAAATCAAATTTTGAAAAGTGTTTCTGCGCAGCCGGCAAAGGCGCAATTCCTAGCACAGTGGCTCAGACGAGGCTACGTCCTCACCCTGTTTCTCCCTTGGCTCCTTGCCTTCCAGAGCTTTTCCAGCCCACCTCACCTTTCCTAGGACCGCAGGAGGAGCCAGGGAGCCTGCTGTGAAGCCACCTGCGGCGCACAGGCACATTTCAAAACAAAAGCGTAGAAACGCATCCTCCAGCACTCACCTGTCCGGAGCTGTCCCTCGCCTGGGTTCTGCCGGAGCTTCCCGAGGTGGGAACTGCAAAGCCTCTCTCGGGACTGGCCTCCACTCTGTCAACTGTGTGACTCTTTGCACAAATAGATACTTCTCCTTTTTGCTCTGTCTCTCTGTGTGTTTTTCCTCTTCTGTTCCCCTCCCTGATTTTCAATCTGATTATTTGTGTCAAAATCTGGCGGTGAACAAGCAGCCAATGAAGAGAGCGCGGGAGCTCAGCCGTATTTGCTTATCAAAACTTTCCAGGACACAAGACTTCGAATTCTCATTTCTAACCCTCGACACTTGGAGCGGCACGCTTTCTCTCTGCAGAGAAATTCAGAATTTCGCTGGAAATTTTGAATAACATCTGCACAAAAAGAAAGTGATGGCTAAATTATTAAATTTTAAAAATTAAAGTTAGAAAAAGCTCTAACTTATAAAACTCGATTTTGCATAGGGAAGTCATTGCTCTTTGGTTTTTTTCTTCTTTCTTTTCTCTTGCCTTTTTTCTTCCTTCCCTCCTTCCCTCCTTTTTCCTTCCTTCTCTTCCTCCTTTCTTTCTTCCTCCCTCCCTGCCTCCTTCCTTCCCTTCCTTATTTTCCTTCTTCCTCCCTCCTTCTTTCCTTCCCTCCCTCCCTCCTTCTCCTCCTCTCCTCTCTCTCTCTTCCCTCCTTTCCTCCCTCCTTTTTTCCCTGCCTCCCTCCTCGCTGCCTCCTCCCCTCCCTCCCTCCCCAAGTTCAGCACCCTGAGGCTTGTGAGAGCCAGGCTGGTGCAATGCCCCTAGTACCCGAGCCGGCCACATGCATAGAGGCCCCTCTTGTCCTTGCAGAGGTCATATCTCAGAAGAGACATCAAATTTGCATTTCCCCCAGATATGACCTTTGAGCGGGTAGAGGCACCCTGGAGGTGTGGCAGTGAGTTCGGAGGCCAGGAGACGCTCGGCCTGCTGAAGCTGCCATACAGATTGAAGGCCAGGTGCCAGAGCCCGTGTGTGCTGCCCTCTGGTGGCAGACAAAGTGATGGGGAGGCCAGTGGGGGCCTCTGGGGTGTCCCATTGATGCTGGGGGGAGTGAGGGCGGTAAAGCTTGGCTGAGCTGGCTGGGGCATTTCTTCCCATTTGGCAGGGCGTCCCATCCCCTGGCTCCCCACCTTCTCCCTCCTCCTCTGGCCCCCGCCTCCTCCCGCTTGCAGGATGACTGATTTATTTCAGGAGGTTTTGCATAAGATGAGAACGCCACAAACAGAGCACTGTTAGGCTGCTTTGTCTGCTCTTCCAGCCCGGGTGCTGGAGATATTATGTTTCCCTCATAAAGAAAACAAGTCTGGTGACAGGAAGCCCCAATTTAAACTGCAAGTCCAAGGTTCAAAATGAAGAAAAAGGGGTGTTTCAGGCGAGGTCTTTCTGCTGGGCCAGCCCTGGAGCACCAGCCAGGAGGACACAACCCTGTGGTCACCAGGCCTCAGTAATGCTGGGGTGTCAGTCCCAGCCCCAGGCTACAGACAGCAGACCACTGCTCCCAGCTCTGTGGTCTCTCTTGGTGGAAAGAAACATCTTTTTAAAAAATTATTATTGGCTGGGCACAGTGGTTCACGCCTGTAATCCCAGCACTTTGAGAGGCCGAGGCAGGCGAGGATCACTTGAGATCGGGAGTTCAAGACCAGCCTGACCAACATGGAGAAACCCCATCTCTACAAAAAATACAAAATTAGCTGGGTGTGGTGGCACATGCCTGTAATCTCAGCCACTTAGGAGGCTGAGGCAGGATAATTGCTTGAACCCAGAAGGCAGAGGTTGCGGTGAGTCCAGATCGCACCATTGCACTTCAGCCTGGGCAACAAGAGCAAAATTCTGTCTCAAGAAAATTATTATTATTATTATTATTTTCTTAGAGACAGGAGTTGGCTTTGTAGCCCAGACTGGAGTGCAGTGTTGCAATCATAGCTCACTGCAGCCTCGACCTCCCTGGCTCAAGAGATCCTCCTGCTTCAGCCTCTTGAGTGGCTGGGACTACAGGCGCACCACCATGCCTGGTTAATTTTTTTATTTTTTTTAGAGATGGGGTCTTGCTATGCTGTCCAGTCTGGTCTAAATCATTATTTTTATTTGAAATTTAGAAGTTCTCAAATGTCTCCTCTAAAATTCAGAGAATGCAATGTCAAAAGTGAGTGAATCTACTTCTGGGTATAGACTCAAAATCACTGGAAGCAGAATCGAAGAGATATTTGCACACTTACATTTATAGTGGTACTATTCACAATAGGCTGGTCTTGAACTCCTGGCCTCAAGCGATCCTCCTGCCTCAGCCTCCCAAAGTGCTGGGATTACAGGCACGAGCTGCTGTGCCCAGCCAGGGACACATCTTGAGTATTCTGTGGGTGTTGTACATTGCCAACAATCAGCTAGAACTGCTTGTCATTATGCAGAAAACTTAAAATATTCTCTCCAAGTCAACAAGTCCCCAGTTTCCTCATGTTCTCACTTCCCTATACACACATACACACATTTTGCTACTGTAAACCAGCGTGTCATTTTCCGTGAAACATGATTTTATGGAAGTGCTTCCTAAGTTCGTTTGCAGCCTTTATTGACATCTTTAATGGTTTCACCATTAAATCTTTAATGGTTTCATGGTTTATCTCACCAAACGCTTCCTCCACTTGTTTAGGGTGTTTTCTAATAGGAAGCGGCTGTATCAGGCACATGCAGTTCAACTGCTGTTCTAAGATTGTAATCCCACTTTAGGGTCCCTACCTTCCCCCGTGAGTAACTGACACAGGGACAGCCTTCCCAGACCCAGACCAGGGACCCAGCCTGCAGATGAAGCCACCCAGGTTCCCCTTGATGGGAGAGCAGTGGCCAGGCAGCCAGTCCCCTGGCATAGCAGTTGAAGCCAGGAGTCCCCAGCCAGCCTCACCCAGGCCCTTACAGCCCTGGACTTCCCATGCTCTGTGTCCCCTCCAGGGCTGCCTGTAAAGCTACCAGCACTTCCCTTAGTGAGCAGCCCTGGAGTCAACACCTTCATTTAGTCTCTCCCAAGAGCTAAATCGCTTCCGCATTCCCATGCCCATTCATCAGTTTATTCATTCATTTAACAGTTACCATTAGGTACCTTTCGTGTATCAGCTCTTTCCTTCCCTCCCTTATGTAACACATGTGTATCGAGTGCCCACAACAAGGCACCACATGCTGGGGTTTCAAAAAACAGCCGGACTTTTCATATTCCTTCCTGGTCTAGAGGGTAGGAAAGAGCAACCTGAAATTTACAATTTGGGGTGACAAGTGCTGTGATATAAACATAGTATACAAAAGAAGCCTGGGGCATTTGGAAATGGACCCAGGCTTGGGGGGGTTGGTGAAGGAAGTGATATCTAAGTTGATGCCTAGGCTAAGTTAGTTGGGAGAAGGAAGGTAGGGAAAAGTGTCTCAAAGAAGAACAGCATTGTGCTAAGAGCTGGAGGTCCCCTGAAGGGAGCTGACAGCAGCCAAGTTCATTAGGGAAGAAACGCAGACTGAAGGAAGGGGAGGGAAGGTTAGGACTTTTGAGAGCTGAGCCTAGAGAAAGAAAAAGAACAAAGATCAGGAAGATTCTTCCCTGGTTTAAAAACCTTCAATAATTTCCCTTTACCTTTAGGACAAAAATCTCAGCTTCAGAGATCAATACTCCGTGTTTTTCACAATGTCGGCACCCTTTCAAATAACAGCACTTTTCCAGATGCGAGTTGCAGGAAGTTTCAAAAAGATGGGGTCTTGCTCTGTAGCCCAGGCTGGTCTTGAACTCCTGGTCTCAAGCAATCCTCCCAAGCTCCTGAGTAGCTGGGATTACAGGTGCATGCCACCGTGCCCAGTACAGAAACACAATTTAAACTCATTTAATAATAACAATGAAACAATTAATTCATGTCACAGAAAATTTTCAGCTTCTGACATGGTTGGATCCAGATGCTCAAATGATACTGTCTGGAATCTCACTCATTCAGGTCATTGGCACTTCTCGTGCCCTCTGCCTGGATGGCCTAACTCTCTGATTTCCCCAAGCCTGTCTCCTTCTTGTCATCCAGGTCTTAGCGGAAATGTTACTTCTGCAGAAAGACCTCCTTGACCTTCAACTAAAGTAGGACCTCCCCACCCCAGTCACTTTCTATTCCTTCACCCACCCCTTTCTTCTTAGCATTCACACTTATCTGAAAATATCTTGCTTGTCTTCCCTTTTTTTTTTTTTTTTTTTTTTGAGACGGATTCTGGCTCTGTCGCCTAGGCTGGAGGGCAGTGGCACAATCTCGGCTCACTGCAACCTCCTTCTCCCAGGTTCAAGCGATTCTCCTGCCTCAGCCTCCCGAGTAGCTGGGATTACAGGTGCCCGCCACCAAGCCTGGCTAATTTTTTTGTGTTTTTAGTAGAGATAGAGTTTCACCATGTTGGCCAGGCTAGTCTCAAACTCCTAACCTCAAGTGATCCTTGCCTGCCTCGGCCTCCCAAAGTGCTGGGATTACAGGTGTGAGCCACCGCGCCTGGCCATCTTCCTATCTTTTAATTCATTTATTTATTGCTCTAACTTCCCACAAGGAATGTCCATGCTACAAGAGCAGGAACTGTTTTTCCAGGCACACAGCTCAGGGCTTAGACTCTCCAGGGCTTAGAACAGTGTTTGGGAGACACTAATGATATCTTCACAGAGTGAATAAATGAATGAATGAATGACTCTCTCTCCATCATCTCGGCTTTGCTTCCCTCTGTGTTGGCCTCATCCTCACGCCATGATCTCTACCCACTTTATGCGGCTCTTATCTCTGGGCCTAGGAACCCCAGTGGAAAGAGAGATTCCTCCTCAATTGTTTCAGAAAGATTGCTAGGGTTGACTCTGATTGGCCCAGCCTGGTCACAAGCACATCCAGCACCAATCATTGTGCCCAGGGGGAGGGATATGGGCCTCTCATTGGCCGGGGCTGGCAGACTTTCCCGCCAAAACCATGAGGTTGCTTAAGTGTAGAGGAAGAGGTGGGTTTGAGCAGGAACAACAGCTGTCATTAAACAGAATAAGGCCAGAGAGGCGTTTGGAGCCATGGCTTCTATCTTCTACCTTCTAACTGTCCTCTCATTATCACCTGGATATGCTGTGTCCTTTCTTGCCTCACCTGTTCCCCTTGTCTGGAATGGTTCTTTCTCTTCAGCCCCCTCCTTCACAGCTCAATCCAGCTCTCAACGCCTCCAGGAAGCCCTCCCAGACGCCCCACAATCCAGGGAGTCATCTGTTGTCTACAGATTTGGCCCACCCGTGACGACCCTTGGATTCCTGTCTTGCTCGGTTACTCATGGGGCCTCACTTGCTTTTCGGTGAGACTGGGGGCTCCTTAAGGGCAGGAACGTCATGGGGTCCTCTGTCTGTGGACAACGGGCGTGGGCCGGGCCTCAGCACACACGCTGGCCTGCAGGGACCATATCAGGGCTGAATACATGGGAACCACCACTGCTGAGGCCGGGCCACGGGCCCTCTATAAGGACAGCTCCGGCAGGTGCAGGTGGGCTGGGGAAGCTCTGTGCGGGGGTCGTGGGATATTGGGGGTGAATGTTCTGTGCCGGGTGGCACCGGGGCTACGACACTCCCAGGCATCGGCTGTGTGAACTTGGGCAGCTTCTGGCCTTGGCCCAGGACAGCCACAGAATGTGACGGTCATGAGCTGAACCCAACAGTCCTGGGAATGGGACAATGGACCCGGTGGTCCCTGCCCTCCAGGGGCTCCCAGAGAGCCGGCTGGGCATTGGGGCTCGTCTGCTCTATGTACATCTTGGTGCCAGAAAAGTGCCTGCTGGCTCTGTCCCGCTGCGAGTGCGCTGAAGGGTGGACAGCAGTGGGCAGCAGGCCAAGTAGGAAACGTCCACCTGGTCATCGGCGGCTACGGACCTCTTTCCAGGTCCAGGCTCCTTACCGGGGGCTGCAGGCAGTCGACGTGCGGGAGCCCGGCTTGCAAACCCTGCCTGTCGTCGGGGCTGGCACTGCCCTCCGACTCCCCACCCTACGACCCAGGCGCTCCGCTCCACACGGGAAGCAATTCACCATCCCACCACACGGTGGCACTCCTGCCTACCTTTCCTCGAACAAAAACCAGCCTGAAAAAAGTGAAAATAATTATCTGTGTACAGGTACATGCTGTTTGAATTACAAGAGTAATATATGATCAGAGTTGAAATAAGAAAAAGAAGAATATGCACCTGTGTCCCATCCCCATTAACTATTTTTTCACTGAGACAGAGTCTCACTCTGTCGCCCAGGCTGGAGTGCAGTGGCTCCATCATGGCTCACTGCAGCCACGACCTCCTGGGCTCAAGTGATCCTCCTGCCTCAGCCTTCCGAGTAGCTAGGACCATAAGCACACACCACCACACCCAGCTAATTTTTGTTTGTTTGTTTTTGAAACGGAGTCTAGCTCTGTTGCCCAGGCTGGAGTGCAGTGGTGCAATCTCGGCTCACTGCAACATCCACCTCCCAGGTTCAAGTGATTCTCCTGCCTCAGCCTCCCGAGTAGCTGGGATTACAGGCGCCCGCCACCACGCCCAGCTAATTTCTGTATTTTTAGTAGAGACGGGGTTTCACTATGTTGGTCAGGCTGGTCTTGAATTCCTTACATCAAGTGATCTGCCTGCCTTGGCTTCCAAAAGTGCTGGGATTACAGGCATGAGCCACTACTCCTGGCCACCTGGCTAATTATTTTTTAAAAATTTTGTAGAGACAGGGTCTTGCTCTGTTGTCCAGGTTGGTCTCAAACTCCTAAATCCATGAGATCTGCCCACCTCGGCCTCCCAAAGTGCTGGGATTACAGGCGTGAGCCACCACACCCAACCCAATTTTTTTTTTTTTTTTTAGACAGAGTCTTGCTTTGTCACCCAGACTGGAGTACAGTGGCATGATCTCAACTCACTGCAACCTCTGCCTCCCTGGTTCAAGTGATTCTCCTGCCTTCGCCTCCCTAGTAGCTGGGATTACAGGCACGTGCCACCATACCCAGCTAATTTTTGTATTTTTAGTGGAGACAGGGGTTTGCCATGTTGGCCAGGCTGGTCTCGAACTCCTGACCTCAAGGGATCTGCCAGCCTCAGCCTCCCAAAGTGCTGTGATTACAGACGTGAGCCACCATGCCCGGCCAACAGTAACGTTTTTGAAGTCTATTTTTCTTGTTTCTTTCTCTGTCTCTCCTTCTGTCTCTCTTGCCCTCTTTTCCTCCCTGCTTCCCTTTTCCTGTCTCTCTTTCCCACTTGTATGTGTTTATAATGTTTTCAATTCAAATTAATCCACATTGACCCTTTGCTTTTGAGTAACCACACAGGCAGATGACAACTCCCCCAGCTTGGAAGTTGAAGTCCCTTCAACCCTCCTGTCTTAGGGAACCTCAGATGGGGAAGGGCAGTATTCAGGTGGGAGGCCATGGGGTGAGGTTTGGGGTGCATCCACTTCTCGAGATGGCTGGTGTGCCTCAGAGAAGCATGGAAGGAGTGTGGGGGGGACACAGGGAACTTGGGTGGGAGTCAGGGACTCTGGGTGCAGGTGAAGTACAGGACAGCGTTCAGGCCACAGGCCTGCCTGAAGCTCCCCAGAAACCCTGGCAGGGGTGTCAAACCCATGGGCCCCACTTCTAAGTTTAGGAAATAACAAGAAGATTGACAAGTCCATCTGGGCCGGGCGCAGTGGCTCACACCCATAATCCCAGCACTTTGGGGACTGACGTGGGAGGATTGCTTGAGCCCAGGAGTTCAAGACTGGCCTGGGCAAAATAGTGAGTTATTATTTCTCAGCAGAAATATTCAACAGCTGACTATAAAACTCTGCCCTTTCTCTCTTTAACTGGATGGTTAAGAGCAGTCTTAGTTGCGGCAGGGTTAGGGTTAGGTGATGTCAGCTTGATTCTTATCAGGTGAGTGGTGCTAATTTACATGGCAGGTTGATTATTAATGAAACACCTGACATTTGGTTACCGCCCCATAAACTCTTGATGACTTCCGCATTGGTGTTCTCCCTAGAGACTCACAGAAATCCCACTCTGAGGCTGCAGAGATGAAGGAGGAGCGAATGAAAGTTTGTTGAAGCTTACCCTGGGCCAGACAGGGTGGAGGGGCTTTATACGCCTCATCTCTTAGTCTTTTGGAGCATTTTGCCGCAGGAAATTACCGAGCATATGATGGAAAACCAAGAACCAACCCCCAGGCAGGGCTGGCGCTATGGTCAACCACATAAGTAGGGGCAATCTGCCTGATCCACTAGGGCACAGACACACCCCCCTGGCCAACCTTTTCTGATGAGCACCACACTGCACGTCACAGATCAGGAAGCGTGGCCATGGATGCATGCAACTCTGTGCTCTTCCCAACAAGCTCTCTCTCTGTGTGCGTGCGTGCGTGCATGCGTGCGTGTGTGTTCATTAGCCAGCCTTAGGAGGGTACAAATCTCCCAGTGGGTCCTCACCTCCCCAGTCAAGCCCCTTCGAGTAGCACCCCCAGCAGGTACTGGCCTGGTGTCTGGGCAGGTTCAGCAAACAGAGGAGCTTGCTGTGGCTACTGATGGGGAGAGGCCCTGTCTCCTGTCTGGGTCAGGGAGGCTTGGACCCAGGGCTTGGCTCCAGTCTCCAGACCCAGGAAGCAAAACCTCAAAGGAACATATAAGGAAATGAAGAGCACTGTGGGAAGACTTCAGAGAATGTGCACCCCTTTGCAGAAGACTTGGGAATAAAAAACCCATTTAGGAAAGATCCCTCTCTTCTCCCATCGATGGGGTTCCTTCTCAACACTGATCAGCACTAAGAATGTGCTGGAAGGCGGGAGGCTGAGGTGGGGGAATCAACACCAGGGAGCCCTCCAGCAGCCAGGATTTGCACGCGATTTACATCTATTTTGCATGTACCGGCCGCCTTCGGAGATTTTAACTGTTTCATGAAATTTTCCCTGAAGGATGAACATTGTTCTCTTCCTGCTGCTTTTTAGCAAAACCCATGAGAGTCAGGGTGATGAAAAGAGGTTCCTTTCACCAAGGATGATGGAGATGCTGGGGAGAGTGGGCTTGTGAAAGTGGTCTGTTAACACATTTCTGCAAGATGAATGGTTTGCAGTTTTAAAGGGGCCCTTGTAATAAGCTCATTTGGAAAACAGGAAAGAGTCCTTTACAAATCATCTCACCCAGTTCCAGCAATCCCACGCACGGGTATAGACCCAAACGCACTGAAAGGCACGCGGAAAGATCTTTGCACACCCGTGTTCACAGTAGTGTTATTTACATCAGCCAAAAGGTAGAGGCAACCCAAGTGTCTGTGACAGATGAATGCATACATGGAATGTAGTTGGTCCATACGACGGAGTATTATTATTCAGCCTTAGAAAGGAATGAGGCTGTGACACAGGCAACAACCTGGATGAACCCCGAGGACGTTATGCTAAGTGAAATAAGCCAGTCACAAAAAGACAAATACGGTCACTTCATTTACCTGAGTTACCTAGAGTAGTCAAAATAATAGGGACAGGCCGGGCACAGTGGCTCACGCCTGTAATCCCAGCACTTTGGGAGGCTGAGGCAGGCGGATCTCCTGAGGTCTGGAGCTCAAGACCTGCCTGGCCAACATGGCGAAACCCAGTCTCTACTAAAAATACAAAAAAATTAGCCAGGCCTGGTGGTGCGCGCCTGTAGTCCCAGCTACTCAGGAGGCTGAGGCATGAGAAGCGCTTGAACCCGGGAGGCAGAGGTTGCAGTGAGCCGAGATCATGCCACTGCACTCCAGCCTGGGAGACAGAGTGAGACTCTGTCTCAAAAAAAACATAAAACAAATCATAGAGACAGGAAGTGGAATGGTGGTTGCCAGGGGTTGGGGGACAGGCGACTGGGGAGTTTGTATTTAATGGGGACAGAGTTTTGGTTTTGCGAGATGAAAAAGTCCTGGAGATGGATGGTTGTGGTGGTGGTTGTGGACTGATATGAACGTACTTAAGCCGATGCCACTGAACTATACGCTTAAAAATAATTAGGATAATAAATTGTATGTTCTGTGTACTTTATAACAATTAATTGATAAAAACCACAAAACCTCCATGCCTCTGAGGCCTTCATTTTCACAAATGGGGAAAGCAGAGGTACAGCGGGGTGAAGTAAGATCTAGAACCCAGGGAATGTTCCTACCTTGCGATTAGGATCTCAGACTCTTCTTACCGAATATTCTAATTATATTTTGACCTTCAAATATTTTTTAAACATTTATATTATATAAAATTTCAAACAAAAAAGCGAATTAATCTTATCTAATGAACACCCCAATATCTACTACCTATATTCAACAATAGTTAGCATCTGCCAGATATGCTTTCTGTCCCCTATGCATATCTAAGTGTATACAATTATATTTTACTTTAATAAAATGTTAAAAATACATATATTGCAGCCCAGGCATAGTGGCTCACACCTGTAATCCCAGCACTCTGGGAGGCTGAAGTGGGAGGATTGCTCGAGCCCAGGAGTTCGAGACCAGCCCAGGCAATGTAGTGAGGCCTCGTCTCTACTAAAAAAAAAATTTTTCTTTAATTAGCCAGGTGTGGTGGCATGCATGTGTAGTCCTAGCTACTCAGCATGCTGAGGAGAAGGATCACTTGATCCTGGGAGATAGAGGCTGCAGTGAGCTATGATCACCAGTGCACTCTAGCCCAGGTGACAGAGCAAGACACTGTCTCAAATCAAATAAATAAATAAATAAATAAATAAATAAATAAATAAATAAAAGAATGGCTGGGCACTGTGGCTCACACCTGTAATCCCAGTACTTTGGGAGGCCAAGGCAGGTGGATCATTTGAGATCAGGAGTTCGAGACCAACCTGGCCAACATGGTGAAACCCCATCTCTACTAAAAATATAAAAAATTAGCCGGGCGTGGTGGCACATGCATGTAATCCCAGCTACTCGGGAGGCTGAGGCAGGAGAATCGCTTGAACCCAGAGGCGGAGGTTACAGTGAGCCAAGATTGTGCCACTGCACTCTAGCCTGGGTGACAGAGCAAGAGTCCATCTGAGAAAAAAAGAAAAATATGTGTATACACACACATACACACACACACACGTGTATATATGTGTATATATATAATAGATATCATGACACTTCACCCATACTGGAGCATGTATCTCCTAAACATAAGGATATTGCTTTCATACATAATCACACAACTACAATGTCATTATCGTACCTAAGAAAATTATCAATAGTTCCCAAATGTTGTCGAATATCCAGTCTATATGGACATTTTTGCAGTTTCCCCCAGTTTTCTTTGATAGTTCCTCTTTTAGAATCAGGATCCAGACAAGTTGCAAGCATTGCATGAGTGTATTATGTCTTTAGCTTCCTTTATGATGGAAGAGCACCCCCTGCCCCTTTCTTTTCGTAATGATTTTTTCCCCCTAAAAGAGCCCAGGCCAGTCCAGTAGAAGGTTCAGCATTTGGGATTTTCTCATTGTTTTGTCATGGTGCCATTTAACCTCTTCCTCCACCTGCTGTGTCTTAGTCCATTTTCTGCTGCTATAACAGAATGCCACAGACTGGGTCACTTATAAAGAAAAGATTTATTTGGCTCACAGTTCTGGAGGCTGGGAAGATTGAGGGGCCACATCTGGTGAGGGCTTTTGTGCTGCATTACTCCATGGAGAAAGGCAGAAGGGCAGGCAAGCACCGAAGACAGAGAGAGTACAGGTGGGGGCTGAACTTCCCTCCCCAAAGAACTAATTCTCTCCATGGTAACAGCATTAATCTACTGATGAGGGCATGACCGAATCACCTGTCAAAGGCCCTGGCTCTTAATTCCTTCCCAATGACAATTAATTTCAAAATGAGTTTTGGAGAGGACATCTAAACCCTAGCACTCTGTGTCTTGGAACCCATATTCCCATGGCAATGCCTATTCCTGAATAAACATTATTTTCAAGACCTCACTGTGTCCTGGAAGTCAGGTCCTAGGCTTGGTTGGATTCAGATGAGATGTTTTAGGCACGGATACTTCACAGGTGACGCTGTGGGCTTCACTGCATCAGGAGGCATCTAACAGTAGGTTGTCCCACCTTAGTGATGCTGAGTTTGGTTAAAATGGTGACACCCAGTTCTCTCCATCATAACTGAATTAAGAAGCAATCTGCAGGTTAGGACTTTGTCGCCAAGCAAACATCCTGTTCTCCACAGTCTCCCCTACTGGTTTCAGCATCCATGGCAGCTCCTTGCTATAATCAATTACATCACTGGTGGCTTCAAAACTATTATTCTTCCAATTCTATCATTCCTTCTACATTTATTATCTGTAAAGAAGAGCTTTCTCTCATTAGCTGGGGATGAACCACAGTTCTAAAAAATGAGAGTGTAAGTGATTTGTCTTCTCTCCTTAATTGCTGATGTTCATAGCAAGGTGATGTAACTGGGATTTTTTCTTCTTTTTTCTTGTTCTTGTTCTTTTCTTTTTTTTTTTCTTTTTGAGATAGGATCTCACTTTGTTGCCTAGGCTGAAGTGCAGTGGTGTGATCATGGCTCACTGTAGCCTCAACTCCTGGGGCTCAAGTGATTCTCCCACCTCAGCCCCCTGAGGAGCTGGAACTATAGGTACGCGCCACCACACCTGACCAATTTTTTTATTTCTTGTAGAGATGGGGTCTCACTATGTTTCCCAGGCTGGTCTCAAACTCCTGAACACCAGCGGTTCTCCTGCCTTGACCTCTCAAGTGCTGAGAAAGCAGGCGTGAGCCACTGTGCCTGGCCTATTTTTGTTGTCCATTCTCTTTTCCCCCTTAAACTTCAGCATCGCTGTGAACTCATGGATTTTTTTAATAATTTAATTTAATTTTAAGTTCCAGGATACATGTGTAGGAAATGCAGGTTTGTTACATAGGTAAACATGTGCCAGAACTCATGGATTTTTATTTATTCAACATTTTACATTAAATTGCAGAAATTCTATTTTATGGCTCCTGTGGACACTATAGCAATTACATGTTGGGTGGCTTAAAACAACAGAAATTTCTTGCCTGTCAATTCTGGAGGCTGGAAGTCGGAAATCAAGGTGTCGGCAGGATTGGTTCCTTCTGGAGTCTCCGAGGGATGACCTGACCCAGGCCTCTCTCCCAGTGCCTGCTGGCTGCGGGCAATCTTTGGCATTCCTTGGCCTGGAGCTGCGCCACTCCAATCTCTGCCTCTGCCTTCATGGGGCCTCCCACTCCGTGTCTATGTCCGTCCTGCTTCTGTCTTATACAAGGACACAGGACATTGGATTAGAACCCAGCCGGCTAATCCAAGATGGTCTCATTTTGAGATCATTAATTACATCTGCACAGACCTTTTTCCCAAATACGGTCACATTCACAGGTACTGAGTGTTAGGATTTGGACCTATCTTTTTAGGGGGCCACTATTCAACCCACTACGGTTTCCTCAAATTTTGTCACGAACAGCACATCCAGGTTAGTTTCTGTATGGGTCTGACATTTCCGAATCAATCTTCGAGCATGTCCTTGCTTTCTAACACAAGAAGGTGACCCACTTGTACTTCCCCTGCTGCATTTCTGGAAGCAGCCAGTTCTTTCAGCCTAGTTCTATTTAGTGAGGGCTGGGATCTAAAGCCATGGCCAGGAGTTCTTGTTACTGGGCACCTGCCTCTAAGCTGTTTCAGTGTTCAGAACTAGGAAATCGATGCTTTTTAATTTATTTTTGTAATTATGACTTTGTCAATCTAAACAACAAACAGAGAGAAAGACTCTCTAGAAGAAAATAATGTTTATTCAGGTATAGGCATTGCAATGGGAATATGGGGGCCATAGTAAATTATTGATATGTACATATTCTGGGAGGTAAAGGAAGGCAAAAGTTTTTAAAGAAAAAATGAGGACCAGCCTGGCCAACATGGCGAAACCCCATCTCTACTAAAAATACAAAAATTAGCCGGGCATGGTGTCAGGTGCCTATAATCCCAGCTACACGGAAGGCTGAGGCCGGAGACTCGCTTGAAACCAGGAGGCAGAAGTTGCAATGAGCCGAGATCACGCCACTGCACTCCAGCCTGGAACTCCATCAAAAAAAAAAAAAAAAAAAAAAAAAAAAGGAAGAAAAATTGTTTTGAGATAATCATCCTTGGCTACAAGGATCAGTAACAAGGGTAGCACAGTTCAAGACTGGACAGGCAGTTGCTGGGCAGATGTCCTCACAGAAGTATTTTTGTGTGTGTAGAATTGTGACGGCCTTTGTGCAAGGTTGTGGTTTTTGCAAAATCTTTTGCGATAGTGATTGTGACCAGGCATTGATGCATGAGAACCCGCCCGTCATGGCCTTCCCCGGCTCTTCTTGTCAGGGTTTTTAATACAAGTGGCTGAAAATTGATTCAGACAATTTTCACAAGTTCCTATTGATATTCTCAGTTTGAATTTAGCATTACTGGGTTTTGTTTGTATACAGTGAAGGGGTCCAAGAGCCGTTTTGTTATATGCATAGATTGCATAGTAGTGAAGTCTGGTATTTTAGTGTATCCATCACCAGATAGTGTATATTGTACCCGTTAAGTAATTTCTCAGCATTATAGGTTTTTATTTAATTAATTTATTTATTTAGAGATGGAGTTTTGCTTTTGTTGCCCAGGCTGGAGTGCAATGGCGTGGTCTCGGCTCACTGCAACCTCCACCTCCCAGGTTCAAGCGATTTTCCTGCCTCAGCCTCCCAAGTAGCTGGGATTACAGGCGTGCATCACCATGCCCAGCTAATTTTGTATTTTTAGTAGAGATGGGGTTTCACCATGTTGGCCAGGCTGGTCTTGAACTCCTGACCTCAGGTGATCTTCCCACCTTGGCCTCCCAAAGTGCTGGGATTACAGGTGTGAGCCACCCATGCCCAGCCTGCATTATAGGTTTTTAAAAATACTTGATTTTATATTTGTGTCTCTTTTCTCTTACATTGGAAATCTTGGTTCTTGACAAAATTCGCATTTTTATCTCTGCATCTTACTGCGCCATAGTTTATTCAATCAGTCCCCTATTTTTTTTCTTTTTTAAACTTTTTTGAGAGGCTTTTGGGCAAAAACCAGAAAGCCTGCTAGACAAATTCTAAAAGAACTGTAACACTAATCAGTCCCCTATTAATTGACATTTGGGTTGTCTCCAATATTCAACTTTTGCAGATAATGCCATAAGAAATATTTTTTTGGCCGGGTGCAGTGGCTCACACCTGTAATCCTAGCACTTTGGGAGGCTAAGGTGGCTGGATCACCTGAGATCAGGAGTTCGAGATCACGCCACTGCACTCCAGCCTGGATGACAGCAAGACTCCATCTCAAGGGAAAATAATAATAACAATAATAATAATAATAATTTTTTTGAGACGGAATCTGTCTCTGTCGCCCAGACTGGAATGCATCTGGCGTGATTTTAGCTCACTGCAACCTCCGCCTCCCAGGTTCAAGAGATTATTCTGCCTTCGCCTCCTGGGTAGCTGGGACTACAAGTGCGTGCCACAACATGCCACTAATTTTTGTATTTTTAGTAGAGATGGGGTTTCACCACGTTGGCCAGGCTGGTCTTGAACTCTTGACCTCGTGATCTGCCCGCCTCAGCCTCCCAAAGTGCTGGGATTACAGGCATGAGCCACCACGCCTGACCAATAATATTTTTTTGAAATGAAAGTTCCCATATATGTAATACTGAACCCAGCCTACTAGTGTACAACATGTAAACAAAGAGAAAAAATAGATTCCTTTTTTTTTTTTTTTTTTTTTTTGAGATGGAGTCTCACTCTGTTGCCCAGGCTGGAGCGCAGTGGCGCCATATCAGCTCATTGCAACCTCTGTCTCCTGGGTTTAAGAGATTCTCCT
This sequence comes from Homo sapiens, assembly GCF_000001405.40. Classification (NCBI taxonomy): domain Eukaryota; kingdom Metazoa; phylum Chordata; class Mammalia; order Primates; family Hominidae; genus Homo; species Homo sapiens. The sequence continues at coordinate 132,962,987 of NC_000009.12, read as the reverse complement.
GCCTCAGCCTCCCAATTAGCTGGGACTGCAGGCTGGTGCCACCACGCCTGGCTATTTTTTTTTTTTTTTTTGTATTTTTAGTAGAGATGGGTTTTCACCACGTTGGCTAGGCTGGCCTCAAACTCCTGACCTCAAGTGATCCACCCGCCTTGGCCTCCCAAATTAGTGGGATTACAGGCGTGAGCCATTGCGCCTTGTCAAAAATGTATTCCTAATAAAACATGTCAAACTGTCCAGATATGGTGACATTTTCAGCTTGATATGGTGATGATGGTGACCTTGATAGAACATAATATGTGTGTCATCTCATGTGTAATTCCTTATAGACCCAGCTTGGTTCTTCTTCAATATCTCCTTTTGGAGTTGTACCTAATTTGATTACCAGTTTTCATCTGATTCCACTGGGAAATGGGATGATTTTTGCTTTTGTTTCTTGGCCAGGAATCACTTAATCCTCAAAGTCTTGTGAGAAGACATGGCGAGAAGCAGAGTCAAACACACACCACGATAGCAGAGAAGGGAAGAGAGAGAGAAGAAAGAATCTTTTATGGGCCAGGAGAGGAGGCTCACACTTGTAATCCCGCACTCTGGAAGGCTGAGGTGAGCGGATCACCTGAGGTCAGGAGTTTGAGACCAGCCTGGCTAACATGGTGAAACCCTGTCTCCACTAAAAATACAAATAATTAGCCAGGCATGGTGGCTCGCATCTGTGGCCCCAGCTACTTGGGAGGCTTAGCCACGAGAACTGCTTGAACTCAGGAGGTGGAGGTTGCAGAAAGCTGAGATGGTACCACTGTACTCCAGCCTGTGTGACAGAGTGAGATTCTGTCTCAAAAGAAAAAAAAAAAAAGAAAAAAAAAACAATTCTGTATGCACACATGTGTGAGTGTAGGGTTGTGTGTGTGTGTGTGTGTGTGTGTAGAGTGTAGGTGTGTAGGGAAGATGCATAGCAAAGAAAGAATGCACACATTATGGCCTTAGATATGGCCAAATTCCTGTCTAGAGAGGGTGTGCAGTCCTGTCCTCCCACTCCCAGAAGTGTAGATTTGTTCCCACAGCCTTGCCAGCAAGGTGGGTTGTCAAATTTGGGGAATTTTGGCCGGGTGCGGTGGCTCTCACCTGTAATCCCAGCACTTTGGGAGGCTGAGGCAGGCAGATCACGAGGTCAGGAGATCGAGACCATCCTGGCTAACATGGTGAAACCCTGTCTCTATTAAAAACACAAAAAATTGGCCAGGTGTGGTGGCGGGCACCTGTAGTCCCAGCTACTGGGGAGGCTGAGGCAGGAGGATGGCGTGAACCCGGGAGGCAGAGCTTGCAGTGAGCCAAGATTGCACCACTGCACTCCAGCCTGGGCGACAGAGCGAGACTCCGTCTCAAAAAAAAAAAAAAAAAATGAGAGGTATTTTGCCAATCTGATAGGACAGGAGGAAGGGCATCCCAGGGTAGTTTTAATTTGTGTTTCCTTTATGTTGAGTGAGGCTGTCTTTTCATACTTCTTAGGGTCACTTACATTTTTCTGAAAACTTTCCATTTATGCCTTTTTTCTGTTGTTTTTTTTTTTTGTCAAATAATTGACTTTTCACAATTAAGACTGTGATATAATAGTTCTGTGTATATTAGAGAGGCCGTTTGTGATATAAGTTGCAAAAGTTTTCTCTCCGTCTATCATTTATCTTCTGACTTTGCTCTGCTTGCTTTCTTCTTACCATGGAAAAGGTTTTTGTTTTGTTTTGTTTTGCTTTGGTTTTTTGAGGTCGCCTAACTTATCGGTCTTCTATTGTTTCTGACTGTTCAGCCATTTTTAGAAAGGTTTTCTTCACTCCTGATTACACAGAATTCACTCATGTTTTCTTCTTGCACTCGTATGATTTCACTTTTGACACTTAAAGTTTATTCTGGTGTAGGGTGTGGAGAGGGATCTAACTTTATCTTTTTCCAAATGGTCACTGCATATGCTTCAGGGGAGGCGCAGCTAAAATAAAACCTCTAGCTGTGAATGCTGCTGCTTGGGGGACTGAGAAATGGTCTCACGGTGACCATGAAACTCTTTAACATCCAACACGCTGCGGAGTGTGGCCCGGCACAATTTATTGCTGGGGGTGTGTAGAGGCGTGATCAGGGATTTGAGAGAGGAGGTGGCCTACCCAAGAAGACAAAACACCCAGAATTTTAAATTTTAATTGAGCCAGGCTCGGTGGCTCATGCTTGTAACCCTAATGTTTTGGGAGACTGAGGTGGGAGGATCTCTTGAGACCAGGACTTCGAAACCAGCCTGGGAAACATAGTTAGGCCCAATCTCTAAAAAAATAAAAATAAAAAAAGTATCCGGGTGTAGTGGTACATGCCCATATTCCCAGCTCTTTGGGAGGCTGAGTTGGGAGGACCACTTGAGCCCAGGAGCTCGAGGCTGTAGTGAGCTATGATCGCACCACTGTACTCCAAGCAGGGACAAAGCGAGATCCTGTCTCAATAAATACATAAATAAATAAAATTGGCAGGCATCAATGTCAAGATGAAGCCTTTGACAACATTCCACAGACAGCTCTTTCCTTCTTTCCTGAACTCACAAACTTCCAGGGGTTCTGCGTTGCCTACAGATATAGCCCAGGCTGCTTATTTAGCCCAGGGTCCTTCATACATGACTTTTCTTGCCTCCTATTCCCTACACCTGACCATTTATAAAGCAAGCAAGCCTTCTGTGGTCTTGCTTCCCTGCTTCTGCTCAAGCTGGGTCCTACTGTCGTAAAGCCCATCTGCTCCATCACCATTGATCAAATTCTTGATGAAACCAGAAGCAAAGTTCAAGTCTCACCCTCACCAGTAAGTTGCCCTCATCACTCTAATTTTGACGTCTTTCTCCTGCAGCACTTTGTAGGGTGGTTCTGGGCTGGACCTGGCCTTGAGCAGAGTAGGATCAGTCTTTCCCATGTCATCTGCTGGGTCCATGCTCCTTGCCAGCAGGTATAGGGGACTGAATTATCTCCTCATCCCAATTCATGTCTACCTGGAACCGCAGAACGTGACTTTATTTGGAAAGGGAGTCTTTGAAGATGAAGTTCGGTTCAGCTGAATTCACACTGGGTTGAGGTGGGCTTTAAATACAATGCCTGGGGTCTCATAAGAAGAGGAGCAAACACAGAGGGACACAGAGGAGAAGCCTGCATGAAGATGGAGGCAGAGACTGGGCTGACGCAGCCACAGCCAAGGAACACCAAGCATGGCCAGTGACCACCAGAAGCTTAGAAAGAGCCAGGGAACAGCTGCTCCCTCGGAACCTTCAGAGGGAACCAACCCTGCTGACTGACACCTTGGGTTTGGGACTTTTGGCCTCGAGAATTGTGAGAGAATAATCTTCTGTTGTTTTAAGCCACCCAGTTTGCAGTAACTTGTTATGGCAGCCCTGGGAAATGAATATAGCAGGCATCAACAGTAACAATATTTACTCAGTGCTCACACTGCGTGGGCACTCTGCTAGATATTCACACGTGTCTCTCACTGGACTGTCCGTATTAACCTGTTCTCACGTTGCTGTGAAGAAATCCTGGCACTGGGTAATTTATAAAGGAAAGCAGTTTAATTGACTCACAGTTCCTCAGGGCTGGGAGGGCCTCAGGAAACTTACAATCATGGCAGGAGGGGAAGCAAACATGTCCTTCTTCAAGTGGCGGCAGGAAGGAGAAGTGCCGAGCAAAGTGGGGAAAGCCCCTTATAAAACCATCAGGTCTCGTGAGAACTCACTCGCTATCCCGAGAACAGCATGGGAGAACCACCCCCATGACTCAATTACCTCCCCCAGTTTCCCTACCATGACACATGGGGATTATGGGAACTACCGTTCAAGATGAGATTTGGGTGGGGACACAGCCAAACCATGTCACTGTCCTGGGAACCTTCTGAGCTGGGAATTTAAGGTATTAGTGTCATCTCCATTTTACAGACAGAGAAACTGAGGCTTGGAGACTCACCCAGGACCACACATCTTGTTTGCAGAGCCAGGATCCCAATAGGCCAGCCCTCTCTGTCCTCACCAGAGGGCCCGGCTCACCCACTGCACACCCTCAGCTGCCATGGCCAGTTCTCCTGGTCTCTCATTTACCTTCTGAATGCCAACACTTCCCAAATCTTGGCCTCTGCCTTCAAGTCTAAACTCCAAATCCACTGGGCCTGTCTCTCTGGCATCTCAATTGAGCTGGTCCCAAAGTGACATCAGCCCACGTTCTCTAGCCCAGTTCCTACCTCATGTCTCAGGGAATGGCACCACCCACACCCTAGCTAAAATCCTGAGTTCAACTTCCAACATAGTTTGGATGTGTGTCCCTGCCCAAATCTCATGCTGACATGTAATCCCCAATATTGGAGGTGGGGTCTGGTGGGAGGTGATTAGATCATGGGGGCAGATTTCTCACGGATGGTTTATTACCATCCTCTTGGTACTGTCCTCTTGATAGTGAATGACTTCTCATGAAAGCTGGTCATTTAAAAGTGTGTGGCACCTCCTCGCTGTCTCTTTCTTGCTCTTGCTTTCTCTATGTGACGTGCCTGCTTTCCATTTGCCTTCCGCCATGATTGGAAGCTTCCTGAAGCCTTCTCAGAAGCAGATGCCGCTATGGTTCTTGTACAACCTGCAGAACTGTGAGCCAATTAAACCTCTTTTCTTTATAAATTACCCAGTCTCAGATATTTCTTTGTAGCAACGCAAGAACGGCCTAACACATCCTCTTTCTCCTCTATCTCCCGTCTTACCACCTTAATCCAGGCTGTCATCACCATTCCCCTGGAGTACTGCATCCTGTTTCTAAACAGCCCCTCCCTGCCTTCTGGCCTGGCCCCATTCTCTACACCCCAGCAGATGTCGACCCAATTAAAATCCTTCAAGGCTCCTCACTGAGCTCAGGATCAAGGTCAAACACCTTCACATGACCCCTCGTGATCTGCCCCTACTGTGTCTCCAGTGGTTATGACTCAGACGTTGATTATCCGGTGACTGGGGCAAGTCTCTCTGACTCAGTTCCCTTACCTGTAAAATTACACCTACTGCATAGGATTATTCTGAAGGTAAATATATGCACGCAAAACCATAGGAAACTGTTCGGTACTCAATGCATGTTGCCTGTTGGCTGACATTAGTATTTCTTGCCTCTCTTTCCCCAGCATGCTTGGTTACAGCCATGCTAGTTGCTTCTCAGCTGCTCCTGCCTTTCTCATTCTTGTTATTATTACACGTGTTCCTGCTTTCTAACTTTCTCTCTCTTTTCCTGGCTAACTGCCACTTACTCTTCATATCTGAATTGAAATGCTACCACCGACAAAAATGGTCTGGGTGTCTGCTACTAAAGTGTCTTTTACTTATGCTATGACAACGTGTTCTGGGTTGTATTATAATTGTGCTTGCATTTCTCTATCTCCCATCCTGGTCTTCATAAGGTTCTTGAGTCTGGGGACTCTCTCTTGTTCACTACTGAGTTCCCCCATGCCCAGCAAAGAAATGCAGAGGAGATGCTAGTATGTCATTGTTGAATGAATGAGTGCTTCTCTGCATTGACACATAAACGACTACATACTCTTCACTTAATACATGTAGAGTGCTTAGAACAATATGGTCTCATAGCAACTCCTCATAGCTGCTACATTATTACTGTGATGACTAGGATGGTAGATGTATGAACAGAAGAGTACTGTGGGGACCAGAGAAGGATCTGCTATTTTGTCTGAAGGTGTCAGCGCAGCCGTTAGAGAAAGGTGTTTTCCAAGCCATGCACGTTTGTGTGCTAAGCATTGGAAGCAAATCACCCCCAAAGATGCCTGAATCCTGAAATTTACAACCTGTGTGGTCCCCTCTCATTGGGTGTGAGCAGTAACTTCCTTAGACACTCACTGAGACTACCTAGTGACTTCCTTCTAAAGAATAGGATGGAAAACGTGATGGGATGGCACACTTGCAGGCCTAAGTTATGACAGACCCTGTCTTCCATGTTATTTGCACTCTCTTTTTTGTTCTCTCTGATGGAAGCCAGCTGCCATATTGTGAGCTGCCCTATGGAAAAGCCCACATGACAAGGAACTGAATCTTGTCAACAACTGTGTGTGAGCTTAGGAGTGCATCCTTCCCCTGTCAAGCCTTGGGATGACTGTAGCACCAGCTGACATCTAGACTGCAGCCTTGTGAGGGGCCCTGAGCCACAGGACCCAGCTAAACTACACCCATATCCCTGATCCACAGAAACTGTGAGATAATAGGTGGTGTTGTTCCAATTCTATGTTTCTAATAACTCTACATTTCAGAATTAATTGCTCCACAGCAATAGACAACTAATGCATTCTTTGGTCAAAATTCTTCCCCAAAAGGGAAGGCCTGAAATATATGTGTTATTTTGAATGGATCCAGCAACAGGTGGTACATTTTAAAGGGTGCACTTGGAGAAGTCAAACTGCTGTACTTTGGCAGGGAAGGATGGAAGAGCATCCATGGGTTCCTGGAGTCTCTGTCTGGGACTGGCACCTTTAGGATATTTCCTGGGATTTTTTGAGCAGCCTGTCACTTTTGCCAACATTCATATCCTATGCTGACACATGATTTTTAAATTTTCTGGTCTACCTGCTAAGCAAAGCTTTTTAGAAGACGATTCACGGAAATGACAGTTCTCTAATCTACATCAATGTTTTTCTTTGCCAAAAAAAAAATAATAACAAAAGGAGGTGGAGGAAAAGGGTATGATAGTAGCTTTTCTTTGGAAGAAGAAAGTTTTACCTTACAACAGTTTAAAAAACAACAAGAAAATCACAGCTTAAGAGGCCAAGAAACTTGCTTTCCTAGGTACTCAGTATAATGGCTAATTTTATGTCTCAATTTGTCCAGGCCATAGTGGCCACATGTGTGGTCAAACGTGTTTTTGGATGAGATGAGCATTTAAATAAGTGGACTTTCAGTAAAGCAGATTGCCTTCCACTATGTGGGTGGGCCTCATCCAATCAATTCAAGGCCTGAGTAGATCAAAAGACTGACCTCCCACAAGCAAGAGGGAATTCTGCCAACAGACAGCCTTTGGACTTGGACTGCAACAGTGGTTCTTCTCTGTTCCTGGCAACCCATCCTGCAGATTTTGGACATGCCAGACTCAAAAATCATGTGCATCAATTCCTTAAACACACACACACACACACACACACACACACACATGCACACACACACACACATCACGTTGGTTCTGCTTCTCTGGAGAACTCTTACTAATACACTCAGGATGATTTCAAATCAATCAACCAATCCGTTTATGTTAAGAATTTAAATTACCTTCAGAAAAAAAGGAACAAAGGTAAGAATTACCATAAATTTCTCCTCAGAAATTTTGTCAATTAAGAGACAATGGAATGACATATTTAAAAAGCTGAAAGAGGCTGGGCACAGTAGCTAATGCCTGTAATCCCAATCCTTTGGGAGACCAAGGCGGGAGGATCACTTAAGGCCAGGAGTTCGAGACCAGCCTGGGAAACATAGGAGAATTCACCTCTAATAAAAATGTTTTAAAAAGTAGCTGGTCATGGTGACATGCACCCATAGTCCCAGCTACTTGAGAGGCTGAGATGGGAGGACTGCTTGAACCCAGGACTTTGAGGTTGCAGTGAGCTACTAACACACCACTGCACTCCATCCCGGGTGACAGAGTAAGACCCTGTCTCAAAAAAAAAGAAAAAATGCTGAAAGAAAGAAACCATCAACCTAGAATTCTATACCCAGCAAAAATATCTTTCAAAAAATGAGGGTAAAATACTCTTTCAGACAAAGGTCAAGAGAATTTATTGCATGCTCATTTTATAAAAAATGTTAAAGGAAGTTCTTTAAGTAGAAGGAAAGTAATACCAGATGCAAACTTGGATCTACACAAATAAATGAAGAATGCCAGCAATGGTAAATATGTGGGCAAATATAAAATATTTTTTCTCAGTTTTTTGTTTCTTTAAAAAATATTTGGCCAGGTACAGTGGCTGATGCCTATAATCCCAGCAGTTTGGGAGGCCAAGGTGGGTGGATCATGAGGTCAAGAGATCGAGACCATCCTGGCCAACATAGTGAAACTCCGTCTCTACTAAAAATAAAAAAATTAGCTGGGCTTGGTGGCACGCACCTGTAGTCCCAGCTACTCGGGAGGCTGAGTCAGAAGAATCACTTGAACCCGGGAGGAGGAGGTTGCAGTGAGTCGAGATTGCGCCACTGTACTCCAGCCTGGGCAACAGAGTGAGACTCCATCTCAAAAAAAAAAAAATTGGCCAGATGTGGTTGCTCACACCTGTAATCCTAGCACTTTGCAAGGCCAAGGCAGGAGGATTGCTTGAGCCCAGGGGTTTGAGACCACCCTGGACAACATAGCAAAACCCTGTTTCTTTTCTTTTTCTTTTCTTTTTTTTTTTTTTTGAGACAGAGTCTTACTCTGCTATCCAGGCTGGAGTGCAGTGGCATGATCTCAGCTCACTGCAACTTCTGCCTCCTGGGTTCAAGTGATTCTCTTGCCTCAGCCTCCTGAGTAGCTGGGATTACAGTTATGCACTACCACATCTGGCTAATTTTTGTATTTTTAGTAGAGATGGGGTTTTACCATTTTGGTCAGGCTGGTCTCCAACTCCTGACCTTAAGCAATCCAGGCAGCTCAGCCTCCAAAAGTGCTGGGATTATAGGAGTGAGCCACTGCACCCTGCTGGTAAAACCTTGTTTCTACAAAAAATGCAAATATTATCTGGGTGTGGTGGTGCACGTGCCTGTAGTCCCAGCTACCTGGGAGGCTGAGGCAGGAGGATCACTTGAGCCCTGGGAGGTGGAGGTTGCAGTGGGCTGAGATCGCACCACTGCATTCTAGCCTTGGTGACAGACCAATACACACACAAAAAATTGATTCTTTACAGCAAAAATAATAACAATATTTTTATAATATAGACCCCTAGCTAGGGTTTTATAACCTATGTAGAAGTAAAATTTATGACAACAATAGCACAAAAAACAGGGGGCAGGAAATAGAAGTGTATAGTTTATTTTATTTTATTTATTTATTTATTTTTGAGATGGAGTCTCACTCTGTCGCCCAGGCTGGAGTTAGGGTGGCATGATCTTGGCTCACTACAACCTCCACCTCCCGGGTTCAAGCGTCAGCCTCCCAAGTAGCTGGGACTACAGGTGTGTGCCACCATACCCAGCTAATTTTTTGTATTTTTAGTAGAGACAGGGTTTCACCATGTTAGCCAGGATGGTCTCAATCTCCTGACCTCGTGATCTGCCCGCCTCAGCCTCCCAAAGTGCTGGGATTACAGGCATGAGCCACCGTGCCCGGCCTATTTTATTTTTGAGACGGGATCTCATTCCGTCACCCAGGCTGGAGTACAGTGGTGCCATGTCAGCTCACTGCAACCTCCGCCTCCCGGGCTCAAGCAATCCTCCTGCCTCAGCCTCCCAAGTAGCTGGGACTACAGGTACTCGCCACCATGCCCAGCTAATTTTTGTATTTTCAGTAGAGACACTGTTTTGCCATGTTGCCCAGGCTGGTCTCGAACTCCTGGACTCAAGTGATCTGCCTGCCTTGGCCTCCCAAAGTGCTGGGATTACAGGCATGGAGCCACCACGCCTGGTCAGAAGTATATTGTTGTAAAGCTCTTAAATTATATCTGAAATGGTATAGTAGCCACTGAATATAGATGGTGATAAGTTAAAGATTCATATTTTAAATCCTAGAACAATCACTAAAAGCATAAGACGAAGAGGTACAGCAAAGAAGCCAATAGTGGTGGTAAAATGGAATTCTAAAAAATGCTAAATTAATCCAAAAGGAGGCTGAAAAAGACAAAAGAAAGGAACAAAGAACAGATGGAAAAATAGAAAGCAAATATCAAGAAGGTAAACTTAAGCCCAACTACACTGATAATTACATTAAATGTAAATAGTCTATACATTCCAATTAAAAGAACCATAAATGCATACAATAAATGCAAAAATCCTTAATAAAACACGAATCAACAAGTATTTTTAAAAATACATCATGATCAAGTTGTGCTTGTCCTAGGAGTGCAAGGATAAATGACCATCAAAAAAATGTATCTGTGTACTTCACCACATTGATAGGCTAAAATAAGGATATTTCTGACTATTCAATGAATGCAGAAAAAGCATTGGATAAAGGCCACATCTATTCTTTAATTTGGTAAAAGTCATAGACAAAAGTCTTAGAGCAAACATCATACCTACTGTAGAAAATTTATATGCATTTCCTTGAAGATTGGGAATAATGAATAGATGCCTAATATCACCACTACTGGTTGACATAGTACTGGAGGTCCCAGCCAACACTATAAAAAGGGAAAGACAAATGAGGAGAGTTCTAATTTAAAAAGAAGAGACAGACCGAGTGTGATGACTCATGACTGTAATCCCAGTACTTTGGGAGGCCAAGGCGGGAATTTCACTTGAGTCCAGGAGTTCAAGACCAGCCTGGGCAGCATAGGGAGACCTCACCTCTATAAAATATTTGAAAATTAACCAGGCATGTCTATAGTCTCAGCTACCCGGGAGGTTGAGGTGGGAGGGTCACTTGAGCCTGGGAATTCGAGACTGCAGTGGGCCATGATCATGCCACTATACTCCAGCCTGGACAACAGAGCAAGAGTTCATCTCAGAAAAAAAGAAAAAGAGAGAGAGATAAAACTGTTTTATTTTCAGATGATGTGATAATATCCCTAGAAAACTCAACATAAATAAAAATAAAATGACAAACTAGTAAAATTAGAGAGTTCAACTAGGTGCAAGATATAAGATCAACCTACAAAAATCAATAGAATTTCTCTACTTCAGTAACAACCAAGTTGAAAATTTTAAAAAAACACACAAAATAATATTAAAAACTATAAAATACCTAATAATAAATCAATAATACACTACAGGTCAGGCATGGTGGCTCACGCCTGTAATCCCAGCCCTTTGGGAGGCGGAGGTGGGAGATTTGCTTGAGTCCAGGAGTTCAAGACCAGCCTGGGCAACATGGTGAGAGCCCACTTCTACAAAAAATAAAAAAAATTATCCCGGTGTGGTGGTGTGTGCCTGGAGTCCCAGCTACTCAGGAGGCTGAGATGGGAGGATGGCTTGAACCTAGGTGTTCCAGGTTGCACTGAGCTATGATCAGGCCACTGTACTCTAGTCTGGACTGGAGTGAGACACTGTCTCAAAAATAAATAATAAAATAATACTAAAGTCAACTTTTGGGAAGGACATTTTAAAACTCAGATAAATGTCCCACACAGAGGAGGAGCTGGACAGCAGAGAGAGCCTTCAGCTATGATATGGATCTGAAACCTGTGAGGAGAGGGGGACTGCGTGTGACTAAGGGTTGGAAGCGGCATTGCTAAACAAAATCTCAAAAACCCAAAGTGCAAGTCAAAAAGAAAAAGGAGTGAATTTGATAATCAAAATTAATGACTCTTTTCCAATGAGCTACACTATAGATAGTTAATAGGGAGATAATAAACTGGGAGAAGAGTCTCAGACTGCTTTGCAGTTCCAAGAGAGGTTTGATCAGGTCGATGAAGAGTTCTCGGGCCAATGTCCTCCACTGTCAAGGGTCCCACACCTCCTCAGAGCTATCCTGCGTTAGGGCCCCTGCTGTGCCCAGTCACGGGCTGGGAGTGGCTCACGAGATGTGTGGCTTCATTGCAAATGGGGTGTAGATCCAGAGCGGTGGCAGCTGGGCCTTCAACAATTAGCAGAAAAGCTGAATGGCACATTTTTCATGGCCTCTGCAGAGACCTAGAAGTGAAATGTAAAACATAAATTTATTTTTTAATGTAACAATATAAATATGAAACATACAAATGGCCAGGCATGGTGGCTCACACCTGTAACCCCAGCACTTTGGGAGGTCAAGGCAAGAGGATCGCTTGAGCCCAGAAGTTCAAGACCAGCCTGGGCAACAAAGTGAGACCTTATCTCTAATAAAATAAAATAAAATAATTAGCTGGGTGTGATACCACACTCCTGTGGTCCCAGCTACACAGGAGGCTAAGGCAGGAGGATGGTCTGAGCCCGGGAGGTCAAGGCTGCAGTGAGCCATGTTTGCACAACTGCACTCAATCCTGGGTGACAGAGTAAGACCCTGTCTCAAAAACAAACAAACAAACAAACAACAACAACAAAAAACCCCATACAAACAGAGAAAGCTTAAGCATTTGTGTGTGATTAAGGGTTGGAAAAGGCATTGTTAAACAAAATCTCAAAAACCCAAAGTGTATAGTGTATAGTGTAGTGTAGTGTATAGTATAGTGTAGTGCATAGTGTGTATAGTGCGTAGTGAATTGCTTGAACCCGGGAGGCAGAGCTTGCAGTGAGCCGAGATCACGCCACTGCACTCCAGCCTGGGCGACAGAGTGAGACTCCGTCTCAAAAAAAAAAAAAAAAAAAAAAGTGGGATTGGGATTACAGGCGTGAGCCACCGAGCCTGGCCTGTTCCTGTCTTTTGACCTTGAAGTAGAGGTTTCAAGGGCCCTCTTATCCATCCCACCTCCTGGGGACAGCAGAGTTCTTGAGAACTTGGGAGACAGGCCCATAAGCACAACCTGAGTAAGCAGGCGGTGTGGTGGAAGGAATGGAGGTATGCATTTGATAGGGGTAGTGGGCTCAGGGCAGGGGTCTTTTTGCCATCCTGGGGGTCCTAAAAAGACTTCCTGGTGGAGATCACATTGGAGTTGAGTCTTGGAGGAAGAACAGGTGTGATGTGGGTGAAGAAAGGAAAGCATGTTTGGCCATCTCCAGCCTCGATGGTGGTGTTGGTTGTCAGGAACAGAAGCGAACATCTTCTAGCTCAGGTAAAAGTAGAATTTGTGTGTGTGTGTTATTTTTATTTTTTAGAGACAGGGTCTTACTCTGTCACTCAGGCTGGAGTGCAGTGGCACGATCATGGCTCACTGCAGGTTCAACATTCTGGGGTCAAGTGATCCTCCTGCCTCAGCCACTCAAGTAGCTAGTACTTCAGCTGCATGCCACTGTGTCTGGCTAATCTTTATTTTTTGTAGAGATGGGGTCTTGCTATGTTGCCCAGGCTGGTCTCGAACTCCCGGCCCCAGGCAATCCTCCTGCCTCAGCCTCCCAAAGTGTGGGGATTACAGGCATGAAAAAGTGGAATTTATTGAAAAGATACAGGGGCATCTTCCAGACCTAAGCAGGCCTCCTGGGCAATGGGCTAGTCCTGCAGCTCTCCTTCCTCTCTGTGGCCACAGCTGCTCCTTGCTGGTTTGGGCATGCCGGCTTCCTCAGCAAGGCTCCTAGTAGCTCTTCCTGCTTAACCTCTGCTGTCCAGAGTGGTGCTGACGGCCATGGCTGGGTCCAACTCCATATGAACCCCCCCAGGGACCAGCACAGTCCCGCCTTATTGCATAACCCTCGAGGGCACCTGTTTGAGGTGTTTTCTAAGTGATCTGCCTCTCCTGGAGTACAGCAGTTTGAATGGTCCCCCTGCAGTTGTGTAAAGTTGCAATCCTCCACCAACACCATGTATCTCAGTCTTGGGGTCTCTCGGTTCTAATTCTCAAGAAGGAGAATCAGGCTGGTTCAGTGTGAGGAAGGTTTTCAGCCCTGATCCAGGTCCAATCAGGGGGTTGGGGGTGTGTGTGTGTGTGTATGTGTGTGTGTGTGTGTATCTGTGGGTTTGGCTTGATGTGTGTGTGTGTGTGTGTGTGTGTGTGTGTGTGTGTATCTGTGGGTTTGGCTTGATTCACAGTGAGTAGCCTGGGCTGAAGATAGATTCTCTAAGAAGGGGCTGTAGCAGTTGGGATCCTGGTGGGAAACAGTAACACCCTCCAAGGGATAATTAAAAAGACAGGTGTGAGCAGCTTCAGAGAAAAAAGAGGTGCTGAAGCACCTAAGGACTAGTGAGCTGTGGGGATCCGTGATCACCTCTGGGTGTGAAAAGTGAGTGGGGGAAACCATTACTAACACCACGGGTGAGACAGGCCACGCAGCAGGAGCTGTGCCTCACGGCCAGGCCAGGCCAGGTGGGAAGGCTCTTCCTCGCTCACCTGACCCTGCCGCACTTTGGTCAAATCCAAGAGGAGGGAGAGGACATGCTTAGCGGGTGTGGCTCAGAGGGGAGCCCAGACAGAGAAGGGCAAACGGAGAATGACCAGCACAGGCTGCAGAGGCCATCTGGTGCGGAGGGAGAGGAGACGGCCTAAGCCAAGGTAGGGCGGTGTGAAGCCTCTGGGCGTTCCTTGGTACTGGAGGACACGGTGCTAGAAAGCAAGGGGAAACTGATGCGCTAGAGAGGCCGGGGCTGCAGAGGGCCTTGGGGGCTGCCAGCAGAAGCTCAGACCCCATCCTGCGGGGGTTGCCCACCAACGGCAGGGCACCTGGCCAGGAGGCTGCTGCACAGAGAGCTGAAAGCTAAAGCCAAAAGGCAATTCAAGCGGATGAACTTCGGGCACAGAGTGGGAAATATTTTTGGCTGGTGGTGTCCTTCCAAAGGCCTCTGAATCCCACCACATCCAGAAGGCCTTTTGTTGATGAGGGTCAGAAATCCAATGAAACTAGCATTGGCCAAAATAGTTATTGCTTCATGGAACTTGGAAGGCCAGGGCAAAGCTGGTTTCAGGGACTCCGGAAATGCAGGAGATAGCAGCATGAATTTCTCTTTCCATCTCTGTCTCTTTCACTCTTTAACTCGACTTGTCACACACCTTGCTGTAGGACGGGGGAAGGGAGAGGCCACAGCTTCCTCATCGCAGTTTAGTGACCCCAAAGGAAAGAGAAAAATTGCTTTTTTTTTTTAAACACCCATCTATAAAGACCCAGAGGAGCACTCTAGTCCAGCTCAAGTCACAGGTCCACTGTAGACCAACCATTTCAGCTTGTTAAAGCAAATGAAATATGGCCTGAGAAGGACTCCGTACTTTTATATTTGAGTCCTTGTGGACGAACCGTAACCTAGCTTAATAGGCACGCAAAATTGAAAACCTAACTTAGTAGTATGCACTTGTAACAATAGCTGAGTGTTGGCCAATCCCAGCGGCCATACTTCAACCACTCATAGACTGCTGAGTGTTCAAACTGTTCAAATACGGCAAACGCCGAGCTGCAACCAATCTCACTGTTTCTGTACCTCACTTCTGATTCCTGTATGTCACTTTAGTTTAGTTTTTTTTTTTTTTTTTTTTTGGAGACCAAGTCTCTCTTTGTTACCCAGGCTGGAATGCAGTGGCACAATCTCAGCTCACTACAACCTCTGCCTCCCAGGTTCAAGTGATTCTCCTGCCTCAGCCTCCTGAGTAGCTTGGATTATAGGTACCCGCCACCACGCCTGGCTAATTTTTGTATTTTTAGTAGAGACAGGGTTTCACCATGTTGGCCAGGCTGGTCTCGAACTCCTGACCTCAAGCCATCTACCTGCCTTGGCCTCCCAAATTGCTAGGATTACAGAAGTGAGCTACTGCGCCAGGCCACTTTACTTTGTCTATAAATTTGTTCTGACCCCGGGAGTCTCTCTGAATCTGTTGATTCTAGAGGCTGCCTGATTCATGAATTCTCTTTTTCTTTCTTTTTTTTTTTTTTTTTTGCTCGATTAAATTTAATCTAATTGAACTTGTCTTAAGCTTTCTTTTAACAAGCTCCATGATGGGCATCTCAGATTGGCCAGGCCTGGTCCACCTGCTGTGGCCTGGGGCTGGTACTGTGATTGTGAGGACCATCAGCACTGAAAGAATTGAGGATGGGCGGTTCACCTGTTCAGAAGGCGAGGGGGAGATGTCACACAGCCAAATGCAGCAGATGTCCTCCACCACGTGCATCCTGTCAGCACGCCCGCCTATGGAGGGCTCAGCCCTTTCATGCTCAGACAGGCCGGTCAGGAAGCCCCGTCACAGGGAGGCTCCAGGGTGGTGTATGGAAGGTAGTGGTCTGAATAGTGTCTGTTGAGCAAATGACAAAAATCAACCCCAGAGAAGCAGAAAACATCTAGGTGGCCCAGCCTGGTAAGTGGCAGGAGATGGTAGTAGAGCTGTCTCTGCCTGTCACCTTCAGCCTCTTCTTGCAAGCCCCTGGTGGTCCCATATTGAGGTAACAATGCCCATTCTTCTTCCAGACAGTGTAGAAACAGTGACAATGTGGTTATGGCCCCCTGGAAAGTGAGCAGTTGATGAGCTCTGCTTATGGCTGCTCTCCTCCATGGCAGAATGCATTCCTGCAGGATGAGGTCATGGAGCCAAGGAAGGTCAGGGTGTGGGGGGGCTTCCTGGGTCAGAGCTCCAGAGCAGTGCTGCTCCCCCTGCCCTCCTCCTTAGGTCTCCCATCACTGGTGGTCTCAGAAATCTCTGAAGATTTCAGAAATCTTGAATCCCTTCCCTGGTGTGAATGCAAAGGGAAGAGTCTGTTCCTGTAAAGTAGTTTGCAGATTGGTGGAACTGAGAGAACCCAGACCCTTCCCCGTTTCCCTCGACCTTTCCATCTCTGGACCCCATGCAGACTATGCTTGGGTGGTGACACAGAAGAATTTAGTGTTTGGTGGACCCGTTTCTGGAAGTGATGGATGCTGACAGCTGGCACTTAACAGTTATCAAAAATAACATTAACTGGAGTAGGCTCTGTGCCACTTAGAGCTTAATGACTCACTGACTTCACCCCAAATCCCCATGAACTAGCATTATTATTAGCCCTATGTTGCAGGTGAGGAGACTAAGGCTCATCCAGTTAGAACATGATGGCTGAAACCTACATTCAAACTCTGGTCTGTTTGAATCTAGAACTCTTAGCTTCCCCCCAGCGACTGTGTTAGAACAGAGGAATCATCAGTTCAATTTTCACCTCCCTCCTAAGCCTTCGTGGCTCTAGACGTATGGTTATAAAGGTTGTTCACTGCTCAAGGGCCCAGGAGGGTTTGGGGCTGGTGGATAGGGGCCAAAATACAGCCCAGGGGTGCCATTTTTCTAATTCTCACCAAGGCCCTATACTGACTAGCAGCGGCTCTACCCGATACCATCCAGGGCCTTTTCAGAATTCTGAAGGCACCCACGGTGCTGGCTACTCACACACCTGGCCCCCCTTAACCATGGCTGCCTTGCACTGTGACCCAATTGGTTCCCATGACAAAACCTGTTATTCCCATAACTCACCCAACACTTTTTTGCCCCTAGGCTCTTGCTCCTTTGGTTCCCTCTGCCTGGAATGGCCTTCTCTCCCGAGCCGCCTCGCCTGGTTCTATTAGGTTGATGCAAAAGTCATCGCGGTTTTAATGGTAAAAACCGTGATGACTTTTGCACCGACCTAGTATTTCACAAAACCTACATTTCCTTTAAAACCCAACCTGATGCCTACTCCTTCAAAATGCCTTTCATATCCCACAGTTCGACTTCATCTCACTCTGCCTCCTCTCACAGGGCTTTGTGTTCGTGCTGGATGGAGCCCATCATACTCAGCCTCGCAATAAAGGCCACCTATCTAGTGAGTGAGCATTTACTAGGCGCAGGACTCTGGGCTAAACGCTGTCCATACTTCATCTCCTTGATTCTTCACGTCACAGATGTCATTATGCCCATTTCACAGAGGAAGAAACTGAGGCTTGGAGGACTTAAAGCCTTGTTTCAGCAGGAAACGGAATAAGGCGTTCTGATTTTCAAGCTGTCTCCTATTAGGGCTGGTTTCCCCTAGATGTCATGAGTAGGTGTGAAGTGTGAGCTACTTGAAGGCAGAAGCCAGGGGGGTCCCCCGCAATCCCGGAGGCGGGCTTCTGAAAATGTTTAGCCCAGGAAGGAGGGCTGCCCTGGCCCGCAGCTTTCCGCCCCTTCCCAGGTGAGCTGCAACTCCAAAGCTCCCAAGCAGGCCCTTCACCCACGCGGGCCCCAGCAGCTCCTTGGGAAACAGGATCGCTGCTCTGAGGCCGCCCACAGAGAGACCCTCGGAGGGCGCCACGCAAGCGAAGGGCAGAAACGACTCGGGGGGCAGGGGCAGGGCGCTCCAACCACACCCAGGCGCCGCCAGCTTGTTTACGCCTCTCCGCCGCGTCCCCCCGCCCGCCAGTCACGTGACCGCCCGCCCCGCCCCCTCGGGCTCTCGCGTGGCTCCTCCCGCCGCGCCGGCCCTTCTTTTTGCCTCCTTCGCGGAGTCACAAGATCTCTTCGCAGCCTCCTTTCGGATCCTTCCGCCCGGCCCCGCCCCCCTCCATAAAAACCCTCCTTACTTTTTTTCTCGTCCAACCCACATCGTCAGTTATGAGTGGAAGAGCCTCTTCCTTCCGGCGGGGCTGCCGAGCGCGGCCGTCTATCCTTCCTTTCGAGAAGGAGGGGAGGTCCGGAGGGGGACTCTTTTTCGTGGCGGAGGCCGCCGTCGGCCTTGGCCCTTTCACGACGGGGGAGGTGCTGTACGTCCAAGATGGCGGCGCCCTGTAGGCTGGAGGGACTGTGAGGTAAACAGCTGAGGGGGAGGAGACGGTGGGTGAGTATGGGGGTGTCTCCCCCTCCTTTTTATGGGGGCTTCCTGGGGCAGCCCCGGCACCATGACTCCAGCCGGGGAGGCTCGGAGGGGCTGGAGCAAGAGACTCACTTGCTTGGTAGGGATCCCGGGGAAGGGGGGTTCGGAGAGCTCTCCCCTCCCTCTTATTACACGCTATCTCCGGCTGGCCCGGCCGGGACTGGCGGGTCCCTGGGGAGGAGAGGCGAGCCGGACGGAGCACTTCGCCCCTCCTTGGCCCCCGAGGGGACGGCTGCACCCTGGGCCTCGGTCCCTCGGGCAGGGGCGAGGTGGGCCCCTTCGTCAGTCCCTCACTTGGTGGGGTGACAGGTTCACGCTAGGTGCGGAGGGCAGGGTAGAGACGCTTGGCGGGAGGGGAAGGGTCGCGAGGGTGGGGCTGGTCCCAGAACTTAAAGAGAGGGGTCGGGGTATAGGGGCGTGGAGAATGAATGGAGGTCGCCTGTGGGGATCAAGGACTCGCCTGGATTCGGTGTCTCCGCTGAAATTTGCATGACTCGCTCTGGGTGTACTTGTGGGTGTTTAATTGGTGGTGAAAGACAGTTACCTTAAAGTGGGCAAAGGGGATTCCTAAGAGACAGCTATTTGCAGAGCCCCTCCTAGGCGTTCATTCATTCATTTGAGGAACTGGAGGATGAAGAGCCTGCAATCGGAGGGACCTTGTAGAATTAAAGCTCTTTCTTTGTGTTTCCTGTTAAAGAGTTTTGCTTTGTGTGTTTTGGATGTGTGGTGAGGACTTGGGAGGGGACGCGGTCCTCCTAAGAACAACAGCTAACGTTAATGGAGTGCTCTCTGTGTGCCAGGCACTGTGAAAGTGCTTGGCAGTCATTATCTCCTTTGGTCCTCACGACAAAGAGAAGAGGCAGCCACTGTTAACACCTCCAATCTTCTCAAATGAAGAAACTGAGGCCCGGAGAGAGCAGGGTACTTTGCCTAAGTTCACACCCCAATTGTATCTGAGCCAGGACTGGAACTGCTGGGATCTGACTGACTCCAAAGATATGACTCTTAAATTTATCTGTTATTTGATCAAAGCTGGCCTGTAAGTGATTAAAATTTATCATTTAGCCAAGGTTTATGCACGTGTGTCTGTTTAATGTTGAAGTGGGGGGATGCACTTGGCTTATCCGCCTTAGCTTTTGTTTGGGATGGCAGTGTTGTGCATGTGAACTTGTTAGTCTAAATTAGGCTAAAAAGTATTTGATAGTTTAATAAAACTGATGAGTTTACTGAAGAAAGAAGTCCTGCTAAAATCCTTGCTGGCTTTTTTTTTTTTTTAAATAGAAAGCATACAAATAACACTTCACGTTGCATAGAGTAAGCTATAAAAGTGCTAAAATAGAATAATACTCTTCTGAGATACTTTGATTTATAATTTTGGGATCAACTTGGAGTCATCTGAATTCAAACAGGCCGGCAAAGTGGAGCTGTAAATTTCAGGAAGCATTATAAAACCTAATCTTTGGGGAGCCTTTGATTTACCGAGCAACCACCTGTGATTCTTAAATTGAACATTCCTGAGTAAATCTGGAATATGCAAATGTGAAAACTGATTTAGGGTTGTGTAGGGAAATGCACCTTTAACAGTCATGCATCAGGCAAATGAGGCTCCTCAGAAACAGTGAAACATTCTTTGCTATTGCCCTAGGGAGCTGCAGAATCTTCCTCTAACCACCTGGTGTAAACTTAAGGGGTATTTATAGAAGATGTAAACGGAAAATATCCTCTTACTAAAGTTAATATCTTATCCAAAACACTCTTATATCACGTGCCTAGAAGGGCAGATGATGTAAACTTTCTCTGCTGCATGCATTTCCTGGTGTCATAAACACTTGGTACGTTCCTAAATTCCTGGTTAGAAAGCAGGTGGCTACCAGCCTTCTTGTTTCCATAAAATTAGAGTGCTTCAGGTCCTGTGACTCAGTTGTCCTCTTCCTCACTGGGTTAAGAGTAAAAACTGATACTGCTACTGTTGTGGTGTAATATGATGCCTTCTGTGCATGCCTGGTTTCATTCGTGAGATGAAACTTAACAGTCTTACTAGGGCAAATCTAATATATACCTCTATATGTAATGTTTGCAGAATAATGAACTTGGTGGAAACGAGATCTGAAACCCTAGTGCTCATGAGAACCTTGATGTACAGATATTTGGCACTATACTAGGTAGACCTACATATTCGGACACCTTGTATATATATTTTGGAAGAAGACTGATTCTTATGTGCACCGGAGGTTGAGGACCACTGGCTTCAAGTATCATTCTGGCTATTTTCATTTATTATTTATCACAGAGGTATTTCTTAAAATAGCTTGTAGCCTTTTATTTGTGTAGTGGTGGGTGAATTTTGGGCTCTGAATTAGAGCTGACTTGTTCTTATAGCTCTGTCTTCATTTGAAGTTTGTTTGGCTACAGGTATGTTTATTTCTGGGTTCCAGGGCCATAGTGAACTAAAATTAGCTTTTCCTGGAATTAATTGGATATTCTTGAATGCCGATGAGCCAAATATAGCAATATCTCAACCATTTCAGGCTTTTCTAGAGAGTCAGATAGCTTTTGACCTTCAGTGGGTCACTTAAGTTCTGTGAGCCTGTGTCTTCATCTGTGAAGTAAAAGTTGGAATGTAAATTAATGAGTATTTCTAGGCCTACATTTCTGTGATTTAAAGTCCTTTGGGGTGTCATTTAAATATTCTGACTAAATCGATTGAGTCAACCTGTTAATGGTTTTATAAAAACCAAGCAAATTGGTGACTTTGAGCCTACCCTGTTGGGTGAAGATCTGTTTATCATTTATCCTTTCCTTTACATCATAATACTCTTTGAAAAGGTAATTCCCTATAAGTTTCCCATATTATAAATCTCTGAAAGGTTAGTCTTTGCATTGGTTTTGTCATTTAAGTAGCTGAAGGCGTGAAAGAAAAGTGTACTTAATAGCGTTAAAATCTGTGGCTGTTTGCTTGAAATGTGTATATGTAGTATACACTCAAACACTGAGTTTGTTTTTTTTAATCTCAGATCATGAATTGGTAACTAATATAATTTGGGTAGCATGAAATACTCATTCTCCATTTAAATTCATCTGAAAGAGGTAAACTGTCAGCAGTTTGAGATTATTCTTTCTCTGGTTTACTTTTTAAGACTGTAGTTGCTAGAAATTAGTAACTTTATGTCTGTTTTCATGGGAGAGAATAAAAATGCAAATTTTATATACTGTGTATAAAATACACTGTCTCAGGACCTTGTCAGTTTCTTCTTGTCCTTTCTCTCGTTCAGTGCTAACTTTTATTATGAACATGGAATCAGCAAAAGATAACAATACTTTTTACGGTTGAATGAATTCAGATTTACATCTAATAAGTAAAATGTCTTAAAAACCATGCTTTAGTCCAAAATAAAGCATAGTAGTTACTGCCCTACAACTCACAGGTCACTCTCTTAAGTAAATATGATGGCAGTAGAGGCCCAGAAGTGTTGGAGTAACAAAGGACAGTTTTGCCCTTCTGTGGGTGATGTGATGGAAGACACAGAGGGGAGCTGTAGGAAGAACAGAGGCAGTGACCTTAATGTCTGCAATCATTAAGACTCTGCTACTTTGAGTAGTTCACAGAGCATAGTAACAAACTTGAACTGTATCCATTTTAAGTTATACAATGGTTGTATCAATGTTTCAAATACCAGTTGTTAAATGGATAGACTGCTAAGCATTATGTACCCAGCAATCCATTTTTGTGAAGTAGTAATATTGTTATAATAAAGTTTATATTTTTTGAGTACTCATGTGCCAAACACTGTGGTATTTTACATGTCTGATACCCCATTAACTTCTTACAGCCTTAAGAGGCAGGATAGGAAGAGGAAGCAGGCTTAGAGTAAGTTGCCTATAGTCACTTATTCAGTGGCTAAGCTGGGATATGAACCTTTTTGGTTGACTCCACAGCCCAAACATTTAGTCTTCCACTGTGATAAACTGCTTCATCTGCTGACCTCATAAATTAACTCACAGGTCAGGTCAGTGGTTCTTAACTTTGGTGGTGGTGGGAAGGTGTGTGGACTCAGTTGCCCTCTGAAAATCTGTGGGAAGCTATGGACCAAATTTCTCTTCTACCCTTTATGTCCCATCATCACCAAAAAAATTCATACAGACATGGGATTTTGGATATGGCTTCAGGTAATTTATGGACGCAGCTTGAAACCCAGCTGATCATTTTAGATAGATTACTGCTCTAAAAATGGACTTAGGCTTTATTAAAAAACTTTTTTTTTTTTTTAACTAGTAGTCAGGAAAGGCCCAAGTCAGAAGGTGGCCTTATGTACTGTCTGGGTTATAAATTACTTTGTTAAATTTCTGTAGTGTACCCAGGTATGTAACCTGCTACGTGCTTGTCAGGCTTGGCATTCGGTCTGTGCTGGTACCTTTAGCACCTGGCAGAATTCCACTGGGCCTTTTCCCCAAGGTTTATGCACTCTATATATTTTTTTCCTTTTGAACCTCAAAGGAGGTATATTAATGAATGAATGTTTTTTACCTTCATCCTTCTTTTTCCTAGACCAGTGGTTCTGAACCTTTAGTGGACGTCAGAATTACCTAGAAGGCCCCACCCCCAAAGTATCCAATTCCGAGATCTAGTGAAAGGCCTGAGAATTTACATTTCTAACAAATACCCAGGCTCCTGCTCGTGGTGCCAGGACCACATTTTGAGAACCACTGCCCTAGACTATCAAACTATACCCTTCTTCCCTAGAATACTTCTATTTTGGTCCTATAAACCTGAAACCTAAAGATATCTCACAGTTTGCTTGTATCTCTTTTAGGAGAAGCTCTGCGTAGTGTCTTTTTGAAATATACATGGTATCTGTTTGGCCTGTATTATCTTAGTAAATAATGTTGTTCATGTTAATAGAAAGTCAAAACGTAAGCATTATTTATTGAAGAGATACGCCTTACCAAAATTAAGCTCTGGCCTTACACTTAAGTTACTAGAAGATTCTTCACCTTTGGGATAGGCTATAAGCTTTAGCAAACCATCCATCAAGGCCCCTGATGGCAGAAATTCTGAATGGAGAATCTGGCAAGTTGGAGCTCTCCTGCCCCAGTTTGTCCTTGAGAGGGACTCCAACTACTAAGACCTATTCAATCACACATGACTACACATGTTGGCAGGTTTTACCATCAGCTGTTTTACTCTCACATAGTAAGTAGTTATTTCCTACCCTTTTTTCCTTCCTTCTAGGCACTGATAGGAAGAGAGAATGGGAGCAAGTATCTTACCCTTTTTAGATGCATTTGTGCTGAAGGCGTCTTGGTTCACTTGATAGAATATTACCCTAAGAAGTCACCTGAGAGTTCCTGAGCCAGAGCGGAACATTAACTTAACAGTGTAACATTTCTGCTCTATCTAACTGTACCTGATAATAAAATAGTCTATCCATGCCTGGACCTGTGTCTGAATTGTCCTTGAATTTTTATGGATAAAAAATTGAATATAGGAAACAAGTTATAGTGAAGAGACATCTGCCTTCATTTACACATGCAGTACATTTTTACATCATAGACAAATGTGTACAAAATTATCTTAGGCAAATTGATATGCGGTCACCTATTTTATGTTACATACAGTCCTGAGGAGTCGTAGAGGGTAGTGTCTAGGCCACATATCACAGCACTTGTTTTTGAAAAATTCGAATATTCACCTGTAATTTCAGATAAATCCATTCTAAAGACATCTTAGGTATCTGCCACTAGTATTTTCAAAAGGTTTGTGTGTACTCTTGGCTCTCTCACAGCTCATAATGCATCTTGGCTAGGGCAGAGATATGTGAAAAAAATGGCGTACGGGTCCTGCTAATGACAGCTGTCCATGGCTGTTAGGCTAGAGTTCATGTGTAATCCTAGGCATATAAGCCATCCGTCTGTAAACACCTAAAGAATGATATTAGTTAAGATGAACAGTGAAAACAGATTGATCTATGTGCCTTCTGTTTCATCTCAAAATACTTAAACACAGAGCCCTTATCTTCTTCCTCAAACCTACATTTTATTCAGAAAGATTGCTTATAGAAGTGAAGTTATAATGATGAACATAAGTGAGAACACAACTTTTGGGTCAAATATGAAAGGGAAAAAAGTCTAGATCTGGAGGCAGGTTTCTTTTTAAATTTGGCTTTCGAAGATAAGGACGTGGATTGACACTGGTGTTCTGCTCTGCCAGGTGTTTCCATCTGCATTCCTCCCTTCCCCTCAGGAGGTTCACAGATCACATCTCACTTTACTGACCAGAGTGATTATGCCTTGTAGTACCCCCATAGGACAGGATTGAAATACAAATGAATAAGTCAATAAACACTTAAAAATATAAATAAGAGTAGAATAGTAGGTAGCCTTTGACATACCAACATAAAATTGCTACCAATTTAGTACCATTATCATTTTTAGTGCAGTAATAAAGAAATTAAAAGTCTTAACATTGAGCATTGGACAAAAACACTCTGCTTGGCAGGGGGTGGGGGCTCACGCCTGTAACCCCAGCACTATGGGAGGCCAAGGTGGATGGATCACTTGAGTCCAGGAGTTCTAGACCAGCCTGGGCGACTTAGGGAGACCCTGTCTCTACAAAAAAATACAAAAATTAGTTGGGCATGGTGGTGCGTGCCTGTATTCCCAGCTACTTGGGAGGTTGAGGTGGGATGATTGCTTGAGCCTGGGAGGCGAAGGTCGCAGTGAACCATGAGTCATGATTAGGCCACTGAACTCCAGCCTGAGCGACAGAGCAGGGCTCTATCTCAAAAAACAAAACAAAAAAACCAACCACCAACAACAAAACCACTCTGCTTTCCTAGAGTAGGGCCTTTATGTAGGATGGGTTGTGGCTGGGCAGTCTACAGGATCTCATCTAGCGTAGATCCTAATTTTACCCTTGCCTTAGATATTTCTTTTCAGGTAAAATGTCCAACCGGGATTAGTCGCAAGAGGAAGTCTATATGACTCACTGGACTAACTGCTTATTTTAAGATTCTGATTTTAAGATTAGAGGCTCTTGCACTTTATTTATTTATGTATTTATTTTGAAACGGAGTTTTGCTCTTGTTGCCCAGGCTGGAGTGCAGTGGCACTATCTCGACTCATTGCAACCTCCACCTCCTGGGTTCAAGTGATTCTCCTGCCTTAGCCTCCCGAGTAGCTGGGATTACAGGCATGTGCCACCACGCCTGGCTAGTTTTGTATTTTCAGTAGAGATGGGGTTTCTCCATGTTGGTTAGGTTGGTCTCAAACTCCCGACGCCAGGTGATCCGCCCACCTTGGCCTCCCAAAGTGCTGGGATTACAGGCGTGAGCCACCACACCTGGCCTGGGCTCCTGCACTTTAATTCAAGCCCTGTGACTTGCAGTGAGTGTGGCCAGGCAAGCACTCCCTGTCAGAATGGTATGATCCCTCTTTTCTGGAGGGCCAGCCTGCCTGCAGCACTGTTCACAGGCTTGCAGGTGCCACTGAAGAGACCAGTGGAGTTTAATGTCTGGAATGTGTTCCACGTGGAAATATAATTACTCTGTCATCTGGAACAAGCGATTTTAATTGTTAGAGAGTTCCTCAGTCCACTAGTTTGACTTTGGCCATGGTCGTACATTTAAGAACTTGGTTCAAGTTTTTTCCATGTTTAGGGTAATTAGGTGTCCATAGTATATGAGGCTCAGCTTTCATACTCTATTCAACTCTGGAATGGCTGCCAAAGAAGCTGATTAAATCTTACCAGTTCTGAGCAGGGTGTTTTTGCCTCTTGTGTGCCAGGTGCCAGGATAGGCCCTAGGTGTCCCAGATGGTTCCTGTCCTCATGGAGTTTACCATCTAGTGATCAGATTGTACCTAAATATAGTTTGAAGGACCCATATTTTAAAAGCAAACAAAAATGTATTTATATATACTCATTTAGCATGGATATTTAATACAAGTTAATTTGGACAGAAAGTAGGGTAAAAGGGGGAAGAAAATAGAAAAATGATAGCTGTTCACAAACATTTTATGTCTCTTTTGTAGTAAACTTAAGTCATGCTGCCTGAAGGCAGAATTAGGCTTTGCACATTTATTTAAGAAATACTGGCCAGGTGCAGTGGCTCACGTCTGTAATACTAGCACCTTGGGAGGCCTTGGTGGGAGGATTGCGTGAGGCTAGGAGTTTGGGAACAGCCTGGGCAACATAGTGAGACCCCATCTTTAAAACTAAAAGAAACCGATTAGTCGGGCCTGGTGGAGTGCATCTGTATTCCTAGCTACTCGGGAGGCTGAGGTGGGAGGATCACTTGAGCCTAGGAGTTTGAGGTTGCAGTGAGCTATGATGGCTCCACTGTACTCTAGCCTAAGAGTGAGACCCTGTCTCTAAAAAAGAAAGAGAGAAAGAAAGAAAAAGAAAAGATTTTAACTTCTAGTCATTCAATCAAGAAGTGCCAGACAGCATGGTAGCTGCTTGAAATACAGTACTGAGTAAGCTGCGGTCTCTCCCTGGATATAACTCCTAGTGAAGGAGGCATGTTCAGTAATCAATCAAGCTTATTTAATTGGGTTGTGGTAAGTGACACAAGAAATATAGGCTGCAAGAGTATAACAGGGGACCTGACCTAGTCTGGAAGGTGGAAGTGGGAGGCAAGTAGAGGCCTAGGAGGTCTTCTCTGAGGAAGTGAGCATTTAAGCTGAGATTTTAAGGATGAAGAGTGAGTTTAGGAGGAGCCAAAGGTAGACTCTCTTAGGCTCAGGAATGGGGAGCATGTGGCTTAGCCAAGGAACTGAAAGGCCAGTGAGTCAAGGTGGTGGGGAGGGTTGGGGAGGGGTGAGGACTGTGGGGACTGTGGCAGGCGGTGAGGCCCTGCAGGCCCACTCAGTGCTTTGTGCCTCTCACTGTCCTGGACCTGCCTCACATGGCTCCTCCAGTAACTTCGGTGTGCCCCGTGCTGTGCCGAGGGCAATGGAATGCATCATCTCATGTAATCCCCACAAGCCTTGTGAGCTTGATGCCATCATTATTCTAACTTTACAGACGAGGTAACTTACGGTTAGACATTGGAGACTTAAGATAAATAGCTAAATGTTACACAGCTAATAAGTTGCAGAGCTTGGATTTTAACCCGGAACTCTCTAATTCTAGGGCCTATCCTGCCCATTCATTTATACCTCTAACAGACATTAACAAAAGACAGAGATTACAAGTTCAGCACAATATAAAGAATTTTCCAGCAACCAGCTGTTCAGAAATGTAGACGGGGAGAGGCACGTGCTTCCAATGATTATGAGTGTTCATTCCAGTGGAAACGTGGTGGCCACCTGTCAGGGATAGAGGAGGAAGAAGCTTGTGCCAGATGAACCCCTAACCCGCTTTTGATTACATCTGGGATTTTGCTTCATTGTACATATGTTTTCTTCCTTCAGTGACCATGAAAGACACCAGGTTGACAGCACTGGAAACTGAAGTACCAGTTGTCGCTAGAACAGGTAAGCTATAACCAGGCCAGTGGTTAGAGGAAGATGGGAGGGAATTATCTTGCCCATGGTCGTGCATTCAGGGATTTAACATTTACAGTTTTAGCTACTTGCCAGGAACTGGACCATCTATGGCATGAAGGGATTAGTCACATTACTGATGATTATTAGTTGCTTGTATTCAGTGCCTGACACTGTGCAAAGCGCATTATATGCGTTACTTTCTTCTTCACAGCCACGCTTTTGGTGTTTCCCCATTTTACAGGTGAGGATTCGGGTTCAAACATGTCAATTTTCCTAAAGATGCATAGCTGGTACTTAGTGGACTCAATTCAGCTCTGTTTAGCAGCAAAGTTTGGTTGTGACCACTTCATTCAATTAAAGCCTGTGTGCTGGCACAAGTCATTTAACTAGTGCAGACGTTCTTAACCCTGGCTGCACCTGAGAAATCTGCATGGGTTTATAAAAACAAACCAAATGTGATGTCCGGATTCCATCCCTTAGTTAACCTGCTCCAGAGTTTCTGTAAGCTCTCCAGGTGATTCTGATGTACATCCTGGGCTGAGAACCCTTGAGCTGGTGAGTGAGCATTTGCATCTTAACATGGCTATATCTGTTGCTTTAAATTAATTTTGGGGGATAAATTATATGCTATAGTAGTTTTTAGGAATTGGATGATCCTGTCTCAGAATATATCCTTCATAAATGTTGAGGCGCCGGCATTTCCACGGATGGAATTTCCTCTTAGTGACTTAACTGATCACTGAACTGTAATTTTGGTTTAGCAGTAATAGTGCCAAGCGCAACAGAGCTGTGTATAGGAAGGGTGTAGGGAAGACGGGAGGTGCTTGGTCTGCTGTCTTTGTACATGGACAGCTCTGTGACTCATGCCGAGGCTCAGTGGTTGCTGTTTAGTGTATTCTGTCACTGTCTGCCTCACCTCTGTCGTAGGAATTGTAAAATAAGGTAGGGATTTTTGTCTTACAGCTCTACATTGGTTCATAAGTAGGGTCTTGATACAAATTGTAGACTGTCGAAAGTTAAGTATTGTTCTCAAGTAGGGAAAGTTTTCTGAGTTTGATTTTTCATTTTCAGTGTTTTTGTGTATACTTCATACTGTTCCTTTTTTAGAAGTCCACTGTATATGAATTTGAACCCAAAGTCAAATGGTTAAGTGTTCAGATCATTGAGGTCCCCAAGCTAAATATCACCATCATAAAATGTAAATTCTGGGATACAAAAGTAAATCTCAAATTTTATTAAACATTTTTCACGATAGTAATTGTATTGCATTTTAGTAGTCAGATTTTAGAAGTTTGGAATTTTAATATAGGAAAAATACTTTGTGGGCACTACCGGCTGCTAGGTTACTCCTGTGGTCACTATGTCACATGTGTAGTATCATCTCAACTGGCACACAGCGTCATTGGTAACATTTTTGGACAAAGCAGAATTCAGGAAAGTTTCTGGTAGATGGTTTTCTGGAAGGAACCTTGTACCTGGGATTCATAGCTTGGCAAGCCTCAAAGATCCTTACTCTTCAATTACTAAAAATTGTTGGCCGCCTTTAGCAATTATTCTTATTTTGAAACAAAAAAAACCCCAGCTTTTAATAGCATTTTTCTTTTTTCATGGGGTACTCTTGTTTATACTTTTGTCCTCATTTTTAAGACATTTTTGGCCAGGTGTGGTGGCTCACACCCGTAATCCCAGCACTTTGGGAGGCCAAGGTGGGAGGATCACATGAGGTCAGGAGTTCGAGACCAGCCTGGCCAACATGGTAAAACCCCATCTCTACGAAAAATACAAAAATTAGCCAGGCATGGTGGTGTGCGCCTATAATCTCAGCTACTCGGGAGGCTGAGGCAGGAGAATCACTTGAACCCAGGAGATGGAGGTTGCAGTGGGCCAAGATTGTGCCATTGCACTGCAGCCTGAGTGATGGAGCGAGACTCTGTCTCAATTAAAAACAAACAAAACACCAAAGCCAAAGCCAGACAGCCACCAGATTTTGGCTGAGTATAGAGACTGAAACTGAACTTTGGCAGATCCCTGCTTTCCATGTTTTTTGAGATCATAAGTATCATTGGATCAAATCTGGCTACTAGTTGTATAGTTTAAACTTAGTTCAAGGTTTCTCATGAATTACAAAGTATCTTTTATTGAAAAGTGATGACTGAGAACCTCCCTGCTGCTTTAGATTGGGTGGTCAGGGGAGGCCCATCAGATATCTGCGAGACCGTCAGCTGTGCAAGGATGTGGGAGAAGAGTGTTTCATGCATAGAGGGAACAGCAAGTGCAAAGGCCTTGAGCAAGAAAGAACCAGTATTCCTGTGTTTGGGAAGACTGGGACTAGAGCAGAGGAATGAAGAGGCAGAGGGGGGTTGGGAGGTTAATAACTGGCTGGATCTTATGAGGCCTTGTAGGCTACTCATGAGTTTCATAAGTTCCATAATGTTATTGGCTCTTATTAATTCCATGGGAAGCCATTGGATGATTTTAAACAGAGGAGTGAGATTCTGATGTTTATATCTCAATGTCTCTTGTGGTTATTTGGAGGCAAATGAATTTTGTAGGGTAGCATGAATACAAGCAAGGAGAGTAGTGAGGGGGGCTGCTGCTCCCTTGTCTCTGAGAGATGATGCGGGCTTCGACTGAGGTGATAGCAAAGGGTTTGCTGATGGATTAGATGTGGTGGTGGGGGTGGTGAAAGAGTCAAGGAGTCACCTGGGTGTTTGCTTTAGACTGATGGTAGTGCCTTTTACTGAGATCCAGAAGATGGCAGAGTGATGGATTTTGGAGTGGAGATTGGCCTTGAAGGTCATGCCCTCTGAATATGACTAGCATCATCTACAGCACTGTACTGTGCACTGTATGTGGCCACTAAAGATAATATTAAACTAAATGGAATATTGCTTTAGCATGTACGATACAGAAATCCATTCACCCAGTTGCTGTCTTTTAACTTCTCCTGTATGGCTATTTTCTATGGTGAGTTACTTCCAAAATGGAAAAGAGACTTATGGCTAGAGACTTTTGTGGCTAACACACTGATGCTTCCTTGTGTCTGTGGTGCTAATCTTTAATTGACTTTTCTCAGCCAGTCTTCTATAGGCTGTAAAGTGTGTTTAACATGTGTATATTTCATCCACCACTACCACCACCCCTGACTGAGTCCATGTAGGGCTGGTTTCTTCCCCTTTTTTGTACACATATTGAACCATGTCTTTTTTTCTGCTATAAAACATTTAATTCTTCATTGCACTGGCTAAATCTGTTTTACCTGCTTAACACCTTGCACTTACTGTAGACCCTCAAATGTTTGAATGTGCTTAAAAAGGAGATATTCTAGTTGTGGGACTGATTCCAAAAGCTATGATTTAACTCTTAGGAGGGCTTTTTAGAATGTCAAAAATGCTTGAACTTGAGCCACTTATGCGAAGAATCTCACATAAAACCCAATGTTTATATTTTTCCTGGAGATTAAAAACTATGGTAAACAGTAGAATTTTGGAAGGCAGCTATGCTCACCACTATACCACCAACGCGGCCGACAGTAGGATTTTGGAACCAGAGAGAAAAACTTGTTGCCAAAACGTGTTTCTAATGTGTTTTAGAATAAAACCTTACTTTGCAAATGGAAAAACAAGCTAGGTGGCCCAAGCTGATTAGCCCACACTATCGCCAAGTTGACTGGATGGGCGCCATCTTTGTTTAAAATTGAGCTCATGTCACTCCGGGCTCTGGGGCTGCCTGCATTTGGAGGACCAGATATGACATTATCGTCTTCTGACTACACAGAAGGCAAACTCAGAGTCTCCCTAGACAAATAGTAGGTAAGTAACAATTTTATTGAAACAAAACCAAACTTAGGGACAAGATACTTTTAAATTTATGAACAACATTCTTTGTCACTAATTGAGAATCATTTGTGATTTACCTGAAGCAGAAATCAATGTGGGGGTTAGCTAGACAAGTGTGCCATTAAAAAGTCATCTTGAAAGTGGTGGCCCAAAGATTTTTACTGGTATTTTTTATGATAATATACAGGTACTATGCAGCGAGTGTTTATATGTACCTGATACCATACTAATCGCTTTTTGGTTTTGAACTTTTACGGTAGAATCTTACCAACGGTGGTCTCACATTTTGGAGCCCTTTGAAATTAACTTCCTATGTGATTTACTTGTAAGATTTTTATTTATAGATATGAGTCAGCAACTTCCTATATCATGGTATCAAAAAGGCATTTAGACATTTTAATTGATTTTTCTGATAAATGAACTTCTAACTTACTAAGAGCCAAAATCAGTGAATGTCACAAGATTGTAATTAAATAAGAATATAGATGATAGCAAGTTAATACCTGGCAGTTTTTGGGGTCATGGCTAATTTAAATTTGGCATTCTTGCAGAAGGAGCTTATCTCTCTCTTTTTTTTTTTTTTTTTTTTTTTTTGAGGCAGAGTCTTGCTTTGTTGCCCAGGCTAGAGTGCAGTGGCATGACCTTGACTCACTGCAACCTCCGTCTCCCAGGCTCAAGTGATTCTCCTGCCTCAGCCTCCTGAGTAGGTGGGACTACAGGCACACGCCACCACACCAGCTAATTTTTGTATTTTTAGTAGAGACGGGGCTTCACCATGTTGGCCAGGTTGGTCTCGAACTCTTGACCTTAGGTGATCTGCCTGCCTCGGCCTCCCATTATGCTGGGATTACAAGCGTGAGCCACCATGCCTGGCCTCAGCCACTACATCCGGCCTCAGCTTAACTCTTTAGTTGGATTTTTCTTTATCATAGTGTTTCTCAAAAATAATTTGTGTCTCACTTTAAGAATTACCTGGAGTGCTTATTAAAATATAGATTCCTGAGCCCAAAATACAGTTTTGGAAGGGGCCCAGGTATTGCATTTCTAGCAAGTATCCCAGGTGGTTTCGATGCACATTGAAGCTTAAGAACTGCTACTTACACTTACTGAAAGAAAAGGAAGTGTTATCCTTTTTGGGCATGCATATCCCCATGTGTAAAATAAGGATGATACCTGCTCACACCACATCACATCACATCACAGACTTGCTGTGATGATCAAAACCACAGGTTAGCTTAGTGTGACACTTAAGGGCTTGGGGCTTTGGAGTCGGGCATACCTAGCTTCCAATATCAGTTTTTCTCCTCTGGTTTTGCCTCTTGCTAGCTTTGTGACCCAGAACAAATGGCTTGATCTCCATTCTGCTCCCTGTACAATGGGGACAAAAGTGCCAATTACATGGTGGTCATATTAGGAGTATATACAATGATGTTTGTGAAAGGTGTACAGTGCTTATGAATGATAACTGTTGTTACTTGTTTTAACAAATATAGCCTCAGAG
Organism: Homo sapiens; assembly: GCF_000001405.40. Lineage (NCBI taxonomy): Eukaryota > Metazoa > Chordata > Mammalia > Primates > Hominidae > Homo > Homo sapiens. Next base: position 132,929,680 of record NC_000009.12, on the reverse strand, counting down.
ATCAAAGTGGGGGAGAAATCGTAAATGTGTATAGTTACACTTGGGAATGAGCTGCTTTTTGTATATCAAGATAAAGCAGCTGCTCTACTACCATAGAGAGCTTGGGTTTTGAAGGGTGAGTTTTTGAAGATTTGCCCTGATGATCCCATCTATGGATACCTCCCTGTAGCCAGTGGTATTTGGGTGTGCAATTAGATGTCTCAGATGAGAGGTATATGCTAAAACAGAGAAATGATCCCCAGTTTATGCTAGATGTTGGACTTAACAGACTTGTGACCTAACCAGCTATACTAACTCTTAGCCATTGATGAGACTGTCAAGAAGGAAATAGTATGTATTTAGTTCTTTTGCTGAAAAAAGACTGTCTGCTTTTTAGATCAATAATTTGAAATATAAATGTGGTCTTAGCCAAAACCCAAGGTAGAATCAGAAGTAGGAATAAAACTTAGATTTGATCCTATCATTAAGTTGCTGTGACTGGTATCAGTTTTTAAGGTTTCTTTCTGATTGTTATATTTTGTAGAAACCCTCTTCATAAACTCGCCAAAGAATTATTCATACACTTTATCTTCTTTTATCAGCTAAATGTACTCACTGTTTGAATCAGAGAATTCTGGCCAAACTTTCCATTGCATTGAACACGTGCATTAGTTTGTCTTGCAGGTATTTTCTTTTTTTATGGAGAAAAATGGGGCCATTTAGTGACTGTTCATCTTCCTTTTTCTCAGTTTGGTAGTGGCCCCAATGAAGAACCTTCAGAACCTGTAGCACACGTCCTGGAGCCAGCACAGCGCCTTCGAGCGAGAGAATGGCCCAACAAGCAAATGTCGGGGAGCTTCTTGCCATGCTGGACTCCCCCATGCTGGGTGTGCGGGACGACGTGACAGCTGTCTTTAAAGAGAACCTCAATTCTGGTTAGCAAAATAATATCCTTTTTAGCTTATCTTCTAGAAAGAAGAGATTGACTTTAGAGCCACTAGAATCCTGCTGATACATTTTAGTTTTCATCTTCTGAAAAGTTTTTTAAACACCCAAAGAGAGTATCTATATGTGTTTTAAACTTTCAATTATGGAAATACTCAAGTATGCACACACATGAAGTAAGAATCATGCAGTGAACCCCATGAATCCAGTTTCAAATTCTTTCCTCCCTGACTCTCCCACCCTCCAAATATTTTAAAGCAAATTCCAGATGTTGCTTTAACTGTAAATCATATATGTGGTTTTTAATATGAAAAGTGCTTAACCTCTTTTTAATATGAGAAATACAAATTTAAATAGTACCCTTTTTTGCTTACCAGGTTGGCAAAATTAAATATTGAATATAGAAATGGGCACTGTTAGCAGGAATATGAATTGATGTTCAGCCTTTTGGAGCATCAGTCATCAATTTTAAAACACATACCATTTGGGCCATTTATAAGAATCTGTATCTTATTACAGCTTTGAGTGAAATACAGTGAAGAATTGGAAAAACCCAAGTATCCTTCAGTAGGTGAATGGTTAAATTAGTTATGTAGAGCCATGCAGTGGAACACTAGGAGGACGGAAAGAAATGAAATAGGCCATAGATGCTGACGTGGGAAGGTGGTTACAACATACTGTTCAGTGGAAAAAACACACACATGCACAAACTGTGTCTGTGTCTGTGGACATGAGGGCTGTGTGCGTGTGGTTATACAAGTAGAAAAGGGTTTGAAGAGACACACTCTAAACTTAAGGGTGTTTATCTGTGAAGAGTGGGTTGGGAGGCAGGTGGTGAGGAGCACTTTCATTTTTATTTTATGTACTTTTACATAGCCTGAATGTTTAACAGTAGATATGGATTATTTTTTGTAATTAAAAAAGCAATAAAGGGCC